>NW_017852933.1:321185-642371 GCF_000001405.40 Homo sapiens
CCCATCTCTACAAAAAATACAAAAATGAGCCGGGCTGTTGGCAAGCGCCTGTAGCCCCAGCTACTTGTGGATGCTGAGGCAGGAGGCTTGAGCCTGGGAGGTCGAGACTGCAGTAAGCCAAGTATCTGTGCCGCTGCACTCCAGCCTGGGTGACACAGCAAGACCGTCTCAAAAAAATTGACAGAAGAGTTGACTGAGAGCACAGTGAATGAAAAGGAAGACTATAAGCCAGTGCCATATAAATGCTTACTGTTGGAGGTATGCTTCTATGGAACACGGGTTTGCTCTCTTGCCATATGACATTCACATATTCAGCCACCTGGAACACTTCCTGTCAGTATGTGTGAAGTATCATGTGTGGTCAAAATTGTCTCAACAGTCATTTTCCACACCAACTGGCAAACTAACACTAAAAGAAATCAACAAGTATTGCTTTTTCAAAAGCCTAAATCGGCTGAGTGCGATGACTTACACCTGTAATCCCAGCACTTTGGGAGGCCAAAGCAGGCGGATCACCTGAGTCAGGAGTCCGAGAACAGGCCGGCCAACATGGTGGAATCTCGTCTCTACTAAAAATACAAAAATTAGCTGGACGCCTGTAATCCCAGCTACTCAGGAGGCTGAGGCAGGAGAATTTTTCCCTGTAACCGGGAGGCAGGGGCTGCAGTGAGTCGAGATTACACCACTGCACTCCAGCCTGGGAGACAGAGCAAGACTCCATCTCAGGAAGACAAAAAAAAAAAAAAAAAAAAAGCCTACATCAAGGAAAACAGAACCAAAACACCAGGGACAAAATGGTACATAAGAGGCAAAAAAATTTTCACCAAAATTATTCAGATGAACAATAATAAATGTGCCTGCATCTGAAGATGTTCTAAACCTTCATTTAAGCAAGAAGCAAGATCAAGATCTGTTCCGTCAGTTACCTGGAGTCTGTCATCTTTCTGAATAGGGGACAGAATCACCTCAAATTTAACTAATAAAAATTTATGACTTGGCAAACACCCCAGGTATTTTTATTGACTAACAAATCAGCTATGACAATCTTAGCAACAAATCAAGTTATGCTATGGGGTATGTCCACACTTCCCTGTTCCCTCTACAACAGGAGAAAATCAAATTTTTCCAACATCCTAACAAACTGTTATTGCCTGTAACCAAATGTATCACAGTATCGTCTACCAAGGCGTTACATCCTGAAACTTTCCTACAAAAAGCACAGCTTCAAAGAAACCTTGCAAGCTTTCTTGTAAGCTCCTCCCTTCCCCCATCGCCCCTCCCCAGAGCCAAGAAATAAAGCACTTGAAAGAAACAACATGGATAATATTTATTAATAGCTCATGTACATATTCCATAACTACATAAGCCATTTGGCTTCATACCTGTCAGCAATGAAGTCAGCTGGCCCTAGCACGTGGCTGCGACTCTTCTCTATTTATTTAGAACTACAAACTACAATTTACACTTTTCCAAAAGCTGTAGGACTATTTGGGAAGGGCACTTTATTCTTCTAAAAGGTTACTAAATTCTCTTGTATACTTATACTGATCACAATACTGAAAAATAATAGAAAATCCATTGTCATTCATTTACCACCTAATTTGTTAGATGCCAGAAAATCAAATTTCACACATTTCAATAAAAAGGCAAAACTAAGCATGTCAATCATAGGAAAAAAAATACTTAATCAACTAATTTTATTTAAAGCACTCACAAACTCTTAAGTGGTACAAGACAAGTCAACGCTGTTTATCGAACAATATTTTTTTTTACGACTAAACATCTCAATTCTAGACTCAGGCACTAATTATTAAAGTCATCTAGTTATATACACCAATTCTCAACAGACACAGTTTTTTTTGGAAAGGCATATTAAACAGACTAAGATGTGTACTACCCATTAGCCAAAGATAATTTTATTGATTTTTCTAACAAGTCTTCAAATGTTACATTCTAACATCTTAGCAAATTATTTCCAAATACTGCTGGAATTACATGTAACTATCAGGAAACAAAAGGGCTTCTCAACAACTTGTGCGTTCTACATTATCTGGCCAGTTTCCGGACAATTATAATACAATTGTGCTCCAAAGTAGGAGAGTTCCATGAATCAATTACCCCTAAAATATATTTCTGTATATTTAAGGAGTTCTAAGCATTGGGTTAAATTCCAAACAGACTCTGAATACAAGCATTTATTTAGTAAGAGAGGTTAGAATAAATCAATCCTAAATTAGGCACAGCTGCCCTCCCCCCATTGATCAAAAAGACAGGAAATTACATTTATTTAAAAAGTTAATGTTCCTAATATATTCAAATCTAACTAAGCCCCAAAACGGTCTGACATCAAATCCTCCATAAAAGAGGAAATTCTCTAGACTTCTAAGTGGGTGCCCAGAGTTCACTCAAGTGTCCAGGTATGAATTACGATTCACCAGAGTAACCGGCCTTGCACTTAGGGAAAACTTCCATCGCCCAAGACCAGAGTAGGTCGATCCCATCAACAGTCACACAATCTCATCTCACGCTCCACTAATGAATGTTCTGCCTAAAGTCAGAGCAATGCCTTAGCTGGAGTTTTGTTTTGGTTTTTTCAATATTACCACGTGGGGGTCACAGAAAGGAACAGAGGTTAGAAGAGCTCTCACGTGGCGGCTGAAAGACTGGGGAACCGAGAAAGTGAATGAGTAACAGGGAGGGTCCTGTACTCTCAGAATCTCCCAACTCGGGGTCAGGGGGAAGCGGTAAGTGGAATGCCCCCCGCCCCCCCACCCCCGCCTCTTTCTCACCTCCTGGTCCCGACCCTAGGCCAGTGCCACCGCCGGGAGCCCCGGGTCTCGGCTTCAGCCCCGGGCTGAACAAGCAGGGAGGGGAGAGGCACTTAGGCCTCGCCTCCCCGCGGCCTTCCTCCCCCAGCCGGGGCGGAGGAGACCCAGGAAGCCGCGCCCGGCTCCCGGGGGTGGAGGGCCTAGGCCGCGCCTCCCAGCCCCGCGGCCCTAGGCCTCCGCCCGCCCGAGGCGGAGCCCGGGAGGTCGGGGCGGGGTCCCGGGCCGGTCACCCACCTGGGTTGCCAGTCATTCCAGCTCCGCGAATAGTTGGTGCCGTTGGTGCCGCCGCCGCCGCCGCCGCCGCTCAGCCGAGACCCCGGGGCTCTGCGGCTCATTACCTTCCCCGACACGATATGGCCAAGCGCCGCCGCCCAGAGAAGCGCGAGTCGCCACCCGAACCGGCCGCCGCCAACACCCCGCTCCGGCCCGGGGCTGAGAAGGAAGCCGAGAAGGAGGAGGAGGAGGAGGCGGCGGCGGGCGGGGGAAGAGGACGACCGTTCCGGGTTCCGCCTGAGCCCGCAGCACAGGACGAGGAGGCGGGAGCGGCGCGGTGAGAGAGAGGCGGATGAAGGGGAGGCGACGTCTCTTCCAGGGCCCTGCGCGGCCCACGTCGCCGGGGCCCCCGAGGAGGAGGACGACGAGGAACAGGCGGTGGCGGCAGCTCCTCACGCTCACACGGCCACTGCTTCCCCGCCTCCCGGCTCCGCTCGCCGCGCCGCCGCTGTCGCACGGCATGCTGGGAGCGAGAGGCGGGGTCGGCCCCGCCGTGCCTGCGGAGAGAGGCGGGTCCTGTCGGCGGGGCGGGGCCGATAGCAGGCCGCCCCGCCCCCCACGGCCCCAGGCTCTTGGACGGCGAAGAGGTCTGGGCGTAGCGGTGACGAATCCTAAGACAGGGGATCTCCACTACTGCGGCCACACACTTTTCTCCCAAATGCTTCCCGGAAAGCACCGGAGGGCCAGGCAGTCAGGTGTAAACAGGCGTCCAATCAAGGACCTGCGGTGGGGGGTGGGGGGGGGGGGCGGGCTGTTGCCCTGGGGTGCGCGCGCACACAGGGGCGCCCTTGGATTCACGTGTGCCAGTTTTCCCACTTTCTACGGGGCGGGGTGGAAAGTGAAAATAGTCAGATCGACAGGTGGATATCCACCTTCCCAACCTCCACCTGAAATGTGCCCATCGAGTCCTAGCACCTTTTACCATTTCTTCCCAATGAAAAAAACTAAACGATGGAAGGGAAGGGAGTACCCACGACCACCAAACCCTGTCCTCTGCAATGTGAAATGTGCTTTGAAGTCCTCTCACCCTGAGGCTTGCCCGCCTTCTGCTGGTGAAAGAAGCTGGGGGCTAGGCGCGGTGGGTCACGCCTGTAATCCCAGCACTTTGGGAGGCCGAGGTGGGCGGATCATCTGAGGTGAGGAGTTCCAGACCAGCCTGGCCAACATGGAGAAACCCCGCCTCTACTAAAAATACAAAAATTAGCCGGGCATGGTGGAGGGCGCCTGTAATCCCAGCTACTTGGGAGGCTGAGGCAGGGGAATCGCTTGAACCCAATAGGCCGAGGTTGCAGTGAGCCAAGATCAGACCATTGCAGTCCAGCCTGGAGAACAAGAGTGAAACTCTGTCTCAAAAAAATATAAGAGAGAGAGAGAGAGAAAGCAGGGAGGGAAGAAAAAGGAAGGAAGGAAGGAAACGAGGGAGGGAGGGAAGGAGGGAGGGAGGAAGGAAGGAAAGGAGGGAGGAAAGGAAAGAAAAGGAGAAAAGAAAGAGAGAAGGCCGGGCGCGGTGGATCACACCTGTAATCCCAGCACTTTGGGAGGCCGAGGCGGGCAGATCTCGAGGTCAGGAGATCGAGACCATCCTGGCTAACACAGTGAAACCCCGTCTCTACTAAAAATACAAAAAATTAGCCGGGCGTGGTGGCGGGCGCCTGTAGTCCCAGCTACTCCGGAGGCTGAGGCAGGAGAATAGCGTAAACCCGGGAGGCGGAGCTCCCAGTGAGCAGAGATCGCTCCACTGCACTCCAGCCTGGGCGACAGAGCAAGACTCCATCTCCAAAAAAAAAGAGAATCAGCTGGGTAGAGGAGACGTACCTGACTGTCTACCCCATGACATGCCCCATGCCCCAGGGAAAAAAATTCCCTAAAGCATCTGATGCATAACGTGAATGCATACACATTTTTTAAAAGGTGGGCCAGGATGCTCCTTAAACAAGTGCCTAAACCTTATCTGCATAAGGAGTCTTAACCTATCATTTTATGTTGCAAAGAAAACGTCTTTATATATCGCTTGTGCAATTAAAAATTGTTACCAAAAGTACTTGAAGATTACGAGGAGTTGACACCTCCACACACATGCATATCCCCTCCACCTTGGGCTCCTTGCTTATGGCCACCAATCCCTCACTAAGGGAGGATCTTGCCAGTTCTAAATGATGGGGACTACAAAAATTACAAAAATTACCCGGCGTGGTAGCGCGTGCCTGTGGTCCCAGGAACTCAGGAGGGTGAGGCAGGAGGATGACTTGAGTCCAGCGGGTGGAGGCTGCAGTGACCTATGATCCTGCCACTGCACTCCAGGCTGGGCTGCGGAGGGTAGGGAGGGAGGGAGAAGAAGAAAGAGAAAACGCGGGGCACCATGGATGGCTGACTCCTGTAATCCCAGCACTTTGGGAGGCCGAGGTGGGTGGATCACTTGAGGTCAAGAGACCAGCCTGACAAATATGGTGAAACCCCGTCTCTACAAAAAAATACAAAAATTAACCAGGCATGGTGGCGCACGCCTGTAGTCCCAGCTATTTGGGGAAGCTGAGGCATGAGGATTGCTTGAACCCAGGAGCCAGAGGTTGTAGTGAGCCGAGATCGTGCCACTGAACTCCGGCCTGGGTGACAGAGCAAGACTGTCTCAAAAAAAAAAAAAAAAATCATTTAGATGAAGTGATTCATGCCTGTAATTCCAGTGATGGGAGGCTGAGACTGGAAGATCCTTGAGCCTGGGAGTTATAGGCCAGCCTGAGCAACATAGTGAGACCCCCATCTCTACAAAAAAAATATTAAATTTTTTTTTTCAGACGGAGTTTCACTCTTGTGGCCCAGGCTGGAGTGCAATGGTGTGATTTCAGCTCACTGCAACCTCTGCCTTCCAGGTTCAAGTGAGTCTCCTGCCTCAGCCTCCCAAGTAGCTAAGATTACAGACACATGCCACCATGCCCGGCTAATTTTGTATAAAAATTTAAAAATTTTTAAAATTAGACAAGTTAGAAATTGCTTGAGCAACTGGACACAATCTCTGGTACTACCTTTCTTTTTCTTTTTTATTTTTTTATTTTATTATTATTATTTTTTGAGAAGGAGTCTCGCTCTGTCGCCCAGGCTAGAGTGCAGTGGCGCAATCTCGGCTCACTGCAAGCTCTGCCTCCCGGGTTTAAGCCATTCTCCCGCCTCAGCCTCCCGAGTAGCTGGGATTACAGGCGCCCGCCACCAAGCCCGGCTAATTTTGTTTTTTTGTATTTTTAGTGGAGACGGGGTTTCACCGTGTTAGCCAGGATGGTCTCAATCTCCTGACCTCGTGATCCGCCCGCCTCGGCCTCCCAAAGTGATGGGATTACAGGCGTGAGCCACCGCGCCTGGCCCTCTTTTTCTTTATTGGTCAAAATATTATCCAACTAGGCATATGGATGTGGAGGCATGCCTGTGATCCCAATTACTTGGGAGGCTGAGGTGGGAGAATCGCTTGAGCCCACGAGTTTCAGGCTGTGGTGAGCCATAATGGTGCCTCTGCACTCCAGCCTGGGCAACAGGATGAGACCATTTCTTAAGGGGACGGAAAAAATCACTCTGGCTGTGGCAGATTTCCTTAGGATAGATTCCGAGAAGTGGAGTTATTGGGGAAAAGGCTGTTAATGATTTTAAGTCTTTGGATACAGACTGTTAAGTTGCTTTCCAGGAAGTTTCTGCCAATGATAGTGTGATACTTTCTGTGTCCTCACACCACCCTTTGTCAACACTGAGTGTTTTTGAGGGTTAATTATTTCTATGAGAGAAGTTAAAAAAAAAAAAGACAACAAAGAAATTGCTTCAGGTGGGGCATGGTGGCTCACGCCTGTAATCCCAGCACTTTGGGAGGCTGAGATGAGAGAATCACTTAAGCCTAGGAGGTGGAGGTTGCAGTGAGCCTAGATCGTGCCACTACACTCCAGCCTGGGCAACAGAGTGAGACTCCATTTCAATAAAATAAATCAAATGAATCAAACGTGAGCAACTCTCATAACTTCCAACATTTTTTTCTTCTTCCTGTTGGTGGTTCTGCCTCTCTGGCTCCATTAGGATTTCCCTACTCCATTTCAGTCATGGGAGCCGAGTTTCTGTTCCTGAAACACACCAGGCCTTTCTGGCCTCTGGATTTTTGTACTTGCTGTTCCCGCCATCTGGAATGCCTTCCCTGCATTTGTTCCCATCAGGGTTGGGACTAGCAAAGTGACAGGTGATGGAGTTGCTGAGGGTGCAAAATTTAAGGAGGCACCTACTCCCAGGGTCATGCAAAAGCCAACTTTGCATTTGCACAATCCTGTGAGTGAGTCCCTCCTTAAATTTGAGGCTGTACTGTAATCCCAGCTACTCAGGAAGCTGGGGCAGGAGAATTGCTTGAACCTGGGAGGCAGAGGTTGCAGTGGGCCGAGATCCTGCCATTGCACTCCAGCCTGGGCAACAGGGCGAGAATCCGTCTAAAAAAAAAAATGAGGCTCTAGGCACCACATTTGCCCTACTCTGGCCCCTGCCCTGATTTTCCTGGCCTGTCTCATCTCCAGACAGGTTTGCTTTGACCTCCCTGCCCATAAAAGCTGGCCAGTGCCCTTTCCAGGTACTCTGTCATATACCCTATTTCTTTCCTTGGTAGTACCCAGCACCATCTGCAAGTATTGGGTTTCTTTGCACATTTAGCATCTGTCCAACCCTTAGTATATCAGCTTTGCAAGAGCAAAGGTCACATCTATCTCAGCCTACCTCCTCCATACTCAGCACACAGCACAGCACCTGACCATAGGAAGCACTCAAGAAATGGGAGGAATGAAATGGAAATTATCTAAAATAAGGATCAAGATTGATACAGAAGTATTCATCTCAGTTTTACTTATTAATAGCAAAACAAAAACAAAACACCTGGAAACTATACTAATGCTCAACAATAGGAAACTGATTAGGATGCAGTACATTCAGAGCTGAAATTTTCTGCAGCCATTACAAATTATATTTGTGAAGATTTTTTTTTTTTTTTTTGAGATGGAGTTTTGCTCTTGTTGCCCAGGCTGGAGGGCAATGTCTCGATCTCGGCTCACTGCAACTTCCGCCTCCCGGGTTCAAGCGATTGGTCTGTCATTTTCAGACCCCACAGAAACACAGGTGCTCCTGCCAGGCCCCCGGGGACTGCCTCCAGGAGTCATTTGTAATGACAGGGTGCGTTCTGCGCACGGTTTCAGAGTCTGTCCAAAGGGCCAATGCTGGGGCTGGGGCAGAAACGGTCCAAGGCCTGTGAGCTGTGCAGCTTTATAGGCAAATGAAGATCGTTTACCCAGAATTGCCTGCTGGAGAGAGCATAGAGGAAGTGGCGGCAGCTTCACCAGTTCCAGGAAGCCCAGGCAGCCTGGTCCCCCAGGGTGCACCTGGCACAGCAGTTCGCACAGGGCCAGAGAGCGGCAGCTGACCGCTGCAACTACAGCTGGCCTGACACCGGGCACAGGTACCAGCCCAGCCCAGTCCCGCCCAGCGCAGCCTGCGGCCCCTAGCGGAGCCAGCACCTGGCAAACCTGACACCCAGCCTTGGAGCTTGGGCCCCCCTCTGCAGCTGGCTGGGGCTCCTGAGACAGCTTCTTTGTCGGAATCCACTCGGTACACACACGGTCCCTAACTTAGTGGCTGCCCAGTGAACATGGGGCTTAGTAGAACCAGTACCTTCCTCCCTGGCCCCTTCAAGTCTAAATATCCCCTGCTCTGAGTACAAGCTTCCACCTTCTCCACCGACAGACAGCCCCCACCATCTCCACCGACAGACAGCCCCCACCATCTCCACCGACAGACAGCCCCCACCATCTCCACCGACAGACAGCCCCCACCATCTCCACCGACAGACAGCCCCCACCATCTCCACTGACAGACAGCCCCCACCATCTCCACTGACAGACAGCCCCCACCTTCTCCACTGATAGACAGCCCCCACCTTCTCCACTGATAGACAGCCCCCACCTTATCCACTGATAGACAGCCTCCACCATCTCCCGTGTCATCCCCTGGGGGGACTTGTAAAAGCAGTGGTGGGGGAGTGGGATGGAAACCCAGAGCTTCTGATCAGGCAGGTCGGGGGAGAGGGAGACAACACATCTGCACAGAACAAGGTCCCAGGGAGGCCGGCGCTGCTGGTCCAGGGAGCACCCCCCAGCACAGGCGCGTGCTTCCCTGATGGACACGTCACCGCCCTGGGCTCCAGAAAATGAATGTCTGACCCAGTGACCCCTGTCCTCACCCAAGGCCAACCTCACCCCAGAATGGGCTGGAATGCTGAGCCTGCCCATGCCGGCTCCAGATCCACCCGCCTCCCCACCATTGCTGGCCACAGAGAGAGGTCAAAATGGTCCGGAAACCCCAAGGAAAATGAAGCAGTTCCAGGGCAGGGAAGCAAAGGCAGTGTTTCCTTTTTTTTTTGAGACGAAGTCTCCCTCTTGTCGCCCAGGCTGGAGTGCAATGGTGCGATCTTGGCTCACTGCAACCTCCACCTCCTGAGTTCAAGCCATTCTCTCACCTCTACTTCCCGAGTAGCTGCAGCCTCTGCCTCCGGGGATCAAGTGATTCTCCTGCCTCCTGCCTCAGCCTCCTGCCTCAGTAGCTGGGATTACCGACACCTGCCACCACGCCCACCTAATTTTTGTATTTTTAGTTGAGACAAGGGTTCACCATGTTGGCCGGGCTGGTCTCGAACTCCTGACCTCAGGCGATCCACCAACCTTGGCCTCCCAAAGTGTTGGGATTACCGGAGTGAGCCACCGTGCCTGGCCAGGATGGTCTGCTTATAATGGCTCAATTTTGATGTCCAGTCTCTGCAGAGCACAAGGCCCCCGCTTTGGGCCAGACATACAGATGTCCCTGGGCAAGCACAGAGATGATCCCAAGGCCCTGGCCCCACCTGTCTGCTCAGTGTTGAATCAGGTTTCTGTGAAAACAAATTACTAACAGGCTGGTGTCACATTTTCAAATTCTGTCACCAGGCCTTGAACACATGTCTTTGTACTTTTTTCCATTTTTAACCGGGGCTGAGTTACGCCCAACCACACTGTCCTGGCTGGCACGGGGGAAGAGGTGTCAGCTGCTGTCCAGAATGGGGCTGACACATTCATTTTAAACAGGCCAGGAAGATGCAGATTTGGCAAGCTCTGAAATTTGCCGACACCCCAAGTCGAGGGTAAGCAGGAGAACCAGAAAAGGGCAGCTTCTCATGTGGTCAGGTTCTCCTGATGCAAGCGTCCTGGTGGATTTGGGTTTCCCAAGGGTCCTGACTCCAGGAGACCCCCAGGACCGACAGGAAGGGCCACCCCTCCCTCTGAAACTCTGAAGCCAGGCCACCCGGTGCTGAAATGCTGTGTGAACTCGGGAAAGTTCCTTCGCAGGGACTGAGCCTCCCTTTCCTGTCTCCAACAGACTGGAACACTGCCTCCCATTGTATGGGTGAAATACCTCGCGGACATGTCTTACGGCGCCCCATGAAAGCATCACCATTAATCTGACCAGTCACCGCAGCATTAGTATCTTCAGGGCACAGATGAAGCCGTGGGCACCAGTGATAAGGAGTTGCCACTGCTGGCTAAGTGCGGAGCCTCACACATCTGTGGCCCAGAAACCCACACCCCACTCCAAACCCTCTATAGCTCCAACAGTTATGCTAACAAGAAAAAGGAGTGAAAACCCGCTCCAGTTACGGTATTGTGGAGGTGGAGGACACTTGTGGCAGCCAATCCAACACCTCCATTTTATAGCTGGTGTAAACATAGTTCAGAAAGGTTGTCCCACTTGCTGAAAGTCACACAGCAGTTCCTGGGCGGCAAAGTGAGGACATCCAGGTCTCCTAAATCTCACCCTCGTGCTCTGCCCACTTGACTGGGCTTTTCAATCCTGGCTGTCAAAGAGAAGCACCAAGTCCACTTGGGCTCCTGGCCAGCATCCAGGCCAGTCCAACTCAACAGCAAGCGGAAGCAAATACCACACAATGAACTCGTTGAACAGACTCTGCGCTCAGGCTTAACCAGTGCACAGCCTGCACACCCGACAGGCGGATACAGCTGTTCCAAGCTAAGGCCAGGGCCTCTCCCCAATCCCAATGGGCTCTGCAGGTGCAGTGATGGAAGAATCCCTGGTGACAGGGAGCCCTTAGCTCTGAGCAGGACCTGAAGCCATCTCAGGGCTTGCACCGGTCCAGATGCTGCTGCACAAGTGCTACAGGGGCTCCTGCCCTGCCCTCCTCACCTGCCCCCTCACCTGTCAGGGATGTTTGATTCCTGGCTGGCCCCTCCCCTACCTGACCCCTGCCAAAGACCTACGCCACCCCAGGCTCCCAGCTCTGAAGCAAACGCCAGAGAAGTCAAGCGCCTGGCTGCGGGCCACACAGCTTGAGGGACTCAGAGCTCCAGGGACAGTGCCCGGGCCCTGCTCAGGCCTTCTGCAGAGGCTCTGGGCTCTTCCAGTTGACTCAGCTCACAGGGCCCCTACACGGTACCAGGTGAAGACACAGCCCCAAGAACTCCCAGGCTCTGAAGCCACACATGTGAGCTGTGGGCAGAATCCTGCATTGGCCTCCAGCAGCTCGAGAGCACAGGGACAAAGCTGGACTGGCCCCAGGGTCACCGTGGCCTTGGTTTTGTAGCAGCTGCAGTTTGAGCACGTACACCAAAAATAAAATTCTAAGCCCCCTAACTGACTGAAGGGACCCCTCCTATTGGCCAAAGGGATATTCCAAAGTTAACCTGAAAAACGAGCTCAGGTCATGATGGGAAGAAGGGTCACACAGGCCTTGTTATACCCCCTCCCTCTGGAATTCAGGTACAGCTGACCAGCACTAACATTCAAACACAGATCTTGGCCTGGCTCAGTGCCTCATGCCTGTAATCTCAGCACTTTGGGAGGCTGAGGTGGGCAGATCACGAGGTCAGGAGTTCGAGACCAGGCCGACCGACATGGAGAAACCCCATCTCTACTAAAAATACAAAATTAGCTAGGCATGGTGGTGGCAGGCACCTGCAATCCCAGCTACTTGGGAGGCTGAGGCAGGAGAATCGCTTGAACCAGGTTGCAGTGAGCCGAGATCATGCCACTGCACTCCAGCCTGGGTGACAAAAACAAAACAAAACAAAACACAATATTGGTCTCCACAACCTCCTGTCTTACCCAGATACTCCTTTCTATTGATTCCAGGTCTTTAGCTAATAACTCTTTCAACCAATTGTGAATCAGAAAATCTTTTGCCAGGCACGGTGGCCCATGCCTGTAATCCCAGCACTTTGGGAAGCCAAGGTGGGCGGATCACCTGAGATTAGGAGTTCAAAACCAGCCTGACCAACATGGTGAAACCCCTGTCTCTACTAAAAACACAAAATTAGCTGGGCATGGTGGTGCATGCCTGTAGTTCCAGCTACTCGGGAAGCTAAGGCAGGAGAATCACTTGAACCCAGGAGGCGGAGGTTGCAGTGAACTGAGATCACGCCACTGCACTCCAGCCTGAGTAACAAAAGCATCTCAAAAAAAAAAAAATATATATATATATATATATATAAAGAATAAAGAAATCTTTGAACCCACTTGTGACCAGGAAGCCCATCCCCACCTTGGAGTTGTCCCGCCTTTCTCGGCAGAACCAACAAATACCTTTCACATACTGACTGATGTCTGCCTGTAACTTCTGTCCTTGTACAAGGTATGAACTCCAGCTGTGGCCCACCCCCTGGGGCACATGTCCTCAGGGCCTCCAGGCCTTGGTCCTCACATTTAACTCTGGATAAATCTCTTCAAATATTTTACAGAGTCTGGCTTTCTCGTTAACAAGCAGCTCACACATATAGTGTCTCAGCAGTGACAGATGCTGGCCCACCCCGAGGTCAGGATGACTCAGCAGGGATCGAGTTTGCGGGCGTCACGCTCCAAGGCCCGGAATAGGAGGTTGGTGCTCATTCCTCACATAGTGGGCAAATCCTAGGGCAGGGGAGGGGCGGGCAATGCCAGAGAATGGTCCCCACCTGGGGCGGTCTGACGGCCAGGGATGCAGAGAAAGAGACGCCTCCCACGCTCCCAGAGGGCACGAGCTGTGGCCACCCCGGAGGGTCCGCCTTCCAGAGGGAGAGTTCAGGATTTGGCCACAATCAGGGAAGGAGACGCTGCGGGGGGGCCCTCCTGTTGGAAAAGGGCAGCGGCGGGAAGGGGGTGCTGCCACAGGGCCTCTGGGGAGCGCGCGGGCACACAGTACCAATCTGCGTGCATACACATGCCCTGTCCCTGCAGACGGGCCAGGCAAGGCCTGCCCATGGCCAGCCATCCAGGTGATGCTCCAGGGAGGGCCAGGCCTACTGGGGAGCAGAACCCTGTGGCTGTCCAGGATACCTGGATGTGAGTCTGGGAAGGATGGAGAAGGGTGGAGGAGCGCGAAGAGCCCCTAGGGGTTGCTGGGGAACACAGATGAGCCTCTGACCCACCTGTGTCCTTACCTGGGCCGACTGGGCCACCCAGTCTTGCTGACACCTCCCCAGACCCCTGGCACCCACCAGACTCCCCAGGCGTGGCTGTGTGCTCCCCTATGCCTGAAGACAAACGGTGGCCTCAGTGTAGAGGTGGGCACTGTGGCCCCTGGCTCCTGGCTTGCTCCTGCCTCAGTTTCCCCAGCTGTAAATTGGGGATTATCACTGGCTTCAAAGGCTGGAGTGGAAAGTGGTGGCCAAGAGGTGCCAAGAGGTGGTGCAAGCGTGTGCCCTACCTTGGACACCCCTCTCCAGGGGGTGGCTCTCACCCTGGCCTGGGCCCTCGGGGGTCTGCACAGCCCACCCTTCTGTGTGAAGGCGGCTGGTACACATTCCTGGGCAAGATTCTGCACATTCTGCTGGATTATGAAAGAGGTCTGTGACCCAAGGAAAAAGGGTCAGAAGTGCCCGTTAGGCTCTCCTGTGTGGCTCAGGTCATGTGCTTCTGTGAACTCGCCCTAGGGCCTTGCCCCGAATCCCGTGATGCAGCGTGACCTGCCCAGGCGCTGGCGGCACTTTCATGTCTGGCTGGGAAAGTCGGATTTCAGCACTAATCACTGGCTGCCGCCTGCAATGAGCCCACGGCTTGAGCTCTGGGGCCCACCCAGCTCCTTAAACACGCAGAACCTTTGCTAGCTGAGCCAGGGTCCCAGCTGTGGGGGGTTGGGGATGGAGGGGTGCAGGGATCCCAAAACCCAACCCGGGGCCAGGTTTTACACAGGCCTGGACTGAGAAGTGGGGCTACAGGCTACAGGTGCTTGATACCCCGGGGGGGCCCTGGAACAGGCCTGGACTGAGAAGCGGGGCTACAGGTTACAGGTGCTGGATACCCCAGGGGGGTGCTGGACACACCAGGGGGGCAGATAGAGGCAGCCAGGCAGCCTGAAGACCCTGGGGCAAAACACACACAGGCCCCCTCTGCTCTCTGGTCACTGCTAACTGGCCAACTGGCCTTTGAGTCCACTGACCACAGCTAAGCCCACAGCCATCAAAACCCACCCCTTACACCCTTCACCCTTTAGGGAGGGGCTCAGAGACAGTTGTGGTGATTCCTACTTCCACCCACAGCCCCCCGACCCTGGGCCTGTGCCGAGTGTGGGTGGGTGACATCATCTTGCACCCAGAGCTCCAGACTAAAGGAAACCCTGGCTCCTGTCTCTGGCTCTTCCCTCCCTCTCTTTGTTCCCTTGCTCCTTTCTTTTTGCCAAAGGAGAAGACAGTGAGGCTGAGGGCTGCTCAACATGCACAGTGAGCAGGAGATACAAGCACGTGGAGGGACGGTCACAGCCCGTGCAACTGGCACCTTCACACACGGAGGCCTGTGATTCCCAGACACCTGGCGCTGGGGCAAATCCCATTCCACAGCCAGAAACAGGCTCGGCAGGGCCAGGTGGATTTCTCAAAGCCTTGGTTGCTTTTGGCCTGACGCTAGCTGGACAATGTCTCAGCTCACAGGTTCCTAAACGCACACCCGCCCACACCAATCTGCTGAGGAGTGACAGCCATGGGGAGGAGACCCACCTCACTCCAGGGACCCTGGCACCGTCTCCCATGAGGCCAGGTGTCCTCAGCCACCCGCAGCCAGAGTCCCGCGAGACCGATGGACGGCCTGCCCCTGCGTGACGGCACGCCTGGGACTGTCCCAGCAGGCTCCCATGCTTCACCCAACTGGGACAGGGAAACAGGAGGGGGCTACTTCTGCTTTCAAGGCATGGAGGAGCTGTCTGCAGGCCACTTCCCGAACACCTATGCGCTTGGGGAACTGACTGAGACTGAGCCGGGGTATCTTCTCCACGATGTGGTGAGCCCATCAGGCCCTTCTTCTGAGAGCACCTCCCTGGAGGTGGAAGCCCCTGAGGCCCACAGCATCTTCTGAACCTGTGAGTTCCCACTTACTGAGAGCTCGCCTGGGCCAGTGCCAGTCCACGGCTGTGGCCGGGACTTTGAGTAGATGCTACCCTACTTGCTATGCAGAGCCAGCTGGGGCCCAGGGAGGTCAGATAAACTGCCCAAACCAAATCCAGGCCCAGCCAGAATCTCAACTCCAGCCTTTGCGCCTTCTGATAAAACCCAGCATTGCTTGAATTTCCAGTACACGCTGCCAAGTCTTCATCAAGCAATAAATAACCCACACAACCCTACTGTCATGCCAAGTTCCATATGGCCATCCAGAAAGAGACACATGGAGCTGGTTCCTCTCATCTTTATGACCCGTGAAAAGCGCACCAACACGAAGACACGCGTGAAAGGACCTCATCTCCTAACCAGACTGACAAGCAAGGGATTTTTTCCACTCACCGTCAGTGGGATGGTTCTAAGCACCGAGGCCAACCCATTTCACACGATTATTTCACAAAAAGAAACTTTCTGTGGGACGTGCCTGGGCGACTGAAAAGACAGCCAGCAAAACTGAGAACCTTGTTCGCAAATCCGTACCCTCTCCCAAGGCAGCCTCAGAGGCCCGAGGGCTGAGGATCCAGACCCGAAAGCCACTGTACCTTCTGTAGGATCAGGCTCAAGGACTAAGGGGGTAAAAGGTGCCCTTTCCCTTCCTAAGCAGAAAATTCTGGAACCCAACCTTATGTGTGATCATTTAAAAAAAAAAAAATCAGCTGGGTACACTGGCTCACGCCTGTAATCCCAGCACTTTGGGAGGCCGAGGTGGGCGGATCACCTGAGGTCAGGAGTTCGAGACCAGTCTGGCCAACATGGAGAAACCCTGTCTCTACTAAAAAATGCAAAATTAACCAGGCATGGTGGTGCATGCCTGTAATCCCAGCTACTCGGGAGGCTGAGGCAGGAGAGTCACTTGAACCCGGGAGGCAGAGGTTGCAGTGAGCCGAGATCGTGCCATTGCACTCCAGCCTGGGCAAAAAGAGCGAAATTCCATCTCAAAATAAATAAATAAATAAATAAATAAATAAATAAATAAATAAAATAAATCACTTTCTATGGCTTTTCACTGCTCCAGGAACAATGTCCACAGATCAAACGCCGAGCCTCTCCTTCACACCCTGGAGCGCCCATCCTGCCCACTGGTCCGGGCTCCAGGCTGCCCCCTGCACCTGTCAGAAGTCCCCCTACAAGGGCAGGGTCTCCCTTCCTGGGACATCCACTGCCCTTCTCCGAGCTGAAGTCAGAACGACCTGAGAATCAGCTTGGAGTTCTACCAGACTCAGCCAAGCCCACCTCTGCGACAGCACTCCTTTCAAGGGGGCACCAGCTGCAGGGAGTCTGTCCCTTACAGACCCGTGACCCCGTGACAGATGAATAAAGTAGAGACACACAGATATTCTGCTCTGCCAGTCCAGCTGAGTGTTCCAGCCGCTTATAGGCTCCCTGCTGAGTCCTGTAAACAGTTGCTACTTGGCCCTGATCAGCTAGTCAGACGCGCATTTATTCAGTATGATTAATTAACAAAAGCTTGAGTCAACACCATTAGAGTGTAACAGACATTGTGGACTTACCGGGTAAAAAGCATTTAAGCACCCAGGGTCTTAAGATTATATGAGTAAACAAGCTAGCTAGGTAAACTACTCTGCCTTTCTTTTATTTCTATGTTTATTTGTTTAACTAAAGGTAAAGGGATCAGGCCGCCTTCAGCCAGAGCTAATTACCAAAGTTATGCCAACTTCTCGGCCTTCCAAGATTTGTGTCTATTTCTATAACTACCTCTAATATCTTTCCCACCAGAATGATTGAACCCCAACACACCTCCCTCTCTCAGCAGGGTCTGCCTGTTCAGAGAACACAACTTCTCCTTCTCGCCTTACACACAGGGGCAAGAATAGATTCACTCTTGCAGAGAGCACATCCCTTTCTGTTACTGAAAATCACTTTCCAAAAAAAAAAAAAAAGCAACACATACACACATACTCACCACATACACAGGTGGGTCAGAGAAAAAAAACAAGTACAAATGGCTTAGGGACATGAGAAGTGTGGCCCTAACTTTCGCTGAAAGGGATCCTATTAACATTAACCCTCACCTCTGGGTCAGAAGGGTTGGCACTCTAGAGCCTGCCTTGAGGCTTTACCTACTGGGACCAAAAGGACTGCTGGAAAGCTATTTTAGGCCGGGTGCGGTGGCTCAAGCCTGTAATCCCAGCACTTTGGGAGGCAGAGGCGGGTGGATCACCTGAGGTCAGGAGTTCAAGACAAGCCTGGCCAACATGGTGAAGTCCTGTCTCTGCTAAAAATACAAAAAATTAGCTGGGCATGGTGGGCACCTGTAGTCCCAGCTACTTGGGAGGCTGAGGCAGGAGAGTCACTTGAACCCGGGAGGTGGAGGTTGTAGTGAGCCGAGATCGCGCCATTGTACTCCAGCCTGGGTAAGAGCAAAACTCCATCTCAAACATAAAATAAAATAAAAATAAATAAATAAAAATACTTTTTAAAGCCCTATTACCACAAAATAAATCCAGGAACGTGTGACTTGGTACAGCCTCTTTGGAAGGCACATTAGCTATTACATTAGACTCCACACCCCGCCGGGTGCGATGGCTCATGCCTGTAATCCTAGCAAATTGGGAGGCTGAGGCACATGCCTGTAATCTAAGCTCCCGGAGGTTGAGGCAGGAGAATTGCTTAAAACCAGGAAGCAGAGGTTGCAGTGAGCAACGAGCCTGGGCGACAGAGACAGACTCTGTCTCAAAACAAAAACAAAAACAAAAAACAAAAAACCACATAACCTTTTCCCATTTGCACAAAGCTGGGAAACCCCAAATGCCCTCCACAGGGGTCTACGGGGGGTCGGGGGGTGGGGGCGGTGAGCACACTTGTTCCTGCCGACACAGGGAAGTCTTCTTAGCAGCTAAAGAGGGCAGCCTCTGCGTACTGCCTGGGAACATGGCAAAACCATTTTAGGCTTAAAAAAAAGGTGGAGAACAAGTTGTACATTATGATCTTTTAAATAAATAGGCCAGCGATATATTTGTAACAGAAGCAGCTCTGGAAGCGTACACTGTCAGCCACAGAAACTCTGGGGCTGGGGGGTGGTAAAGGAGGAGAAATGTGTCACCCAGGCAGGAGCTTAGTGGCACCATCTTGGCTCCCAAGTTCAAGCAGTTCTCCTGCCTCAGCCTCCGAGTAGCTGGGACTACAGGTGTGCGCCGTCACGCCCAGCTGATTTTTGCTTTTTTTTTTTGAGACAGAGTTTCGCCTTGTTGCCCAAGCTGGAGTGCAGTGGTGCGATCTCAGCTCACTGCAACCTCCACCTCCTGGGTTCTAGTGATTCTCCTGCCACAGCTTCCCGAGTAGCTGGGATTACAGGCATCTGCCACCACGCCTGGCTAATTTTTTGTATTTTTAGTAGAGATGGGGTTTCCCCATGTTGGCCAGGCTGGTCTCGAACTCCTGACTTCAGGTGATCCGCCTGCCTCGGCCTCCCAAAGTGCTGGGATTACAGGCATGAGCCACAGTGCCTGGCTGGTTTGAATTTTTAAATGATGATGAATTCATGTATGACTGATGTGATTTTTATTAGAAAGAGAAAACTAGGCAGCGCCCCATCCTATGTCTCCTTCCTGGTGGCCAATGAAGCATTTCCCACAACTCACTCCTGGCACCAACAGGAAGTCAGACACTCAGCACCCAGGGGCTGCTTTTTTTTTTTTTTTTTTTTTTTTTTTTGAGACAGGCTTGCTCTGTCACCCAGGCTGGAGTGCAGTGGCAGGATCTCAACTCACTGCAAACTCCACGTCCCGGAGCATGCCTCAGACTCATAAGTAGCTGGGATTACAGGCGTGAGCCACTATGCTCAGCTAATTTTTGTATTTTTAGTAGAGATGGGGTTTCACCATGTTGGTCAGGCTGGTCTCGGACTCCTGACCTCGGTAGATCTGCCTGTCTTGGCCTCCCATAGTGCTGGGATTATAGACGTGGGCCATCACACCCAGCCAACAGGGATTCATTTTTTAAAGGTAAGAGTGCAGGCTGCATAAGCTATTATCCATGTCGTTACATACCAGGCGGGCATGTACCTAGGCGAGAGGGAGACTGAACCAGTGAAATTCTAATGACAAAAAAAAGAAATCAGTCATCCCCTACATTCACATGTCCAACGCCCAGCTGGAAGCCACAGGCTCTCCCCACTCCTGTCCTACGATTTTTCCCGGCTTTGACCTGCATGGTGGTGCGGCTGCTCCGCTCAGAGCCTCAGAGAAACCACACAGAGCCCTGCTGAGTCTTGCCCTCGGGGCATTCTCACATTTATGAAGAAATGCCTCCCCCTCCCCCTTCTCCCCAAAGTACGGTGTGGCAGAAAACAGCGCCAACAGGTCCTGCCAGTCAGAAGCCACTCCCCTGATTTCATGGCTCAAGACCCCAACTATAAATTAACCCTTCCCACCTTGAATGTGTACACACACTACTGAGATCCAGGCCGATCCTTGCCATGGGATGAACCTGAGAATTGCCAAGACCCGCCTTCCCACGCCACCCAACCAAATCATGTGGTATCTGGTACAAGTCATTTTCCCCCTGAAATCCCACAAGAAAACTATTTTGAGGCCGGGCACGGCGGCTCACGCCTGTAATCCCAGCACTTTGGGAGGCCGAGGCGGGCGGATCACAAGGTCAGGAGATCGAGACCATCCTGGCTAACACGGTGAAACCCCGTCTCTACTAAAAATACAAAAAAAATTAGCCGGGCGTAGTGGCGGGCGCCTGTAGCCCCAGCTACTCGGAAGGCTGAGGCAGGAGAATGGCGTGAACCCGGGAGGCGGGGCTTGCAGTGAGCCGAGATCGCGCCACTGCACTCCAGCCAGGGCGACAGAGTGAGACTCCATCTCAAAAAAAAAAAGAAAAGAAAAGAAAACTATTTTGAAAAGCAGTTCTCTCTGGCCTGGTGAAGAACACACCAGCACCATGCCCACCAAAATAGGAGCCCCATGGCTGTTTCCCAGAGTAACCTGGGACCCGAACCTCCATTCACTGTAACACAGACTGAATCTGCAGCCAAGCTCCGCTCTCTCACTACTGGGCAACCCTCAGGGGGGATCCCTTAGCCTAAACCAGCACCAGTCACTACCCGCACACGATTTTATTACTACTGTTTTCTTATGAGTCAGCCCGTGTCACTGATTCCTGACGAGCTGGTGTGGAGAGCAGAAATGAATAATTTTCTTTTTAACTGCAATTTCGTTTTCACCAACCAGTCAGCAATCGGAGCTTTAACAATAAACCGGTTGCTCAGTTACTCCACGTGGGTGCCACGCAAGAGGCTGGGAGTATTGCTCAGCGGGGCCAACGGGAGGCTGGCACTTGCCTGAACCGCTTAAGTGGGGGAATGAAATGCCCACCGAAGGGCAGGGCAGGGACCCTGCTGTCCCGTCACTGAAGATATTCCCAGCCTGTGGGGAGAAGTGTAAAAGAATGAATGAAAGAAACGCACTTGGTTTCTGGGACCAATGACCTTAGCCTAGAACTGCCGGGACGGTCCAGGAACGCAAAAATGTAGAGATGTGGGAGCCAGGGGCGTAGTGATGCAAGGATGCAGGGACCCAGGGACTACGACCTCCCAACCCCCGGCCCGCGCCCCGTACTCACGCACGGAGTGGCAGGCTACGAGCTTGGCTGCCTCCTCGGGCACCGGGCAGGTGGGGAAGAGCGGCTTGAGCAGGTAGGTGGCGAAGACCAGGGCCACGATGTACTGCGATGAAGGCCGGATGATGAGCAGCTCGATCCAGAGCTTGAGGAAGGCGGGCAGCGAGCCGTAGACGTCCAGCATGTAGGCGTAGTCGCCGCCCGATTTGGAGATGGTGGTGCCCAGCTCCGCGTAGCAGAGCGCGCCCACGATGGAGAAGACGCCGCACGCGGCCCACACCACCAGCGCCAGCCCCGGCGAGCCTGCCTCCTTGAGCACGCCCGTGGGCGTCACGAAGATGCCCGAGCCCATGATGGCGACCACGATGACGGCCACGCCCTTGAGTAGCGTGATGTTCCCCTGCAGGGTCACGCCCTCGCCCTCGCCTGCCGGCGCCGCGCCGTCCGCGCGCTTGGCGGCCATTATCTTCTCCCGCGCCTCTTCCTTCTCCTCGGCCACCGGGGCCGCTAGCGCGCGCCGCTTCGGGCCCGCACCGGCCATGCTCTGCTTACCGGCCGGGCCTGGGACACCCGGGAGCCGCAGCCGAGCGAGGATTGTGCGCGCCGCTCGCCGCCCGCCGCCCGCAGCTGCGTCAGGAACCCCGCCCGCGCCGCCTTTTAGGCCCCGGCCCACTGGCCCCGCCCACCGTCCGCGGCTCCTCCCCGACCCGTGGCCCGGCCGCGGCCCTCAGCCCCGCCCCCTCGACCCAGCTCGGAGCACGTGCGTCGTCCGGCCTAGCCTGGCAGGCGATTCCCAGGCCCGCGTGGTCCTCGAAGGCCCCCGTACTCCTGCGCCATGGAGACCCCGGCCTCGCGACCTACCCCCCCGGCGCCCGCGTCATCCCAGCCCGTCCTCCCGGGTGCGCCTGGGCGGGGCCTGGCAGTCAGGGCGAGCCCCTTCACCCACTGGCCCGCAGCCTCTCGTCAAGCCTGGGAGCGGGCAGTGCACCAGGGCTGGCCTGAGGCCAAGGATGGGGTTTGGGGTACCCCCCGAAGGGAACCTAGGCTCCTGTCCCGGATGGGCCGAGGGGATGGAACCGCCCCCACAACCAGCTCCTGGGGCACGGGGGAGGGATGAGAAGATGACCTGAGGGGAAGCTCCTGCAGCCTCCTTCCAGCCTGGGGGCTGCATCAATGTGGCTGGTGAGCCGCGAACTGAGACGAGGGAAGAACCGAACCGAGGCCACCCAGTAATTCCCATTGTATCCCAAAAGAATCTTGCCAAAGATGGCGATCCGGTGCCCGTAGCTTTGAGAAGCAGTAATAACACAGGCTTTGGGAAGCCAGCACTCTGCCTGAGCTCAATTTAATCAACAGAACCGGGGGTTCACCGGGAGCCATAAGACCCCCACCCCCAAATCTAGCTGGGAAATTCAAAGGCAGGCTTCAGTGTGAAGGGGCTTTAAAGCTTGTTATTCCTGGGGAATGCGAGAGGCATCTTAGCTAAAAAGGGTTGAGAGGTAATTTCAGTTAGAGGCGAGAGCAGGATGCCAAGGCTCCTAGGCCTGGAAACGGGAAGGAATATAAATACTGCCCCGAGATTGACCAGACTGGTGAGCAGCCAAAGACCTGTTCAAAGGGTGTGTGTGGGTCAGGGAGGAAGCTCCTCGGTATCCCCCCAACCCGGGGTTCCTTGGCGTGTGTCCTAACGAGTACTTGGAAGCTCACAGCAGGCATGTGGGGAGGCCTTTGTTCTGGGTGAGCGTTCAGCCTCCCAGGGCAAACACGCAAACACCGGTTGCAGAGCTGGGTGTTCACAGCAAGACAGTCTGCTGGGCAGATGCCTCTGGAATCCACAGAATTCTGAACAATAGCCGTGGTGGAGGGGGGGTCAGAATCCCTGTCGTGCTGGGACCTCTAGCTGCAGCCAGGAATGTCCAGGCCCCACCCCGGGGAGGAGGCGGCTGAGGAATGCCACGGCTTGTCATTCTGGACCTTGCTCGCCCCCCGGTATGGCAGGCATTCCTCTGCAGTGATAAAACCAAGCGAAATCTCAGCAGCCCAGGCAGCCACCGGCAGGGGAGTGCGGAGGTCGCACAGATACTAACTTGTAATCTGCCGTCCACGCTGCGGGCTGTGGAAGGTGCAGAGAGCCCTCCATCCACCCTATTCTTCCCGCTGTGCCTGCAGAGGGAAGGAGACAGTACCACCATGGCTGGACAAACTCACCGAGTGCTCACTGAGTCCTCCCCTAGATAGCTTCTTGTGCAATAGGGTAGGTGCCAGTTAGGAGCAAGGTTAGAGATTATAGGGCCAGATTTTTTGCTTAGGTTCAACTACGCAAAATAAAAATAGACTTTGCATGCATTTCAGGCACTGGGCTGACGACCGGCCACCAGGGAGGCTCCGCCCCACTTCTTAGCTTTGGCCCCAACGTTAGTCTTGTTGCTGCTCTCAGGCGTGCTCTGCGTGTGAAAGATGACTTGGAGGCTGGGCGCGGTGGCTCACGCCTGTAATGCCAGCCCTTTGGGAGACCAAGGTGGGAAAATCTCTTGAGCCCAGGAGTTCAAGACCAGCCTGGGCAACATAGGGAGACCCCGTCTCTACAAAAAATACAAAAACTAGCCCAGCGTGGTGGTGGTGCACCTGTAGTCCCAGCTGCTGGGGAGGCTGAGGTAGAAGGATCACCTGAGCTGGGGAAGGTTGAGGCTGCAGTGAGCTGAGATCACGCCACTGCACTCCAGCCTAGGCGACAGAATGAGACCGGTCTTTTTTTTTTTTTTTTTTTTTTTTTTTTTGAGACGGAGTCTCGCTCTGTTACCCAGGCTGGAGTGCAGTGGCGCGATCTCGGCTTACTGCAAGCTCCGCCTCCTGGGTTCACACCATTCTCCTGCCTCAGCCTCCCAAGTAGCTGGGACTACAGGCGCTCACCACCATGCCCGGCTAATTTTTTGTATTTTTAGCAGAGACGGGGTTTCACGGTGTTAGCCAGGATGGTCTTGATCTCCTGACCTCGTGATCCCCCCGCCTCGGCCTCCCAAAGTGCTGGGATTACAGGCGTGAGCCACTGCGCCCGGCGAGACTGGTCTTGAAAAAAAAAAAAAAGATGACATGGAAGCAACAGTAGGAGCCGGGGTCAGAGTTCAGGCCCGTCCATCCGTGGATGATGGATAAACCCAGCGTAGTCCGCCATCCCTTGGAGAGTCATTCAGCTGCACACAGGAAGACGCGCTGCAATGTGCAGGACCCCTGAAAACACTGGGCTGCGTGAAAGGGTCAGTGACCACGGGTTGTATGATTCCGAGTGCACGAATGTTCAGGACAGGAGGATCCAGAGAGACGGACGAGATTCGTGGCTGCTTAGGGCGGGGGGAAGGGGCGATGGAGAGTGAGGGCTGAGTGGATGGGGTCTCTCTTTGGGGTGATAAAATGTCTTGGAACTAGATGATGGGGATGGTTGCCCAACACTGGGAGTGACTTAAACACCACGGATTTGTACGTGTTTAAATGACTAACGGTTAATGTTATGTTATGTGTGAACTATACATCCAAAAGATAAAAGCAGTTCAGGACTAGAATCGAACGGTCCTGGGTTCAGATCTCACCTCTACCACTTGCTGGTTAATGTGGCACCAGGCGAGTGACTCGGCTCAGCTTTCAAAGTCTCAGTTTCCTCTTCTGTGAAGCAGGGAGACACCTGCGCCCGCCTCCTGGGGACCAGCAGGTAGAAGACCCTGAGCCGCTGGCATTGCCATCACTGCAGAACTGTGCTCCCAGGGCTGGCAGGTGGAGGACCCTGAGCCTCTGGTGTCATCCTCACTGCAGAACTGTGCTCCCGGGGCTGGCGGGTGGAGGACCCTGAGCTGCTGGTGTTGCCGTCACTGCCGAACTGTGCTCCCAGGGCTGGCCGAATGCCTGGCTTCCACCCTCAGACTTTCTTTCCAATGTGTGCAGAGGGAACACGGAGGGACAGCAGTTGCAGCAGCCCACACTTGCTGTGTCGGGCATGGTCTCAGTGGCTGGAGCATGAAGATGGAGGCGGGGATGGGAGTGGGCGGCTCTGAGTCAAGGGACACCTGGAGCCCCCAGAAGCTGGAAGAGGCAGGAGGGGTCCTGGAGCCCCCGAGGGAGTCTGGCCCTGCCACCACCTTGATGTTGGCCTCTGGCCTCCGGGACTGTGAGAGAACAAAGGGCTGTTGTCCTAAGCCCCTGTTTGCAGACAAAGGGAATAATCTCAACATTGAAAAAATATGGCCTTAATCTTTAGTGCGTAGGTGGCAAACTTACCTTCAGGATGGCAGAGACAGATCTTTTTTTCCTGTTGACAGGCATTTTAACATTTCCAGAGACACAGGAGCCAGGTTCTCCTGCTTGGCCTCTGCAGTATGAGCCAAACCTGCCTATTGTTAAGTGATTGAATGAGTTGATGCTCACCTTGAACTTTCTTCCACTCTACCCTGGATTACAAGAAGAATTCATTGCTCAGCCCACGTCCCAGCATGAGGCTGGAAGCAGCTGTGAATTTTGTAGAGACTGGAGGGCCCTGCACTCTTTGCAGCTGCCAGCTTCAGCGCTGCTTTCTTCGGCTACTTTGCCCCGCCTCTCAGTTTTGGGGACAGTGGCTGCAGGGCAGATGCCATTCAACCAGGTCAAATTTCCATGTGAGGATGGAAATTTGTAGGTTATAATTCAATTCTCTATTTTGAAAAATATCCAGGTGGATATTGTTTACCACCAAAACAATGACTTCTATTGTGTGGGCCCGAAAACCAGGCTGATGCATGCTACGGCATGGGTGTGTGGTGCCTGCTCCGTGTGTGAACCATGCTGCTCCGTGTGTGAACTGTGTCTGTTCCATGTGTGAACTGTGTCTGTTCCGTGTGTGATCCATGCTGCTCCATGTGTGAACCATGTCTGTTCCATGTGTGAACTATCTGTTCCATGTGTGAACCATGTCTGTTCCATGTGTGAACCATGTCTGTTCCATGTGTGAACCATGTCTGTTCCATGTGTGATTCATGCTGCTCCATATGTGATTCATGCTGCTCCATGTGTGATCCATGCTGTTCCATGTGTGAGCCGTGTATGTTCCATGTGTGATCTGTGTCTGTTCCATGTATGGTCCATGCTGTTCCATGTGTGAACTGTGTCTGTTCCATGTGTGAACCATGTCTGTTCCATGTGTGAACTATCTGTTCCATGTGTGAACCATGTCTGTTCCATCTGTGAACCATGTATGTTCCGTGTGTGAACCATGTCTGTTCCATGTGTGATTCATGCTGCTCCATATGTGATTCATGCTGTTCCATGTGTGAGCCGTGTATGTTCCATGTGTGATCTGTGTCTGTTCCATGTATGGTCCATGCTGTTCCATGTGTGAACTGTGTCTGTTCCATGTGTGAACCGTGTCTGTTCCACATGTGGTCCATGCTGCTCCATGTGTGAGCCATGTCTGTTCCATGTGTGATCCATGTCTGCTCCATGTCTGATCACACCTGCTCCCTGTCACTCATTTTGTCTAGACTTCTCAATGATGACAGCCCCCAGTTAACTGGATTTAAGGTAGTTTCTAAACATTTGTAGCCAGATCCATCTAGTATCCTGCAATTCATTCATTGACTCAGCAAACATTTCACAATAGCTAGACATACGCCTGGCTTTGTGAGAATGCATGTCCTCATGACACCCCAGCCTGCGGGTGACCCTTTCATGTGCACCCCTGTGATAACGTGGGATGTGCAGGAGCCTGGGTGTGGGGGGAGGGGATGCTGCTGCCTGGGGCTGGCACTGACGAAGGAGGATGAGCCCAGGAGAGGGAGCAGCGCCTGGAGGCCCAGGGGCAGTGCACAGCAGTCCCCGAGCTTACAAGTGGGAGCACTGCAGCCCATGGCGCCTGACCGCGTTTATTCTGTGCCATGGGCAAGCAGAATGGTTGAGGATCCCGCCCCTGGGGGCTCACATTCCAGAGGAGGATGCAAGCATCATGCAGCAACACATGCCTGATGCCAACAGCTGGGGAGGGGACACAGGGAGACCGTGGTTGGGACAAGTGTCTGAGAGCTGGTTGAGGATGGAAAGGAGTGACTGTGAAGCAGCCGTGGGGACAGCAACCCCAGCCAGAGGCCCACACACACAAGGTGACGTGGAAGAGGGCCAGGCTGCGAATCTTGCTGGGAGAAGCTCGTGCTCGATCCCAAGCCTAGTGGAAAGCCTCAGTTTTGAACAGGGCAGCAGAATGGCCAAGTGTCGGTTTCTCAAAAAAACCCACTGTTAAAAGAAAAAGGGATTTGAGGGAAGAGGGGAAGAGGCTGGAAAGGAAGTGGCTAAACTGGAAGCCCAGCTTGTCACTCAGGCTGCAGCAGAAGGGACAGAGAAAAGTGGACGGACTTGGAATAGGCAGCAGTTTGAGGGTCCTCCAGCAGAGCGTGCTGCTGCCCTGGGTGCAAGGAGTGAGGGGAGAGGAGGGCCCAAGGGGGCTCCCGAGATTGCCTGTGGCGTCGGGTGGATGGAGGAACCATTTATCAAGACGGGGTTGGTGGGCACAGAGTTGGGGATGCAGCAGTGCATGGACAGCCCACCTTTCAGCAGGAGGGACAAGTGTCAAAAAATGACAGCTCCGTTACTGCTGGGCACCGCTGTGTGCCAGGTGCCATCTGGGGGCTCAGCTCAGGCTGAGGGAACAGGAGGAGCAGGTGTTGAGCAGGTGGTGTGGGGCGGGCGGGGAAGGGTGCCCTCAGGTCCATCAGAACAGCCACAAGAGCCCTGGGGTGGGAGGGGGCCGATATTCTGGTCGGCACAGAGTGGGCTGCCAGGAGAGGGTGGGGGCGGAGGGGCAGGAATGTGGATTCTGTCTCAGGGGGGCAAGGCTGAGGGGATGTAGCTGGGCACATGGCCTGCTCTGAATTGAGCTTGGTTCTCTGGAGGGTCGATGGGAAGGATGTGCTGGGGATGGGGAGGAAGCGGAGGAGGAGGAGGCGGTGGCAGCTGTGAACAGGCAATGCTTCTCACACAGGTGTATCTTTATTAAACAAGAAAATAACATAAAAGCAAAGGGAGGAAGCCTTGAACCTTAAAAGCTGGGCCAGAAATTCTACAATACAATCAGAAGCCACAATCTGGTCACAGTGAGAGCCCTTCCCGCAGAGCCGCAGACATTGGCCGCTGCCCCTGGGGCGGGAGGGAAGCCTCCTGTTTGTTTTTTGTCCCGTTGCTTTGAGGGCTGGAATCAATGTCATTTTCTCTCGGAGTGTTTCTGGTTTCATCTCAGTGTGTCCAGGCTCGGATGTCTTCCTGGGAGTATCTCCGTGTCTCAGGATTAACACCAGTTTTTAAAAATAACTGACAAAGGCCATTTTTCAGGAGACAAAGATGTTGGTGCGTGCAGAGGGCCCCCTGTGTTGATATGGAAAATGAAGGTCAGCCACTCCCTGCTTCTCTTGGTATCTTGTTGGACACGATGTCAATGTGGGGCTGGTAGAACTGGAGCCCAGGGCCCCTCTGGCCGCTTGGGCCTTTCTCTGTCTCCAGGTCCCCATGGAAATGGGCAGCCCATGGAGAATGGCTGAATAGCTGCTGTCTGCCCCCATCCCAAGCTCCAGGTTCAGAGACCACCCCCTCCATTGACTGTGTCACCCCTTCCCCACCAGAGGAGCGGGCTATTCTCACAGCGCTGCAGGAAGCCCAGCCAAGTGCCTTCCTCTGGCTGCTGCTTCCATCAGCGTGAACTGCCCGGCATTGTAGGATAAGTTTTCTCCTGGGTTTTAAGGTTCAGGACTCTCTCTTTGCTGCACTTTTTCCTTGACTAATTGCACAAATAAGAGAAGGCAAGAGTGAAATGCTGCGTATCCCTTGGCCTAGCGGGTCAGCGACAACTTTCTCAACTTGTCAAGTGAGCCTCAGTTTCCTTATTAAAAACCAGGGATGATTTTGTAGAACTTGTCGCAACTCAGTGGGAGTGCCGTGGCCCTTATGCCCAATGACACCATCCTGTCACTTCAGGAGTTTCTCATAAAACACCATTCCCCAGACCAATGGCGCTGCGAGCTTCTGGGGCGTGGGCTGGGCCCAGCATGTCAGTGCGACCCACAGCGGGGCTGGAGCTGCTGAATGTGCACAACACACTTCACCCCGGGCCTGGTTCAGGAGCGGGCAAGGCAGCTGTACACCCTGTCCTTCAGCAAACTCCTCTTGATCGATGGAATCGAAGTCAGGAGCATCACCTTAGACGCAGAACAGAAACGTGCCCATTTCCCAGCTTGGTGCTTTCCCACTTCTACTTTGACTCCTTCAACCCAATCCTCTTTCACCCGCATCACCACCAAGTGTGATCTCCTTTAAAGAGCCAGACACTTTATTTTGGGGGGGCATGGAGGGGTGGAGTCTCACTCTGTTGCCCAGGCTAGAGGGCAGTGGCACAATCTCAGCTTATTGCAACCTCCACCTCCTGGGTTCAAGCGATTTCTGGCTAGATTTTGTTTTGTTTTGTTTTGAGACGGAGTCTCGCTCTGTCACCCAGGCTAGAGTGCGGTGGCCGCCATCTCGGCTCACTGCAAGCTCCGTCTCCCAGGTTCAAGCGATTCTCCTGCCTCAGCCTCCACAGTAGCTGGGATTATAGGTGCATGCCAACACGCCCGGCTAATTTTTCTTTGTATTTTTAGAAAAGACAGGGTTTCACAATATTGCCCAGGCTCGTCTCAAACTCCTGACCTCATGATCTGCCCACCTCAGCCTTCCAAAGTGCTGGGATTACAGGCGTGAGCCACCGTGCCTAGCCTTAGTTTTGTTTTTTTTTTCTTTTTGAGATGGAGTCTCACTCTGTTGCCCAGGCTGGAGTACAGTGGCACGATCTCGGCTCACTGCAACCTCCACCTCCTGGGTTCAAGCAATTCTCCCTGCCTCAGTCTCCCGAGTAGCTGGGACTACAGGTACATGCCAGCACACCCGGCTAGTTTTTTGTACTTTTAGTAGAGACGGGGTTTCACCGTGTTAGCCAGGATGGTCTTGATCTCCTGACCTCATGATCTACCTGCCTCAGCCTTCCAAAGTGCTGGGATTACAGGCGTGAGCCTAGTTTTTGTATTATTTTTTTTTTGGAGGCGGAGTCTCACTCTGTCACCCAGACTGGAGTGCAGTGGCACAATCTTGGCTCATTGCAACCTCTGCATCCCGGGTTCAAGCAATTCTCCTGCCTCAGCCTCCCAAGTAGCTGGGATTACAGGTGCCTGCCACCATGCCCGACTAATATTTTGCGTTTTTTTTTTTTTTTTTTAGTAGAGACGGGGCTTCACCATGTTGCCCAGGCTGGTCTTGAACTCCTGACCTCAGGTGATCTGCCCACCTCAGCCTCCCAAAGTGCTGGGATTACAGGCGTGAGCCACCGCGCCTGACCTAACCTACTTATTCTTTATCTCCCCGGAATGAAACGGCTTTTATCACCTTGGGAAACAGATTAGCATCTGCTTATTTTTCTGTGCTTATCTGACTGTAAGGTGACATTGGAAGATAATTTAATTAGGTTGATTGTAAAACTTTCTCTCTTCTGGGAGGAATATTTTTTAATGCTATGAAAATAAAAATACTGGGCCAGGCACGGTGGCTCATGCCTGTAATCCCAGAACTTTGGGAGGCCAAGGTAGGCAGATCACCTGAGGTCAGGAGTTCGAGACCAGCCTGACCAACATGGTGAAACCAAATCTCTACTAAAAATGCAAAAAAAAAAAAAAAAAAAAATAGGCTGGGCGCAGTGGCTTGCGTCTGTAATCCCAGTACTTTGGGAGGCTGAGGCGGGCGGATCACCTGAGGTTGAGAGTTCAAGACCAGCCTGACCAACATGGAGAAACCCCATCTCTAGTAAAAATACAAAATTAGCCAGGCGTGGTGGCCCATGCCTGTAATCTCAGCTAATTGGGAGGCTGAGGCAGGAGAATTGCTTGAACCTGGGAGGCAGAGGTTGTGGTGAACCAAGATGGCATCAATGCACTCCAGCCTAGGCGACAAGAGCAAAACTCTGTCTCAAAGAAAAAAAAAAAATTTGCTGGGCGTGGTGGCGGGTGCCTGTAATCCCCGCTACTCGGGAGGCTGAGGCAGGAGAATTGCTTGAACCCGGGAGGCAGAGGTTGCAGTGAGCTGAGATCATGACATTGCACTCCAGCCTGGGTGACAGAGCGACACTCCATCTAAAAAAAAGGAAAAGAAAAACACTGTACTGATTTTGGATTTTTTCCAAGCAAGTAATAGGTAAAAAGAAACCCAAACTGGCTTACATGAAAGGGCACCTATTGGCTTGTGTAACTGATCAGGTGCAACCATTGCTATAAGCTTGATCCAGACCCGACGCGGTGACTCATGCCAGTAATCTCAGCACTTTGGGAGGACGAGGCAGGCGGATCGCCTGAGGTCGGGAGATCGAGACCAGCCTGACCAACATGGAGAAACCCCGTCTCTGCTAAAAATACAAAATTAGCCAGGCACAGTGGTGTACGCCTGTAATCCCAGCTACTTGTGAGGCTGAGGCAGGAGAATCACCTGAACCCGGGAGGTGGAGGTTGCAGTGAGCCAAGATTGCGCCACTGCACTCCAGCCTGGGTGACAAAGCAAGACTCCATCTCAAAAACAAAACAAAACAAAAAACAACAAAAAAAAAGAGGGTGAAAGGCAGCCCCAGAGTGGGAGAAGAGATTTGTAAAATGGACAAAGGCCTTATAATTGGAATATATAAAGAACTCCTAAAAATCACTAAGAAAACCACAGACAGCCCAAGAGAAAAATGGGCAAATGGCTCAAGTAGGTATCTGGTGAAAGAGGATATGCAGATGGCCAATGAATCTGCACAAAGTGCTCCACATCATTAATCATTAGGGAAGTGCAAATTAAATCCACAGGAGACACCTGGGCACACCCTCCAGAAAGCACACAATGACCTGCTGGCAAGGACAGGAACGACCACTTTGGAAAACTCTTTGGCAGCACAGCCAAACTGAGCCTTTCCACTTGAAAATGCCCTTTGCTCAGAACCCAGCAGCAGCTCCAAAGTCTCCACCCAGCCTATGGGGCCCCAGTACCCACCCTTGCCTCCCATGCCTCTCTCCTCACCCCTGCACTTGGCTGCCCTCACCCTCGGGCTGCACCTTGAACACCAGAAGGGTGCTCCTGCCTCCAGCCTCTGCCTGGAATTCTCTGCCCTCGGGTAGCCATGTGGTTCACTCCTCCTTTGGTCTCTGCCCAAATGGCCCCTGTAGAAGAGACCTCCCCACCCAGCCATGTCCTCTCCCTGTGACTTACCACCCCAGACTTTCTGTGTTGATGCATCATGGTCTACCTCCTTCCATCAGAACGTGAGCTCCGAGGCAAAGGCTCTTCAGACCTGAAACAGTCTAGGCTCTGTCCCCAGAGTCTAGAATAGAGCCTGCCACGTAATTGGCACTCAATAAATGTTACATGAATTAATGGAAACCATCCTGGCACAAGTGGTAGCTCTCTTTCCACAAAAAGAATGAGCTTGCCAAGAGAGAGACAACATCACGAAAGAGAGACAGAAAAGCCACACTCAGACCCAACATTGAGTTCTGGATCAAGTCTTTTTTTTTTTTTTTTTTTTTTTTTGAGACAAAGTTTTGCTCTTGTTTCCCAGGCTGGAATGCAATGGCGCGATCTCGGCTCACTACAACCTCTGCCTCGCGGGTTCAAGCAATTCTCCTGCCTCAGCCTCCCGAGTAGCTGGGATTACAGGCATGCACCACCAAGCTCGGCTAATTTTGTATTTTTAGTAGAGATGGGGTTTCTCCATGTTGGTCAGGCTAGTCTGGAACTTGGCCTCCCAAAGTGCTGGGTTTACAGGCGTGAGCCACAGCGCCTGGCTCCTATGTTATTTTTTAGGAGCTTTATTGTTTTACCTTTCCTATTTAGATCTATAGTCTGTCAGGAATTAATTTTTGTGTGTGCTGTGAGGTAGGGGTGTGAGGTATGGTGAGAAAAAAGATTCATGGTTCCCCATTTGGATATCCCGTTGGCTCGGTGGGGTGGCTCATGCCTGTAATCCCAGCACTTTGGGAGGTCAAAGCAGGAGAACTATTGGAGCTCAGGGGTTCAGGACCAACCTGGGCAACATAGTGAGACCCTGTGGATCGACAGATGAATTGATCGATCAATCAATACATAGATAGATAAGTATCCAAATGATCCAAAACTATTCACAGAAAAGCCCATCCATTCCCTACAGCATGACTCAGGGATCACAAATGTGTGGAACCTTCTAGACATGCTATTCTTTTTCATTGGTTGATTTGTCCTTCTCTGACAGGTACCACATTATCTTAATTAATATAGCTTTTTATTTTTATTTATTTATTTATTTTATATGGAGTCTCGCTCTGTCGCCCAGGCTGGAGTGCAGTGGCATGATCTCAGCTCACTGCAAGTTCTGCCTCCCAGATTCAAGCGATTCTCCTGCCTCAGTCTCCTGAGTAGCTGGGATTACAGGCATGAGCCACCGCACCTAGCTAATTTTTGTATTTTTAGCAGAGACAGGGTTTCGCCATGTTGGCCAGGCTGGTGTCGAACTTCTGACCTCAGGTGATCTTCCCACCTCGGCCTCCCAAAGTGCTGGGATTACAGGCATGAGCCACTGCGCCTGGCCTACTATAGCTTTTGAAATAGGTCTTGACATCAAATTGTGTATGTTTTCTGGTTTTATCCTGCCAGATTACTTTTGGTTGTATTTTTGGTAGAGACGGAGTTTCACCATGTTGGCCAGGCTGGTCTCAAACTTCTGACCTCAAGTGATCCACCTGCCTCAGCCTCCCAAAGTGCTGGGATTACAGGCGTGAACCACTGTGCCTGGCCTCACAAGAATTCCTTTTTATTTTGAGACGGAGTTTTGCTCTTGTTGCCCAGGCTGGAGTGCAATAGTGCAATCTTGGCTCACTGCAACCTCTGCCTCCCGGGTTCAAGCAATTCTCCTGCCTCAGCCTCCCAAGTAGCTGGGATTACAGGCACGCACCCAGCTAATGTTTGTGTTTTTTATAGAGACAGGTTTTCACCGTGTTGGCCAGGATGGTCTCGATCTCCTGGGTAACAACGCTTCCTTCCTTCAAAGTCAGTTCTGCTATTCATGTGGACCTAATGTCTCTAGGATCTTGTGCCCTCATTAGTGGCCTGGAAGGACGCCCAGACCTTCCAGTTCATCAGGGGTTGAAGTGGGCGATAGTTGTTCACCATCATCTTCTTCTCTTCACCAAGTGCAGAAAACAGGAGAGTACGAAATGCAGAGAGCTGGAATAGAGGGCAGCCAGGGTGAGCTTGGTATGAGTGCAGGGTGAGCCAGCCCCCGGGTGTCCCTCAGGCCTTGTGTGGTCTCCTCCCATGCTGAATCAGGATGGCCTGAAATGACCAGTAAAGATGGTGGAAGTGATGGTGTGTGCAGGGCCAGGTTATAAAAGGCATTGCCGCTTCCGCCTTGGTCTTTAGGATCACTTGCTCTGGGGGGAAGCTGGTCACCATATTGGGAGGGTACTCAAGCAGCCCCGAGGAGAGGCCCACAGGGAAAGGAGCTGAGGCTCCCAGCCAACTGCCAGCGCCAACTTGCCATCCACTTGAGAGGGCCAACCTTGGAATGAATCCTCTAGCCCTAGTTGAGCTTTCAGATCGCTACAGTCCCAGCTGACACTGGGCTACAATTCATGAAAGATGGTAAGCCAGAGCCACCCAAATTCACAACCCAAGGAAACTATGGGAGATAATAAATGATTGGTTTTTGTTGTCGTTGTTGTTGTTTGAGACAGTGTTTCGCTCTTGTTTCCCAGGCTGGAGTGTCATTGGCAAGATCTCAGCTCGCTGCAACCTCCGCCTCCCAGGTTCAAGCGATTCTCCTGCCTCGGCCTCCCGAGTAATTGGGATCACAGGCATGAGCCACCATGCCCGGCTAATTTTTTTTTTTTTTTTTTTGAGATGGAATTTTGCTCCTGTTGCCCAGACTGGAGTGCAATGGTGTGATCTTTGCTCACCGCAACCTCCGCCTCCTGGGTTCAAGGGATTCTCCTGCCTCAGCCTCCTGAGTAGCTGGGCTTACAGGCATGCACCACCACGCCCGGCTAATTTTGTATTTTTAGTAGAGATGGGGTTTCTCCATGTTGGTCAGGCTGCTCTCAAACTCCTGACCTCAGGTTATCCACCTGCCTCGGCCTCCCAAAGTACTGGGATTATAGGCGTTAGCCACTGTGCTCAGCCTAATTTTGTATTTTTAGTAGAGACAGGGTTTCACCATGTTGGTCAGGCTGGTCTTGAACTCCTGACCTCAGGCGATCCACTCGCCTCGGCCCCCAAAGTGCTGGGATTACAGGCATGAGCTACTGCACCCGGCCCAAATGATTGTTTTCTAAAGCCACTATGTTTTGGAGCTATTTGTTACACAGCAATAGATAACTAACACCTATAATGTAAATGCTAAAGTAACATTTGAATTTACTTTTCACTCAAGGAACTAAAAGACTACTTTTTATGGCTGGATGCAGTGCCTCATGCCTGTAATCCCAGCACTTTGGGAGGCCAAGGTGGGTGAATCACCTGAGGTCAGGAGTTTGAGACCAGCCTGGCCAACATGGAGAATCCCCATCCCTACTAAAAATACAAAATTAGCCAGATGTGGTGGCTCATGCTTGTAATCCAGCTCCTCGGGAGGGTGAGGCAGGAGAAGCGCTTTAACCTGGGAGGTGGAGCTTGTGGTGAGCGAGATCACGCCATTGCACTCCAGCCTGGGCAACAGGGAAACTCTGTCTCAAAATAAATAAATAAATGAAAAATAAAAAAAGACTTTTTATGTATTATCTCACTTGTTCACAGAATATACTTATGAACTCTGTGAGGCAACTCACACATTTAATTAAATTCAGAAGTGAGATTATGTCTACATGCTGACAGCATACTGGGCCAGTTAGCCCTGCATGATGATCCAGCGCCCCCTAGAATTGCGCGCGCATGGTGCACGTGGCCTCCTGGGCCATGACCACAGTGTGCTCATCCACATTTGTGGTCTGCACATTTGTTGACTGTCTCAGAAAGGCAGCCTTTCTCCTCCCCTGGAAAACTCCCCGCCTTCCAGGACATGTGCCTCCCTGGCTCCCCTGCTCAGGATAAGGAGCTCCTGCCCTGCATTTTTATATGACACCGGCCACCCTGGCTTAATACTATTGGCTTCGTTTCTACTTTCCTGCCAGACAGCAGTATTCTGAGACGAATGCCCTGTTCCTGTGCCGCCCCTCCACACCTGCCCCCCTCCCACCCTCTCTTGGTGGCACAGACCCAGAATGGGCACTTGTCACATATATGCTTGTTGAGTAGCATAAGGGCCTTGCTGACAAGGGGCCACCTTCAACAAAAGCCTTCCCCATGTCCAACAGCTCTGGTTTGGAGGTAGGCAGATATTCTGCATCCCACATCTCCACGTGCAAATGACATCATGCCATGGTTTGTATATAAGGGAATATTTTCACAGGCCCAGGAGACTGAAAGACCCTCTAAGAGCTCACCTGGAGCCCTCAGAAAGAGATGAGCCAGAGATGCTAAGTCCTGCTGCGACTGCTGAGAAACGTCTGCCGGGCGGGGGCGGGGCATAGGCAGCATGCCTGTGGCTCTGAACTGCCTTGGACAGACAGAATTGCTATAGATTCTTAAGATTTCCAGAAAAAAATGATAGTATAACTTTTATTTATTTTTTATTTTATTTTTTTGAGACAGTCTCACTCTGTCGCCCAGGTTGGAGTGCAGTGGTGCCATCTCAGCTCACTGCAACCTCCGCCTTCCAGGTTCAAGTGATTCTCCTACCTCAGCCTCCCAAGTAGCTGGCACTACAGGCACACGCCACCATGCCCGGCTAATTTTTGTATTTTTATTTATTTATTTATTTGAGATGGAGTTTTGCTCTTGTTGTCCAGGCTGGAGTGCAGTGGTGCGATCTCGGCTCACTGCAGCCTCCACCTCCCGGCTTCAAGTTATTCTCTTGCCCCAGCTTCCCAAGTAGCTGATATTACAGGCGTGCACCACCACGCCTGGCTAATTTTGTAGATTTAGTAGAGACGGGGTTTCACCATGTTGGTCAGGCTGGTCTCGAACTCCTGGCCTCAAGTGATCTGCCTGTCTCAGCCTTCTAAAGTGCTAAAATTATAGGCATGAGCCATGACGCCCAGCCCAATAGTATAACTTTTAAAAATGTATACAAGGATTATTAACTAATTTTCGAAAAAAAAAAAAAGCAATGAAACTATTTAGATAAGAAAAAGGAGGCCGGGCTCGGTGGCTCATGCCTGGAATCCCAGCACTTTGGGAGGCCAAGGTGGGCAGATCACCTGAGTTCAAGACCAGCTTGGCCAACATGGTGAAACCCCGTCTCTACTAAAAATACAAAAATTAGCCAGGCGTGGTGATGGGTGCCTGTAATCCCAGCTACTCGAGAGGCTGAGGCAGGAGAATTGCTTGAACCCAGGAGGTGGAGGTAGTAGTGAGCTGAGATCGAGCCACTGCACTGCAGCCTGGGCGACAGAGCGAGACTCTGTCTCAAAAAAAAAAAAAGGAAAGAAAAGAAAAAGGAAGAAAACAAAAACCATGCAGACCCATGACGCTGGGACAACTCCCATGGATGCCTTGTGTGTCTGTGTGTGATAGATTAGGGCGTTGCTCAGAACATGCTCGCTGTGATCACTGGAACCGCTGTCCAATCTCAACAAGCTCCTACTTCAATTGGAACTTTCTTCTTGTGTAAGAACACCCCAAATGCATGAAAGAATATATATAACTCCTCAAGGCTCTTATGCAGCATCTTAGTGACGCTGCCAAGCAAGAGAGACGCCTTCCATGAAGCGCCATCATGCCAGTTACGGGCACGGCTCACTTGGCTTGGGGCCACTTCAACGGGCTCCTTCTGGATGATCCAGGTGACCGACTCGGTCAGCGGCGGGGTGGTGAGCGAGCCCACATAGGTCCAGTAATCCCAGCAGGTGGGCAGCAGAGCGGAGGGGTCGAAGGGGCGCATGGCCGCCTGCGCGTCCTGAGAGACCGAGAAGCACAGGCCGTATCAGTCCTCAGGTGGGACTAGGAGCTTCCATCTTGTCTCAGCACGGGAGGCCTTCATGGTGCTTGGAAGGAAGTGCTTTCCCCGAGATAAGGCCATGAGGCCACTGCTGTCACACTTGGAAGCAGTGATAAGAAAATGTGAGCCTTCTATACAGAGCAAGGATTCCTGCCAACTTACATTGGTGGGAATTACATTACATTACACCAGCTTATGTTGGTGCTTACATTTTTCCTTTTGAAGTCATTTCTTGGGGCGCAGTAGCTCACCCCTGTAATCTCAGCACTTTGGGAGGCCGAGGCGGGTGGATCACTTGAGGTCAGGAGTTCGAGACCAGCCTGGTCAACATGATGAAACCCTGTCTCTACTAAAAATACAAAAATTATCCAGATGTGGTGGTGGGCGCCTGTAGTCCCAGCTACTCAGGAGGCTGAGGCAAGAGAATTGCTTGAGCCCAGGAGGCAGAGGTTGCAGTGAGCTGAGATCACGCCACTGCACTCCAGCCTGGGCAACAGAGTGAGACTCTGTCTCAAATAATAATAATAATTAATAAATAAATAATAAAAAATTAAAAAGCCATTTCTTTTAGCATACCTTGGCTGCAAAAAATATTACTTTTTATTGTGATAAAATATACATAACATAAAATTTACCGTCTTAACCTTTTTTTTTTTTTTGAGATGCAGTTTTGCTCTTGTTGCCCAGGCTGGGGTGCAATGGTGCGATCTTGGCTCACTGCAACCCTTCGCCTCCCAGGCTCAAGTGATTCTCCTGCCTCAACCTCCTGAGTAGCTGGGATTACAGGCACCCGCCACCACATCTGCTAATTTTGTATTTTTAGTAGAGACGGGGTTTCTTCATGTTGGTCAGGCTGGTTTTGAACTCCCAATCTCAGGTGATTCACCTGCCTCAGCCTCCCACAGCGCTGGGATGAGAGGCATGAGCCACCATGCCCGGCCCATCTTAACCATTTTGAAGTGTAAAATTTGATGGCGTTAAATGCAGTCACATTGTGGTGCAACCATCTCCACCATCCGTCTCCAGAACTTTTCCATCATCCCAAACTCAAATTCTGTCCTGACCCCACTAAACACTATGTCCAGCTTCCTCCCCCAGGCCTGGCACCCACCATTCTGCTTCCATCTCTCTGAATCTGAGGACTCTGGGGACCTGATGTGGGTGGGATCCTGTGGTTTTTGTCTTTTGTGTCTGGCTTATTTCACTGGGCATAATGTCCTTCAGGTTTATCCACATTGGAGCATGTGTCAGGAGTCCCTGCATTGTTGCTTTTTTTTTTTTTTTTTTGAGACAGAGTCTCGCTGTGTCACCCAGGCTGGCGTGCAGTGGTGTGATCTCGGCTCACTGCAAGCTCCGCCTCCTGGAGTTCAAGACCAGCTTGAACTCCTGGGTTCATGCCATTATCCTGCCTCAGCCTCCCCAGTAGCTGGGACTATAGGCACCCGCCACCACGCTCGGCAAATTTTTTGTATTTTTAGTAGAGACGGGGTTTCACCATGTTAGACAGGATGGTCTCGATCTCCTGACCTCGTGATCCGCCCACCTCGGCCTCCCAAAATGTTGGGATTACAGGCATGAGCCACCGTGCCTGGCTTGCCTGGAGACATTTCTACTGCTACCTTACCGATCAGGGTATCCAGTATCTCCGTGATTACCTTCATCTGTCCCTGGAAACTGTGCCTGCCACCCTACGCTGCAGCCGTCCAGGGACTGGCAGGCCTCGGCCTAAAGGTCTGGAGGGTGGGCGACCTGCAAGACTCACAAGAGGGGAAGCCGACAGACATACCTACAGACGGAGTGCTGTGCCCCTGGTGCCGATAAGAAAGCTGAGGCTCGGGCTGGGTCAGCAACCGAATTCCAGTTTAGAGGCAGATTTGGTCGTGGACATGGCCAGCCACCTCCGTAAAATTAGAGAGGATTATTTTGCATTGAATACACTCACAGCCAAAAAACAAAAAAAAAAGAGTCAGGGTCTTACTTTGTCAACTAGGCAGGAGTGCAATGATGCCATCATAGCTCACTGCAGTCTCTAATTCCTGGGCTCAAGCGATCCCCCCGCGTCAGTCTCCCAAGTAGCTAGGACACCATACCAGGGTTTAAAATTAATTGTTTGTAGCCAGGGGGTCTTGCCATCTTGCCCAAGCTGTTCTCCAACTCCTGGGCTCCAGTGATCCTCCTGCCTTGGCCTCTCAAAATATTGGGATTACAGGCATAAGCCACTGTGCCCAGCCAGCTCTTTTGGATATATACCCAGAAGTGTGTGATTGCTGAATCATAGGGTAGTTCTATTTATAACTTTTTATTTTTTTTATTTTTTTGAGGCAGAGTCTCACTCTGTCTTCCAGGCTGGAGTGCCGTGGCATGATCTCGGCTCATGGTGGTTGGGCCTGGCCGCAACACAGCCCTCATCAGCGTCCCATGCCAACCAAGCACAACTCTGCACCTGTCCCTGGCCAGCACTGTGGGACAAGAGTCCAGTCCAAAGTGACAGAGTCTCTGTCTGGAAGGAAGATGGCCTCCCTGCTCAGCCACATCACATCACCTTGACTTTGCTGGGCCCTGGCCTTCCAAGGTGGAAGCCAGCAACCTAGATGCCTTGGGCTTGTCTCCTAACATCAAGCAGTGAGGGTCAGGGTCAAGAGAGGCGGCTGAGCTACCAGAAGGAAGCCCAGGAGTGTCCACGCCGGCAGACACATGCATCAGTTCTGTGCACACGTGTTCACGTTTATAATTATCCAGTTAATTAAAAAAAAAAAACAGCATTATAGGCTGGGCACAGTGGCTCATGCCTGTAATTGCAGCACTTTGGGAGGCCAAGGCAGGCAGATCACCTGAAGTCAGGAGTTCAAGACCAGCCTGACCAACATGGCGAAACCCCGTCTCTACTAAAAATACAAAAATTAGCCAGGCATGGTGGCAGGTGCCTGTCATCCCAGCTACTCGGGAGTCTGAGACACAAGAATTGCTTTAGCACAGGAGGCAGAGGTTGCAGTGAGCCAAGACTGCACCATTGCACTCCAGTCTGGGCAACAGAGAGAGACTCGGTCTCAAACAACAACAACAGCAACAAAACCCACAGCATTATTGTGATAGAATTCACATACCATGCAACTCTCCCATCTAAAGTGTACAACCTGGTTGGGCGCGATGGATCATGCCTGTAATCCCAGCACTTTGGGAGGCCGATGTGGGAGGACTGCTTGAGGCCAGGAGTTTGAGACCAGCCTAAGCAACATAACAAGAATCTGACTCTACAAAAAACACAAAAACTAGCCAGGTGCAGTGGTACATGCCTGTGGTCCCAGGTAGTTGGGAGGTTGAGGTGGGAGGATGGCTTGAGCCCCGGAGGTTGAGGCTGCAGTGAGCTGTGATCACACCAGTGCACTCTAGCCTGGGTGACAGAGTGAGATCCTTTCTTAAAATAAGTAAATAGGCCGGGCACAGTGGCTCATGCCTGTAATCCCAGCACTTTGGGAGGCCAAGGCGGGTGGATCACCTGAAGTCGGGAGTTCGAGACCAGCCTGACCAACATGGCGAAACTGCGTCTCTACTAAAAATACAAAATTGGCCAGGCGTGGTGGTGCATGCCTGTAATCCCAGCTACTCGGGAGGCTGAGGCAGGAGAATCGCTTGAACCTGGGAGGCAGAGGTTGCAGTGAGCTGAGATCATGCCATTGCACTCCAGCCTGGGCAACAAGAGTGAAACTCCATCTCAAAAAAAAAAAAAAAAAAAAACCAGAAAAAGTAAATAAAAATTGAAGTGTACAATTCTATGGTTTTGGGTATATTCACAGTTGTGCAGCCATCCCAAGTCAATTTTAGAACATTTTCAGCACCTCAAGGAGGAAGCTTGGTACTTTTTAGCTCTTCTCCCCACCCCCGCCGTGCTGCTTCTGTCTCTGTGGGTTTCATAGGAACTGAGTCATGTAACATGTGGAACATTTGTGTCTTGCGTCTGTCACTTAGTACGGTGCTTTTGAGGCTCACCCACACCGCAGCGTGAGTTAGAGCTGTGTCCTTTCTGATTGCCAAGTAATATCTCATTGCATGGTCTAGCTGGGTTGACATCCCATTGCACACTCTAGCTGGGCTGTGAAGGAGCAGGCTGCTTGTGCACATGGGTAACAGATGGATGTACAGTGAGACGTCAGTCTGTGCACATGGGTAACAGGTGGGTGCACCGTGAGGTGTTGGTCTATGCACATGGGTAACAGGCGGGTGTGCAGTGAGACGTCAGTCTGTGCACATGGGTAACAGGTGGGTGCACAGTGAGGTGTTAGTCTGTGCACATGGGTAACAGGCGGGTGTGCAGTGAGATGTCAGTCTGGTGCGCGTGGGTAACAGGCAGGTGTGCAGTGAGGCGTCAGTCTGGTGCACGTGGGTAACAAGTGGGTGTGCAGTGAGGCGTCAGTCTGTACACGTGGGTAACAGGTGGATGTGCAGTGAGGTGTCAGTCTGGTGCACGTGGGTAACAGGCGGGTGTGCAGTGAGATGTCAGTCTGTGCACATGGGTAACAGGTCGGTGTGCAGTGAGACGTTGGTCTGTGCACATGGGTAACAGGCAGGTGTGCAGTGAGATGTCCTCTCCTCCTGCCGGCCACACGTCCCCGCTCCCAGGGCACAGATGTGCCAGTCACTTTCTGAGCAACTACTTCAAATCTTCAGAACAACCCTTCAAGAAGTATTTCTAGTTTACTGATGAAGATAGACAGACAGATATAAACAACTTGCCCAAAGCCACGTTGCCAGTCAGGGCCACTGAGGCCTGGCCCGTTCCAAGGTGCGGGCTCATCTCTCCCTCCCCAGGACTGCAGGAATCAGTCGGGGGAGCGGCAGGCCCCAGCCATTCCACTGCGTGCAGGTTTCCTGCCAATTAAGCTTTCCAGCCTTGGGCTGAGAAGAGGATGCCTGTGTGTTGCCTCATCGTCCCCAGGAGTTCCTGTCCTGTCTCTAAGATGCATGAGGGCTGGAGCAGCCATGTGGTTACAGAAAGCTGCTCCCCCTCAGGGCCCCCAGAGGAAGTCAGGGCCCTTCCTTTATGCGTGTGGTGAGCCCCAGGCAGCTAGAATGGGACACCGGTGAGCACACCAATGAGGCTGAAGACCATCACATCCATTATCTGAGCACGGATGGCCCAGCTACCTGTGGAAAGCACCACAAGCCTTTGCTGGCGGAAGTGGGTTGGTGACTTGTTCCACTTTTCTCTTATTTATTTATTTATTTTGAGATGGAGTTTCGCTCTTGTTGCCCAGGCTGGAGTGCAATGGCACGATCTCGGCTCACCACAACCTCCACCTCCCGGGTTCAAGCGATTCTCCTGCCTCAGCCTCCCTAGCAGCTGGGATTACACGCATGCACCATCACGCCTGGCTAATTTTGTATTTGTAATAGAGATGGGGTTTCTCTATGTTGGTCAGGCTCGTCTCAAACTCCTGACCTCAGGTAATCCACCCGCCTCAGCCTCCCACAGTGCTGGGATTATAGGCGTGAGCCACTGCTCTGTTCCTGGTTTTGTCTTCTTTCTCTTAAACAGGACCCCGCATTTTATGAGCGTCAAGCCTCACCCAGCCTAACTCCGCCCTTGGTTTGTCCTCTTAGAGTCTCAGTTTCCCCAGGTGTACGACAGGCAGTGTGGTGGCTGTAATGGGCTTCCATCAGTGCCTGCCACATGGGCGTGGGGCTCGGTAGGTGCTGCCGCTGCTGCTGCCGAAGCTAGAAGAGCCCCCACAGGGCATAGAGCCATTCCCTGGATCCCCTGGACCTGGTGGGCTGTTTCCAGCTCCACAAGGCAGCCAATTCCCCGGTAGCCCTGACTCTTGCGAAGGCAGGGAGGAGGGGGGGCCCCAGCAGCCTGAGGAGCTTGCAGCTTGTCCAGGCATGGAGGGTGGGGACCCTCTGTGGGCAGTTTTTGCCAAAACTTCTGGCTATGGTGAGAGGGTCAAAGGCGAAGCCTCGAGGTCTCCATTCTGGGAGTGTCTGCCCAGGGTCACCGGGGCCACACTGGGGCTGGGCCTGCGTGCTGGGAGCTGAGTGCATAGTGACAGGTCAGCACTGGTAGGGGCCTGTGCAGATGGGACGGCGCTGGGGGTGGGGGTGGGGGTCCGGGCTTCCAGGCGGCGCCTAATGTGGTTTTGGTTATAGACACTGCCTGTGTTTCCCTCTAAGCTGCTGAAAAGCTCAGAAATGTGCAGCAGGGCCTGGAGCTCAGCCTGGGTTCTGACTGCATGTGGGAGGTGGGCGCTGGGACGACTGGGAGTTCAGGCTGCATGGAGCCACTTCCTGGGTTTAAAAACGGGCTCTTCACCTGCCACCTGTGTGCCGGGGCAAGGCCTTCTCTGCCTCTCTGAGCTTTGGTTTCCCTGTGTGTGCAAGACAGATGAATCACAGGCCCTGCCCCATGGAGTGATTGGAAGATTCAGTGTGATGATTTATATGGAGGGCTGTCGCTTCTTTGAACCCTTCCCACCGAGGTGTGGGGTGATGTCGCCTTGCCCTGAGCCTGGGCAGGTGCTCCTGGTGGGAGTGGTGAACAGGATGCCGCAGGAGCAGTGCTTTGTGACTCTGGAAGCCAGGGCAGAAAAGACATCGTGTCCGTCTGGCTCTTTCTGGAAATGCACCCTTGGAGCCCTGAGCACTGCATAGAAGCCAGCTGGGTCCCCAGGGAATGACCGTGGCAGGCATTCCTGGAGGGTCTCTGCCGAGTCAGTCCCACATCAGGGCCCGGACCAGCCTGGAACTAGGAGAGATGATGGGGACTACGTGACTCTGGTCTTTCCTGCCCTAGTTCAGGACAGCTTGTTCCTTAACTGGAGGAAACCAGGAAAGCAGCCCAGAAGCTGCAGATGAGCCCATCCCTGGGTGAGGACTGCTGAGTCCGAGGGGGTGAGAGGCAGAGCTGGGATTTGAAGCCAAGGCCATCTGCCCTTGAGCCTGAGGCCACCACGGCCCCGTCCTGCCCTGCACTGCCCACCAATCAGGAGTTAGATTCAACCACACTTCTAGCATTTTCCATCAGAAGGCCATCATTCTAAAGTTTCATGGACTCCCAAAAGGTAATAGCTCTCTCTGGGAACCAGCTGACTGAAAGCACCCGCAGCAACAAAAAGCGACTTTAACCTTAGTGATTGGGCTGGTGGATTTTCGTTTCGTGACAGGCAGCAGCAGCCTGTGCATTCCACAGCAGACGTGTGTGTGTGAGTGTTGGCCACAGCTGGGCCTTAAACTCAACTGCACATTTCACCAAGAACCAGACATGCTCCTTATTCCATTACATGGTGAGAATGCTGCTCTAGTGTGGATTTTTTTTTTTTTTTTGGAGACGGATTCTCGAGCTGTCACCCAGACTGGAGTGCAGTGGCATGATCTCGGCTCACTGCAACCTCCATCTCCTGGGTTCAAGCGATTCTCCTGCCTCAGCCTCCTGAGTAGCTGGGATTACAGGAGTGTGCCACCACACCCAGCTAATTTTTGTATTTTTAGTAGAGATGGGGTTTTGCCATGTTGGCCAGGCTGGTCTTGAACTCCTGACCTCAGGTGATCTACCCACCTCGGCCTCCCTAAGTGCTGGGATTACAGGTGTGAGCCACCGCGCCCGGGCTACTGTGGATGTTTAACATCTCCATTTCACAGGCGAGGAAGCTGAGGCTCAGAGGTGCGCAGCTCAGGAGTGGTGGATCAGGGCTCTGGACCCAGGAGTCCAACTGTGGGGCTCTCTGATACACTGTGCTATGGGAGAAGCTCCCAGAAGTCCTAGGCTAGGAGCCTCTAGGCGAGAGGGTTGTTCAAGTCTCTTCCCATTCCCTGACCCGTGAAGCATAGACTCTTGCCCCCAAGGCTGGGTCTTTTACCTCCTAAGGTCTTTTTTTTTTTTTTTTTTTTTGAGATGAGTCTCGCTGTGTCACTCGGCCTGGAGTGCAGTGGCACAATCTCAGCTCACTGCAACCTCCATCTCCCAGATTCAAGCAATTCTCCCGCCTCAGCCTCCCGAGTAGCTGGGATTACAGGCACCCGCCACCATGCCTGGCTAATTTTTGTAGTTTTAGTAGAGATAGGCTTTCACCATGTTGGCCAGGCTGGTCTTGAACTCCTGACCTAAGGTGGTCTGCCTGCTTTGGCCTCCCAAAGTGTTAGGATTACAGGCTTGAGCCACCGCACTCAGCCTCTTAAGGTCTTTTAATTTCTCAAAGGTCTAACTCGGCCAGGCGCGGTGGTTCACGCCTGTAATCCCAGCAATTTGGGAGGCCAAGGTGGGCGGATCACTTGAGGTCAGGAGTTTGAGATCAGCCTGGCCAACATGGTGAAACCCCGTCTCTACTAAAAATACAAAAATTAGCCAGGCATGGTGGTGGGCGCCGGTACTTCCAGCTACTCAGGAGGTTGAGGCAGGAGAATCAATTGAACCTGGAAGGCGGAGGTTGCAGTGAGCCGAGGTCGCGCCATTGCACTCCAGCCTGGGCAACAGAGCGAGATTCTATCTCAAAAAAAAAAAAAAAAAAAAGAGTCTAACTCTTTATTTTCAGCTGAGGGGATGAGCCCAGAGATCAGCATCAGGACCAGAGCTCAGTCCGCGGTGGCACTTCCTCCCCTGTCCCGGGCATCATTCCTCCCCTGTGGTTTGCCTAGAAAATTCTGACTTACCCCATGGGGAAGAAATGCTCCAGAACCTTCCCCAGGAGGAAAACAGCCCTTGGGTAAAGGGTCCTTCACAGCCAGCTCTTTTCTTTCCCACCAAGAGGTGGGACCACCTGGTGTGGAAGGTGGAGGCTGGCTGGGAAAACAACCCCTCCCCAGGTTTCCTCTGGCTGTGGAGCCGCGCGGAGGAAGAGGATGGGGCGTCAGAGCTCTCAGAACCGTGGCCTTGTGAAGTTTCTGAGCAGGCAGATGGGGCGGCGGGGGGTGATCTGGTCCCAGTCCCAGGAGGCCGCCCCGAAGCCAGCATCAAGGCGAAGGCCACGTACAGATCAAACGGCTCCTTGAACCGCGAGGAAGGGCTTGCCCCAGCTCCATCTGGACCAGCCCGCACCATTGTTAACACAGGTTGAAGCCTCATCCTTCCGCACATCTGAGGCTTGCGTTGACTCCTTCTGCCCTGGAATTCTTTTGTTTGCTGCTGAATAAATAAACTACATTTCTTTGGAATTTCTCCTTCTCCCTCAAAGCCTTTTCTCAGCTGATCTTGGAGAAAGGCGACACTCTTGTCCCCGTCATCTTTTCGAGCTGTGCTGGATGCAGGGAAGCGTATGGAGAGCTGGGCGCTGGATGCAGGGAAGCGTGTGGAGAGCTGGGCGCTGGATGCAGGGAAGCGTGTGGAGAGCTGGGCCGGAGAGCCGCGGTTTGGGCAGGTTTCTCTCTGCCCTTGGGCTTGGGGTCGGACAGGGACGTTCAAGGAGATGCTGGGTGGTACATGAGTCAACATTCTTAAATGTTATTAGTTAGGGATTTGAGGTTTTTGTTTCAATCTGTTTTCAAACAAACATTATCATTAGTGAATATCATCACCCAGGACAAGGCTAAAAATTTTTCGAGCTAATCAATTTAAAGAAAAATATTAAGTAGGCTGGGCGCGGTGATTCACGCCTGTAATCCCAGCACCTTGGGAGGCCAAGGCGGGCGGATCACCTGAAGTCCCCAGTTTGAGACCAGCCTGGCCAACATGGTGAAACCCCGTCTCTACTAAAAATACAAAAATTAGCTGGGTGTGGTGGCGCACACCTATTGTCCCAACTGCATGGGAGGCTGAGGCAAGAGAATTGCTTGAACCCGGGAGGCGGAGGTTGCAGTGAGCCGAGATCGCGCCACTGCATTCCAGCCTGAGTGACAGAGGGAGACTCCTCGAAAAAATAAAAAAGAAAAGAAAAATATTCAGTAGAAAGTTGTCCCATTGGCAGGCAGATACGTCAAAGTCTTCAGGATCTTGCCTGCATGACTGAATTTTGGGAACTTCCATTGAGCCCAACACCCTTATTTTATGGAGGAGGAAACAGGGTCCCAGAGCAGTGGTGACGCATTCAAAGTCAGAGAGAGCTAGCTGTGGACACACGAGCATCAACCCTGCAGAATCCTGTTTCCAGAACTGGAATCACAGCGCCTCGGCGGGGCTCTTTCCACTATGAGATTTCTTTTTCCTTGCAAATGAATCGCTGCACTAAACAATTTTGCTTGTCAAATTATGCTGATTTCTTTCTTTTCTTTTTTTTTTTTTTTGAGATAGGATTTCACTCTTGTCACCCAGGCTGGAGTGCAACAGCGCAATCTCAGCTCACTGCAACCTCCACCTCTGGGTTCAAACGATTCTCCTGCCTCAGCCTCCCGAGTAGCTGGGATTGCAGGCATGTGCCACGACACCCTGCTAATTTTGTATTTTTAGTGGAGGCGGGATTTCTCCATGTTGGTCAGGCTGGTCTCGAACTCCCGACCTCAGGTGATCCACCTGCCTCAGCCTCCCAAAGTGCTGGGATCACAGGCGTGAGCCTCCGCGCCCGGCCTGCTGATTTCAAATATGCAGCTTACCTTATGTTTTACTTCCAGCAAGATGTCCACCAGCCTCTGCAGCATCTGATGATGGGCCCCGAGCTGCGTGGCAGACACACAAGGGGTTAGCTGAAAAGGCAATGGGTGGCGGGGGGAAGCTCACTCCACTGTAAATACACCACGTTTTAAAAGCAATCCTAGGCCAGGCACGGTGGCTCACGCCTGTGATCCCAGCACTTTGGGAGGCCGAGGTGGGCAGATACCTAAGGTCAGGAGTTTGAAACCAGCCTGGCCAATATGGTGAAACCCTGTCTCTACTAAAAATACAAAAATTAGCTGGGTGTGGTGGCACACTCCTATAGTCCCAGCTACTGGGGAGGCTGAGGCAGGAGAATCACTTGAACCCAGGAGGTGGAGGTTGCAATGAGCCGAGACCACGCCACTGCACTCCAGCCTGTGTGACACAGCGAGTCCTGTCTCAAAAAAAAAAAGCAATCCTAATGATGGATCACCACTTTCTTCATTAGATCTACACCCCAGCAAGTGATTACCTTTAAAAACACGCCTATCACAGAAAGCATTCTCTCCCACGACAGCTTCCTTGTAATTTTGGTATTTCACAGAATTCCAGTGAACTAAATGCAGCTGAAACACAATGGAAAGAGAACTTAAATTGATCAGCAAGAAATAAGACAGTCACTTCCCCTTCTGAATGGCTGACCTATGTGTCCACTTAATCATAATGAAATGGCCAGGCGTGGTGGCTCACACCTGTAATCCCAGCACCTTGGGAGGCCGAGGTGGGTGGATCACGAGGTCAGGAGATCAAGACCATCCTGGCTAACATGGTGAAACCCCGTCTCTACTAAAAATACAAAAAAAAAAAATTAGCCGGGCATGGTGATGGGCGCCTGTAGTCCCAGCTACTCAGGAGGCTGAGGCAGGAGAATGGCATGAACCCAGGAGGTAGAGCTTGCAGTGAGCTGAGATTGTGCCTCTGCGCTCCAGCCTGGGTGACAGAGCGAGACTCCGTCTCAAAAAAAAAAAAAAAGAACTAAGTTGTTGCAGCCAGATGTGTAAGATCCCAGCACCAGCAGCACCTCTGAGCTCCCAGGCACTTGACGAAGCCATGGGAAGGAAGAGCCTCAGTCTTCCTGGTGGTGGGAAAAAGGAGAGGATCATGTTAACCTCATCCAATAGAAATGGGTGGTTTCATTATTTTCTACTTCCTAGTTATCCTTGGACAAGGATTACCAGAAAAAACTCAGGCCTCGGCTGGGCGTGGTGGCTCACGCCTGTAATCCCAGCACTCTGGGAGGCCGAGGCGAGTGGATCACGAGGACAGGAGTTCAAGACCCGCCTGGCCAAGATGGTGAAACCCCGTCTCTACTAAAACTACAAAAATTAGCTGGGCGCGGTGGCAGGTGCCTGTAATCCCAGCTACTCAGGAGGCTGAGGCAGGAGAATCACTTGAACCTGGGCAGCAGAGGTTGCAGTGAGCCAAGATCGCGAGATCATGCGATCGCGCCACTGCACTCCAGCCTGGGGAACAGAGTGATACTCAGTCTCAAAAATAAATAAATAAATAAAATATCTGTTCATCAAAAACAAAGTTGCAGATAGAGATACTAAAATAAAAGGCATGTTGTTAAATGAAAGGAAGCACACAGAAGCCATTGTTGTGCTCATTCTTGGAACTATTTATAAATATGTGTATGATGATGACAATAGATATCACTCCCTATTTATAAAATGTCCAGAGGTCACCTCTGGGTGTGCGATTACAAGCAATTTTCATTTTTTGGTTTGGGTGCACTCTAGTTCCACATTAACTGCAGCATTACTTTCATAACAACAACAAGTTCAAAAAACAGAAAGAGTCCTCAACTTGAAAAAGCATCAAGAAGTCAGGTGAGTGGGTGAGCAGAGGTGTGATAAAGTGAATATGGCAAAAATGATCATCACAGGACTGAGACGTCAAACTCATAGATTCTTCTCGTTCATTTCTTTTCATTTTTTCATATGTTGCAAAAATTTCATAATAAAATATTTGGGGAAATCTATAAGGCATCACTTATCACCCAAAAAAACTACAAAAACCAATTCCCAGCATTGATCCGCACTCATTTTCTCTACTGACTCCCACTTTGGAATGTTGAAAATAAGACTGCTTTAAGAAGATGATCTTGGCTGGGTGCAGTGGCTCACGCCTGTTATCCTAGCATTTTGGGAAGCTGAGGTGGGTGGATCACTTGAGGTCAGGAGTTCGAGACTAGCCTGGCCAACATGGCAAAACCACATCTCTACTAAAAATACAAAAATTAGCAGGGCCTGGTGGCACGCACCTGTAATCCCAGCTACTCGGAAGGCTGAGGCAGGAGAATCGCTTGAGCCTGGGAGACGGAGGTTGTGGTGAGCCAAGATTGCACCAATGCACTCCAGTCTGGGTGACAGAGTGAACCCTGTTTCAAAAAAACAAAAAACAAACAAACAAAAGAAGATGATCTCTATTGCAAAGATGTTCAGCTTCTCAGCGGAGGGCCTTGTGGATTTGCTAGTCCCTACAGCTGCAAGCACACAGCTGAGTGAAGCGTGGCAAAGAGCTCAAGCTCTGACTTTGAATCCCAGCTGTCTGGCTTTGGCAAGTTCCGTAACCATTCAGAACCTCAGTCTCTTCTTCCGTTAAATGAGAGAACTTAAAGTGCCTTCTTCGTAGGAGAGGAGTGTGACTAAACGGGTGGGGCGGCCGACGGTTCTGGTTTGAGCACTGACAGTCCCAGGCCCCAGGAAATCCTTCACATCTGAGCGGCAGGCATGGCTTGTTCGCCCCCCACCATAGAGCCGGAGACATGGAAAGCGTCCAGATATGTGCCGTTAGGCCACGTCTACAAACCTCTGCGGGGTACACGTGGCCGTCCACTGTGTGCTCTGAGCCCCCCTCATTCACTGCTCCCCAGTGGAAGTGAAATTGCTTCAGTCTGTAGTGGTTTTCCAAGGGCCCGCCACTAATTCCTGGAAATAAAGGCAGCGAGACGTGTGTGTCATTTTGTCTGTTTGTTGAGCTGTGGTGTTACCTGAGGCATTGTCTACATTAGGGTTATATGAGTTCACTCGCAAGGGGTTGCTGTATGGTTGAAGTGACAAGCCAAAGGTGGGCTCCGTGAAAGGTGGGCTCTGTCTGTCCCATTCACTCTGCCCCCCGCCAGCCCAGCGCCTGCCCAGAGGTTCACAGTAAATGTGGAATGAAGGCAGGGTCCCAGTGCTGCCACTGGGTGGTGGTGAGGGCCTCATCTCCCTGCAGGCAGAAATCGATAAAGAAAGTTTCTGAGATGCCTGCCTGTCCTATAAGATTTCCAGACTTTAATTTAAAAAAAAAAGATGTCTTCCAAATATTTTTTAAAAGCAGCTTAAATCCTATCACCAAATAACATTATAAAATAACACAATGAGCAAAGTTTTTGTTTTGTTTTATTTTAAGACAGAATCTTACTCTATCGCCCAGGCTGGAGTACAATGGCATGATCTCAGCTCACTGCAACCTCCACCTCTGGGTTCTAGCGATTCTCCTGCCCCAGCCTCCTGAGTAGCTGGGATTACAGGCATGTGCCACCAGGCCAAGCCAATTTTTGTATTTTAAGTAGAGACAGGGTTTCACCATGTTGGCCAGGCTGGTCTCAAACTCCTGATCTCAGGTGATCCACTCGCCTCTGCCTCCCAAAGTGCTGGGATGACAGGTGTGAGCCACCGCTCCTGGGTGAGCAAGGTTTTTAAATAAGCAGACCCTGAGCTATAGCATCAGTCCTGATCTCTGGCAGTCCCTGCTTAATCTAGGCCCACCACAGGGCCAGCTTTTATTGGAACACTCCTTCCGTCCTAAGTCACCCTAAACACTCGCCTTGGAGTCAGCGCTCTCCACCTGCAGGACTTGGGGTGCCCCTCTCCATGGCACAGTGCCAGGTGCAGCCTCCCAGGAGCTTCCTTCTCCTGACACGTGGGGCTCAGCCATAAGCATCGCTCACTGAGGCCTCTGGCTCTGCCTCACAGAGTCATGGCTGCCATCCCCAGGTCCAGGTAGTGCTGGGAGTCTGCCTTTTAACGAGCTCCCCAGGGGTTCTGATGTGGGTGGCTTCTCCTGTGTCTAAGCACTTTGTCACTAACAGATTTCCATCAACAGCTGCTACAAATGTGGTACCTATTCCACACGTTTTCATTGAAAGGAGCACAGTGTGCTCCTGGGATGGCTGGGCAAGGCTGGAAGGCGCCAGCAGAACTGGAGCACTGATCACGAATTCGCGGTGGCCCGAGTGCCTCCCGTAGCTGTGGAGGAGCCTCGTGTCACCCGCCTTGCTCATGTCACCTCCCGCTGTGGCAAAAGCCAGGAAAGCACTGAGCGCATGACGAATGCCTTGGGGAGCTTGACACTGCTGACTCCTGGTGGTTTCCTGACACCAAAAGTACTTGGGCTGGGCGTGGTGGCTCACACCTGTAGTCCTAGCACTTTGGGAGGCCGAGACGGGTGGATCACTTGAGGTCAGGAGTTAGAGACCAGCCTGGCCAACGTGGTGAAACCCATCTCTACTAAAAATACAAAAATTAGCTGGGTGTGGTGGCGGGCGCCTGTACTCCCAGCTACTCAGGAGGCTGAGGCAGGAGAATTGCTTGAACCTGGGAGGTGGAGGTTGCAGTGAGCTGAGAACGTGCCACTGCACTCCAGCCTGGGCGACAGAGTGAGACTCAGTCTCAAAAAAAAAAAAAAAAGTACTCATAGTTGGAGGCACCAAGGTGTAAACTGGAAAATGGAAAATGGATTTGGCTTTGGTCCAGTCAGGGGCTAGGCAAGTGCTGGACCAAGCCACAGAGCTGCTCACTGCCCCTCTTCACTCAAAATCTCAGTGTTGGTCTGGAGCAACCTCGGAGTCATATGTAGTTTTAAAATTCTACCATTATGAGCAAGTCTTCTATTCTCCTTAAATATACACAGATGAATTACATCTCAATTTTTAAAAATACACAGAAAGAGTGCTTCACACAATCAGCACATAAAATCACTTTGTTAGGCCAGGCACAGTGGCTCACGCCTGTAATCCTAGCACTTTGGGAGGCCAAGGCAGTTGTATCACTTGAGATCAGGTGTTCAAAACCAGCCTGGCCAACATGCTAAAACCTTGTCTTTACTAAAAATACAAAAAATTAGCCAGGTGTGTTGGTGGGTGCCTGTAATCCCAGCTACTTGGGAGGCTGAGGCAGGAGAATCGCTTGAACCTGGGAGGTGGAGGTTGCAGTGAGCCGAGATCGTGCCAATGCACTCCAGCCTGGGCGATAGAGCGAGACTCTGTCTCAAAAACAAAACACAGGCGTGAGCCACTGTGCCTGGCCTCCAAAACACAATGTAAGGAACTTACAGAACCACAAAATGCAAGCACGGTGAGCTCTGTGCTCGCTTCGCCTCGGCCTGTGTCCGTGGTAGAAAGGGGGTTTGCAGCCTACCAGCCCCAGCGGCATCAAAGTGCATTGATGGGTGGCTGAGGGTGGAGCCTGCCAGGGGGTCTGCCTCTCGCTCTTGGGATGGGCTCACTCATGATAAGTTTACTGTGTGGAAATTCATGCATGTCTGTATCATCTCTTCTAGAATAGAAATGCCTAGAAGGCAGGGATGATGGATGCTTCATGGACAAGTTAGACTGGACCCAGCCTGGTAGATGTCATTTGTAAGACTGAGTTAAGTCCCATCCAGTTGCACTCTTAGGACAGAGGCTGTTTCTGGGCTGGGCATGGTGGCTCACGCCTGTAATCCCAGCACTTTGGGAGGCCAAGGTGGGAGGATCACCCAAGGTCAGGAATTCAAGACCAGCCTGACCAACATGGTCAAATCCCACCTTTACTAAAAATACAAAAAATTAGCCACGTGTGGTGGCAGGTGCCTGTAATCCCAGCTACTTGGGAGGCTGAGGCAGGAGAATTGCTTGAACCTGGTAGGCGGAGGTTAAAGTGAGCCAAGATCGCGCCACTGCACTCCAGCCTGGGCAACAAGAGCGAAACTCAGTCTCAAAAAAAACCAAAAACAAACAAACAAAAATGGCTGTTTCCGTCTGGACCATCACTGTATCAACACGACTTAGTGCAGGAAGGGGTCATTGAAGGCACACAACGAACCCTCACGGGATGAATGAATACAGGAATGAATGGGATTAGTCAGTTCATTGATTTATTCATCGAATCACTCGGTCGGTAAGCAGCTCTGTGTGTTACAGTGGAATCGAGCCTTTCCCACGGCAGTTTGGGAACCGCCTGGGATTTCTAGGAAAGTCCACAGAACACAGAAATAGTTAAAGACCTGGATTTGCAACTCAGCTCTGCTTCTAACTTGCTGTGTGACCCTGGGCAAGTAGCTTAGCCTCTCTGAGCCTAAGCCTCTCTACCTGTTAAACGAGAAGAGCGGGAAGGATAAATGGAGACAAGGCAGGAGGCATTTTGTAAAGTGTTGTCTGATGATGGCAGTGGTGGTGATTGTGCATCGCACACCATTCAGGGGCTCCGCAGCTTCATCTGTGTAAAGAGAGTTACTACACGTTTCTCCTGGTCCCAGCTCAAGCACTCTAGGGTTCTACGTAGGCACATAAATAGGGTTCCAAAGAGCGACGCCAACTGCATAAGGCATAAGTCCACTGACAGCCGATGCCTGCCAGACCCCCACCCACAAAACCTAGTAGAAAAGTCACCCTCCAGAATGTGGCCAACCAACAAGGGCCAGGAACAGGAGCTGCTGGGACCAGAAGGGACTTGTGAGCCCTGAGCCTCTGCAGGGTAAGGTGCTGTGCTAACTCTGGGGCTAGAAGACTTTCCCAAGGGTTTCCAGCAGGGCTGGAGCCCACAGGCATCTCTTCACCTTTCCCGACCCCGAGCTGTCCCAGAATTCTTCTTCTTCTTTTTTTTTTTTTTTTTTTTTGAGACGGAGTTTCACTCTGTCGCCCAGGCTGGAATGCAGTGGCGTGATCTCAGCTCACTGCAACCTCCGCCTCCCGGGTTCAAGAGATTCTCCTGCCTCAGCCTCCCAAGTAGCTGGTACTACAGGTGGGCACCACCACACCCGGCTATTTTTTTTTTTTTTGTATTTTTAGTAAAGACGGGGTTTCACCATGTTGGCCAGGATGATCTCGATCTCCTGACCTCATGATCCGCCCCCCTTGGCTTCCCAAAGTGCTGGGATTACAGGCGTGAGCCACCGTACCCAGCCTGTCACAGAATTCTTTACTGCGGCAGCCTCTGATGGGCTGGATCCTCCGCCTCTCTACTCATTGGAGTAAGAGACAAGTCAGCCCTTTCCAATCTGCCTCCTGAGGGGAACCATGGGGCCCTCGGGACATGCAGCCCCTCCTCAGGCTGGCTCGGGGCATCTGCACCCCTGTACCTGAGCAAGGGACTTGCTTGAAACGGCGGCCACCCTGGGCTGGGGACCAAGCACGCTCAGGGGAAAACCCAAAAAGGCTACTGTGTCTCACTGGCTCTATGATACGCAAATGAGGAGGGAAGCGAAACGTTCGTTCTTCTAAGAGGGTAACTGCAAAGGAAGTCTGGGCCGCTGCGTTTTCGGGAACAGCAGGTGCGGTGGCCGATGGATAACTCGGGCTGGGCTGGAGCGGCCCCTGGTGGCAGTTCGGTGAAGAGGCACCCGGAACCTGGCAACGTGGCCCGCGCGGGGCGCACGCATATCAGGAAGACACAGAGGCCTTTTTACTGAAAATGCCAGCGGGTGCGGATTCCACGGGCTCCTCTTCAGCATCAGTCTAGTGTGGGATTCATACACCTTGAGCCTCTTTCAAGGTGAAACAGAGAATCTCACTGAAAACTTTAAATCCCACTGTAAATTCCAAAATTAGACCTGCGCCGCGAAGACCGCCCACCAGCAAAATGCCAAGCGTATTTCTTTAAAAACTGGAAAGCCGTGTTTCGCTGCTCTTCCTGTAGACAATACAGCATGGGGGCAGGAGTGGGGTCTGGAGTCGGACGCACGTTCAGAGGCTGGGGTCACTTCTCCCAAACCGTGTGCAGTCGGACGCACGTTCAGAAGCTGGGGCCGCCACTCCCAAACTGTGTGCTCTAGGTCCAGCTTTTGCACCCCTCCTAGCCTCAGTTTCCCCATCTGTAAAGTGGGGATGATCCTTGAACCCCCACCATAGGACTGCTGTTACGATTAAGTCACATGGGAAATACGAAGTCCTTAGCACAACGCTTGACATAAAGGAAGCACTCTAAAACAAACAAACAAACAAACAAAAAACAACGAACTGGAAGCCACTGAAGCCTTCATGGGGTGAAACAGCTGATTAAGGGGCAAAGGCTCTCGCTGGCCAGGTTCTGGCGTGTCCCGGGCACCACGCATCCTGTCCATGAGCTCACGTCGTTGTCGTGACGGAGAAGGCTTGGTGCATACCAGAGTGCGGCGGAGGAGCTGGCCTTCACTGGGCACCTGCTACCTGCTGGGCATTGCGAGGTAACTTTATGTTCCTCCCAGGATGAACTCCTCACAATGGCCCTACAGAGCAGGTCCTGTGAGTCCAACTTTGAGATGAGGAAATTGAGACGCAGAGAGGTTCGGTCACCTGCCCCATTTTAGCCGGCAACCTCACCCAGGTCTGACGGTCCAGGCCCTCAGCTTTTGTAGTAGGGTTCAGGCCAAACTCTGCTACTTGCCTTGCCAGTAAAGTTAGGGACCCAATTTAAGGCTGCAGACCTGGATAAAATAATCTCAAAGTGACTTCTTTTTTTTTTAGGTGGAGTCTCACTCTGTCACCCAGGCTGGAGTGCGGTAGGGTGCTCTCGGCTCACTGCAACCTCTGCCTCCCAGGTTCCAGTGATTCTCCTGCCTCAGCCTCCTGAGTTGCTGGGACTACAGACAAGTGTTACCACACCCCACTAAATTTTGTTTTTGTTTTTGTTTCTTTGAGATGGAGCCTTGCTCTGTCACCTGGGCTGGAGTGCAATGGCCAGATCTTGGCTCACTGCAACCTCCACCTCCTGAGCTCAAGCGATTCTCTCACCTCTGCTTCCCGAGTAGCTGGGATTATAAGCACCCACCAGCATGCCCAGCTAATTTTTGTATTTTTAGTAGAGGCAGGGTTTCACCATGTTGGCCAGGCTGGCCTTGAACTCTTGACCTCAGGGGATCTGCTGCCTCAGCCTCCCAAAATGCTGGGATTACAAGCATAAGCCACTGTGCCAAGCCTAAAGTGACTTTTCGTAATGACAATACAATGTCAGGATATTCTCCTTAATCAAAAAAAAAAAAAAAAAGGCAAGCCCAATTCACGAAAAGGGGTCTTTAAGCTGCCAGCCCCCATCCCCCAGACTCTGCTATCGGCAGGGCTGGTCCACCGGGCAGCACTGGCCACTGTTGCCTCAGCGTTCTGTGCAAGCAGGTGCGTCAGAACCGGCTCATGGAGATATAATTGAACGATTGCCTCAGCGCGTGCCAGACTCTCCAAACATAATAACAGATGACGTTTGGGGTCGGCTCCAGGCTGTGACGTGCTGGCCCCAGAGAATATTGTCTCTGCTATTACAACAGATGCTGTTAATAGCTATCTATTTGTAGTTCGGGGCTTTTACCAAGATGAGCAGGCTTTTGGCAGGCACGGGTTGTTTGAAGGCTTAAAATTAGTACAAGAGAAGTTTGAGATGTTCTAATTACTGGAAATTTCAAATAACACGATGCCGCAAGGGACCGGTCTGCTTCCGGTGCCACTCTCGGGGGTAATGCACGTTCCCAAGCTGTAAATGGGGAAGGCTGAGGGCTTCTGTGTGCCACCTCCCCAGGCAGGCAGGGGCCGCAGCCACTGCAAGCCCCTGCCCACAGAACTCCGCGATGACGGAACCTAGACTGCTCCCTGGAAGTTAGCCTCTGAGACCATCACATATTGGCACTGGTTTGAAAGCCAGGCAAATGTGGGCTCCAATCCTGGCTTCACACGGTGGGGCTTTGCAAGTTGTTTTATAGGTCTGTGGCCCAGACTAGACATTTGTAAAAGGATAATGATGCCTATGGCAAGGATTGAGTACTGTGATGCTTACAAAGTACCTCCCTAACAGTCCCTGGCATGCAGTGAGAGCTCAAATAATGGTAGCCACTTACTATTATTATGACTGGTGTTATTGTTATTATTAAAATTACTGTCATCGCCCAGGCACGGTGGCTCACACCTGTAATCCCAGCACTTTGGGAGGCTGAGGCGGGCAGATCACTTGAGGTCAGACGTTTGAGACCAGCCTGGGCAACATGGTGAAACCCGGTCTCTACTAAAAATACAAAAATTAGCCGGGGGTGGTGGCACGCGACTGTAGTCCCAACTACTTGGGAGGCGGAGGTGAGAGAATCGCTTGAAGCCGGGAGGTGTGGAGGTTGCGTCACTGCACTCCAGCCTGGGCGACAGAGGGAGACTCCATCTCAATAAATAAATAAACAATAAAATAAAATAAAATTGCTATCATCACTGGCATCGTCATCATCTCACTACAGCAGAGATCCGCAGTTCCCCGAAACAAATACCACGAGTCTCAAGGTAAGACCTGCACGTAAGGATGTCGAAAGATAAATATGTCTTAAGAACATGTCCATGAGAAGGGGCTTTGCCAGCCATGCAAGCATAAAAGAAGAAAAGTCCCTCATTCATCCAAAAACACCCGCTGAGTTTCTCCCGCGTGCCGGGCACCACGCTCAGTACGGGGGACAGAGGGAGGAGGCTCTAGGCTCTGACTTGCCCTTGCAGAGCTTGGAATCCAGGAGTGTCAGACGGTGGTAGAGATAAAAAGCTGTGTGTCTGAGAGGTGAGGGCGTGGGCTTTGGGGCCCTAAACTTGCTTGGGACGCCCGGGAGGGCCCCCGTGGAAGCGGCGTTTCAGTGGAGCCCTGAAGATGGGTTTCTATTTGTCAGGTGAAGATAATGGCAGCTCCAGGCAGAAAGGGACGACCAGCGGAAAGGACCCTGGTGAGAGCAGCCACCACGACGGAACAGGCAGAAGCACCAGCTGGCAAAGGCACTGTCAGGGGCAGCGGGAGATGGGATTGGAAGGGCAACAGGGTTGGCGCCCGGGTGGCGAAAGGAAGGGGGGCCTTCGCCAACAAACCCCAACAGGGTTTTTTTTTTTTTTTTTTTTTTTTTGAGACAGAGTCTTGCTCTGTCACCCAGGCTGGATGCAGTGGTACAATCTTGGCTCACTGCAGCCTCTGCCTCCTAGGTTCAAGCTATTCTCCTGCCTCAGCCTCCTGTAGCTGGGATTACAGGCACGCACCACCACAACTGGCTAATTTTTGTATATTTAGTAGAGACAGGGTTTCACCATGTTGGCCAGTCTGGTCTCAAACTCCTGACCTCAGGTGATCCACCTGCCTCGGCCTCCCAAAGTGCTGGAATTATAGGCGTGAGCCACCACAACCTGGGGAGGTCAATGCTGCAGTGAGCTGTGACGCAGCACTGTAGTCCAGCCTGGGTGACACAGTGAGATCTTGTCTCAAAAAAAGAAGTATTCAGCAAAATATATATTTGAAATAAATTTCATACCTACGAGTAAGTTTTCTAATATCCAATTATTATTTTACTGTTAACATGCTCAGAACTGTATAGCTCAGGGGTATGATTCTTCCCACTGACATTTTCAAAAGATGGTTTATGATTCCTTGATACAGTTACAGAAATGTTGGTTCTGCAGGGAAGATTATTTTACTACATTTTATAGATTTATTTATTTAATAGTGACCCAAAGATATACTATCCAGCAGCCAGTGAATGTAATGGTTAAGTTTGTTGTTAATGGAGATCTATAACTGGGGTAATTAATTGGGCAAGAAAACCAACATATGATCTCTTCTAGTTATCTGGGATAAGGTACTTCATGTAGTAAAGTTAGAAATGGGTTGTCTTAATTGTTTTATACATCCAACTCATATTAAAATTTGTGCCTGGGTGCAGTGGCTCATGCCTGTAATTCCAGCACTTTGGGAGGCCTAGGCGGGCAGATGACTTGAGCCCAGGAGTTTGAGACCAGCCTGGGCAACATGGTGAGACCCCATCTCTACAAAAATACAAAAATTAGCCAGGTGCAGTGGCGTCCGCCTGTAGTCCCAGCTACTCAGGAGGCTGAGGCTGGAAAATCACGAGCCCAGGAAGCAGAGGTTGCGATGAGTCAAGATCATGTCACTGTGCCCAGGCTGGGTGACAGTGAGACCTTGTCTCAAAAAAAAAAAAAAAAAAAAAAAACTTGCAACACAAGTCCACATTTTGCACAAAGAAGAAACAATGACAATGAAGTTCTAGTATATGAAAGGAAAAGGGCTATTCCTTCCACTCAGCCCACTAAGCATGCTTGCATTCTTTCTTCAGCAAACATTTTTGAGTGCCTACTGGTATTAGCACTGAGCTGGGAACTGGGATACAAAGAGTCCTAATATATATATATATATATATATATTTTAAGAGACTTGCGGTATTGCCCAGGCTGGGATGCACTGGCATGACATGATCATACCTCACTGCAGTCTCTTGGGCTCAAGCGATCCTCCCACTTCAGTCTCCCAGGTAGCTAGGACACGGGTGCATACCACCATGCCTGGCTAATTTTTTTTTTTTTTTCAGATGGAGTCTCACTCTGTCACTCAGGCTGGAGTGCAGTGGCGTGACCTTGGCTCACTGCAACCTCCACCTCCTGGGTTCAAGAAATTCTCCTGCCTCAGCCTCCTGAGTAGCTGGGATTACAGGTGTGTGCCACCACGCCCAGCTAATTTTTGTATTTTTTGTAGAGACAGGATCTCACCATGTTGCCCAGGCTGGTCTTGAACTCCTGGGCTCAAGTCATCCACCAGCCTCAGCCTCCCAAAGTGCTGGGATTATAGGCATGAGGCACCCCACCCAGCTCTTAAAACTAATTTTAAAACTGCTTTTTGAAAACAAGTGCTTTCCATATTTACTAAAGCAACAACCTGGAAATTCTCAGGCAAGAACTGGCTCCTGCTTGTTTAATGACCTCTTTTCATATTAGGACTAAATTGGTGGTTTTATGCCATGTTAAAGATTAGGCTACTTAGGGAGAAACGAGCTAATCTTATGTATTATACTTGGGGCTGGTGGACTTTGTTCTTTCAAAGTATCAATTCTGTATCATACTCTTGATTCTGCTGTAGCTCTGAAATGCTCCATTGTAAGTTTCTTATTCTTTTTCTTTGTTTGTTTTTTCTTTTTAAAGGCATGGCCTCACTGTGTTGCCCAGGCTAGAGTGCAGTGTCAGATCATAGCTCACTGCAGCCATGACTTCCGGGGCTCAAGCAATCCTCTCCTCTCAGCCTACTGAGTAGCTGGGACTATGGGAACATGCCACCATTTCCAGCTAATTATTATTATTATTATTTTTTGGTAGAGACAGGTCTCACTATGTTGCCCAGGCTGGTCTGAAACTCGTGGGTTTAAGCAATCCTCCCTCCTTGGCCTCCCAAAGTGTTGGGATTGTAGGCGTGAACCACTATGCCCAGCTGTAAATTTTTGTATTAATGTTTTTCCATATTATTGACCTATAAAGCCATTGAAGCATAGTGCCTTGAAAGGAAAGCAAAAAAGTAAAAATAATAATAATTTAAAAAACCCTCCTCTGAATTGCTCATGTAGCCTACTATTGGGTCAACTAGAAGAGTGAGAAATAGCCAGCAGTTAGAACATTCCACATATTCTGAGTGTCAAATTTTATTACTTTGGTGAGACATGACTTCCCGCTTTCAGCACTATGGGTTTTTTGTTTGTTTGTTTTCAAGATGAAGTCTTGCTCTGTCACCCAGGCTGGAGTGCAGTGGCGCGATGTTGGCTCACTGCAACCTCTGCCTCCCAGGTTCAAGTGATTCTCCTGCCTCAGCCTCCTGAGCGACAGGGATTACAGGCGCATACCACCACACCCAGCTAATTTTTGTATTTTAGTCGAGACCGGGTTTCACCATGTTGGCCAGGCTGGTCTCGAACTCCTAACCTCAAGTGATCTGCCTGCTTCGGCCTCCCAAAGTGCTGGGATTATAGGTGTTAGCCACTGTGCCCGGCCAGCACTATGTATTTTAGAAGACAATATTAAAAAACATGCACAAATTACAACTCCAAAAAATTGTGTACATATAATCGTATTCATTTGTTAGGATTGCTGAAATGAACATTGGGATAATCACTGTGTCTTTGACAAGGTTCTTTAAATTAAGTCCAGTTGCTAACTGTAATGAACATGAGTACTTGTGGCATTCTAAATTATTAAAAATATTTGGCCCAAAAGATTATGGCTCATGCCTGTAATCCCAGCACTTTGGGAGGCTGAGGCAGGAGTGTCGCTTGAGCCCAGGGGTTTGAGACCAGCCTGGGAAACATTTTTTGTAGAAACAAGGTCTCACAGTTGCCCAGGCAGGTCTTGAACTATTAGATACTTGATGGGATTTGTCAGAGGCGATCCCTTCCAGTTGAGAGTGTCTTAACTCATTTCTACTAAAAGCATATGACCATCTTCTTAGAAACTGAGGTTTTTCCTTCTGATAAATTTGTATTAGAGACACCATTTTATTTATTTTTATTTTATTTTATTTTTGAGACAGAGTCTCGCTGTTTCACCCAGGCTGGAGTGCAGTGGTGTGATCTCAGCTCGCTGCAGCCTCTGCCTCCTGGGTTCAAGTGATTCTCCTGCCTCAGCCTCCCAAGTAGCTGGGACTACATGCATGAGCCTTAATGCCCAGCTAATTTTTTTTTTTTTGTACTTTTAGTAGAGACAGAGTTTCACCATGTTGGCCAGGCTGGTCTCAAACTCCCGACCTCAAGTAATATGCCTGCCTTGGCCTCCCAAAGTGCTGGGATTACAGGCATGAGCCACCGCGCACTGCCACCATTTTATCTTGAAGAGATTTTTAGTTCATATCTAAGTAAAAAATCCTCAGCTCCAAACTCACTAGCTGTGTAACTTTGGCCAATTTAATTAACCTGTCTAAGCCTCAGTGTCTTCTTCAGGGGTGTTGTGAAATTAGTAGCAATGAGGGAAATGTTCCAACAGGGTGCTATGGATTAAATTTTGTCTTCCCCAAATTCATATGTTGAAGCCTTAAACCCTAAAGAGATGCTGTTTTGAGATGAGGCCTTTGGAGGTGATTAGGTTTAGTTGAGGTGATGAGGGTGGGCCTGCATGATGGGATTAGTGTCCTCATAAGAAGAGACATGAGGCTGAGCACAGTGGCTCATGCCTGTAATCCCAGTGCTTTGGAAGGCTGAGGCGGGTGGGTCACAAGGTCAGGAGATGGAGACCATCCTGGCCAACATGGTGAAACCCTGTATCTACTAAAAGTACAAAAATTATCTGGGCGTGGTGGGGTGTGCCTGTAGTCCCAGCTACTCAGCAGGCTGAGGCAGGAGAATATCTTGAACCCGGGAGGTGGAGGTTGCAGTGAGCTGAGATCGCACCACTGCACTCCAGCCTGAGGGACAGAGCGAGACTCTGTCTCAAAAAAAAAAAAAAGAAGAGACATGAGAGAGCTCTCTTTCTCTCTCTTTCTCCCCCCATTCCCCTTCCTTCTCCCTCTCCCTCCTTCTCCCTCCCTCTCCCTTATCCTCTTCCCTCCTTTTCTCTCTCCCATACAAGAAGCTAGTTTCCTGTCTACAAGCCAGGTAGACAGTCTTCACTAGAATCCAACCATGCTGGCACCCTGATCTCAGACTTCCCAGCCTTCATAACTGTGAGAAATAAATGTCTGTTGTTTAAGCCACCTAGGCCGGGTCTTGGGGCTCACAATATAATCCTGGCGGTTTGGAAGGCCAAGGTGGGAGGAGGCTGAAGCCCAGAGTTCAAGACCCGCCTGGGCAACGGTGAGACCTTGTTTCTACAAAAAAAAGTTTAAAAAAATTAGCTGGGCTTGGTGGTGTGTTCTTGTAGTCCTAGCTGTTTGGGAGGCTGAGATGGAAGGCTCACTTGAGTCTGGGAGATTGAGGCTACAGTGAGCTATGATTGGTCTACTGCACTCTAGCCTGGGTGACAGAGCAAGGCCCTCTTAATAAATAAATATATAAATAGCTACCCAACCTGTACTATGATATTTTGTTATGGCAGCCCAAGCTAAGACATAGAGCCAGGCAAATAGTAAGCCTTCGATGCATCTCACACCATTATTCTTAAAAGGGACATGTCAGGCTGAGCCCAGAAAGGAGAAATTCCCTCTCTATTCTTGAAGTAGCAACAGTTTATAGGGACTCAAGTTTTCTTTTCACGAATTCGAAAGAAACTATACGGACACATTCACCTTACTGAGGTTTCTCTGGCCTTGTCCATTCTGAGCTCCTGTTTTTTCTGCAGAGGTGCTCATTGATACTGACTTGGTGATCTTGAAAGGATTCTCTGTATTTCTCTTTTTTTAAATAGAGATAGGGTCAGTCTTGCCATGTTTACCAGGCTGGTCTGAAACTCTTGGCCTCAAGTGATCCACCTGCCTCAGCCTCCCAAAGTGTTGGGATTACAGGTATGGACCACTGCGCTGGGCCAGGGTTGTCTGTTTTTATATGAATGACCATAAAGTTATTTCACTGATGCCATCAGGAAGCAACCTTATTAATTTTATGTATTTTTGAGCTGATGTTGATAGCAGAAGAGTGGAAAGGAGTCAGACTTTGCTTTAGTCTCGTGATGTAGAAGATCCTAAAGATAGGATTCAAGGTGAGAGTATGATCATTTATATGGCCCTCTTCACCTCACAGAGCTGAATTTACCAATAATTTGGCAGGTATAAGCTAGGAAAATGAAGTAAAAGGGTCCAGACAGTAATATTTTAGAATTCTGTTACCTGCGGGTGGATACTTTCTTCTTTTGAGAATAGAAGATTAGGCTGGGTGCAGTGGCTCATGCCTGTAATCCCAGCACCTTAGAAGGCTGAGGCAGGCAGATCACTTGAGTCTAGGAGTTTGAGACCAGCCTGGGCATCATAGCAAGACCCCGTCTCTACTAAAAATACAAAAAAAAAAAAGTAGCTGGCTGTGGTGGTGTGTGCCTGTAATACCAACTACTCAGGAGGCTGAGGTAAGAGAATCACTTGAACCCAGGAGGTGGAGGTTGCAGTGAGCCAAGATTGTGCCACTGCACTCCAGCCTGAGTGACAGAGCAAGACTCTGTCAGAAAAAAGAAAGAAAAGAGAGAGAGAGAAAGGAAGAGGGGAAGGGAAGGAAGGGAAGGAAGGAAGAGAGAGAGGAAGGAAGGAAGAGAGAGAGAGGAAGGAAGGAAGGAAAAGGAAGGAAGGAAGGGAACAGAAGATTAGTTGAGCATAGTGGCTCAGTGCCTGTAATCCCAGCACTTTGGGAGGCCGAGGTAGGCAGATCATTTGAGCCTAGGAGTTCAAGACCAGCCTGGGAAACATGGCAAAATCCCATCTCTACAAAAAATAGAAAAATTAGCTGGGCATTGTGGCATGCATCTGTAGTCCCAGCTACTTGTGGGGCTGATGCAGGAGGGTCACTTGAGCCCAGGAGGCAGAGGTTGCAGTGAAGTATGATTATGCCACTGCACTCCAGCCTAGGTGGCAGAGTGAGACTCTGTCTCAAAAAAAAAAAAAAAAAAAAGAAGATTGTGAGCAAAAATTGAATGCAATTTTTTTCATAAGCAGAGGTGTAATGGTTATTATTACAAAAGATGATATTAAATTTATTTATGTATTATCTCTTTGCCTCCACCAGAATGTAAGCTTTGTTGAAGGCAAGGATCATTGTTGATTTATTTACTCTGTATCCCAGGCATCTAAAACAGTAAGTGTGCAATAAATATTTGTTGAATGAATCAAAGCATAAGCAAGGCTTCAGATTCATTTTTCTATCAGAGATTCATTTAAAAATGTTAAGGAAATGAGAGGTGAAGACATCCTAAAGGCATAATACTCAAAGTAGTCAGTAGGTTCATTGATAACCCAGAGGAAAATATATAATATTATAGAGGAAAAGAAATTCTCTGAAATCATGGCATCTCTCCTAGCTTGGGATAACATTTTAGCAGAAAGACCGAAGAACTCTTCCAAGAAACATCAAGCAATTAAATGAAGTAGTAGAAAAATCACCAGTACTTTAAAGTAGATGAAGCCATTAAAATAGTTGCAGCTTCAGTAATCACCATGTAAGCCTGTAAGTGGTGGGTCTTAGACCACAACATGGTAGTTATCAAATTGCTTTATTCATCGAAATGTTCATTCTCCTGGCTGCCCTTGAACTTCCAGCCTAAGGCTTTCTCTCTGCAGGGTTGTCAGCATGCTCATGCAAGGCTTTGCCTCTGCAGATTATCAGAGGTGTACTCCATGCCCCTCTCACCATGAAAAAAGGGAGAAAAAGACAATTTCGTCTCAGAGATAGAAAATCTCCCAGAGAGAACCCCTGGCAGCTGGAATCCATTTTTTTCCCCCTGAAGCTGGAATCTGTTATAACTACAGAACACTGAAGGATAATGAGGTTCTGCTGCTAAGCAAATGCTGGGACAAAAAGCACAGAGGTGCTGCAGCCAGGCAGAGACTGGGCTTTTCATGAAACCCTGTGTCTCTGAGCACATATTGCAATAATTCTCTGACTAGCTGCTCAAGGCCTTGGCTTCGTGGCTTTTTACTCCGTTTAAAGGTCTTGATCAGGCCACTTCCGTTTTTAATGTTTGAGAAATGTCTGATTTATGCTGCTTCAAAGTGGAACTTGGGTTTCTATTACCTTTTTGGCACCTTGCACCCATTGTTGGCCTAGTTCTGCTGTCTCGTCTATCTTGTGGTTCCTATCAGTAAACAAAGTCCAGGAGAGGCGTCATGCTTGTGAACACCTCCAACATCAAGTTCAAAAGTACAATCATGACCTTGTCCTGTCGTTCTCAGAATCTGGGCTCAGCTATTTCAAACCTCCCATGTCTTCACTGGTAGTGGTCAATTAGAAATCACTGAATCCTTTCCCTAGAGTGGTCAGAGACAGCCAGTTTATGGTAATTTGGGCACAAGTGCCAATTGGAAAGGTGCATTATTCAAACCACTTTGGCTACAAGTGACAGAAATTCAATGCAGGTTAGCTTAAATAAAAAAGGAATTCGGGCTGGGAACAGTGGCTCATGCCTATAATCCCAGCATTTTGGGAGGCCGAGGCGGGTGGATCACCTAAGGTCAGAAGTTCTAAACCAGCCCGGGCAACACGGTGAAACCCTGCCTGTACTATAAATACAAAAAATTAGCCAGGCATGGTAGTGCACGCCTGTAGTCCCAGCTACTCTGGAGGCTGAGGCAGAAGAATCACTTGAACCCGGGAGGTGGAAGTTGCAGTGAGCCAAGATCACGCCACTGTACTCCAGCCTGGGCGACAGTGAGACTCTGTCTCAAAAAAAAAGAAAAAAAGAAAAAAAAGGGAATTTATTGGCTTCTGTAGCTGAAAAGTCAGGCAGATTTGGATCTCAAATTATGTCATTAACTAGTTTCTCTGACTTACCCTCTGCGTTGTGTATAAGCTTTTCATCGCATGGCAGCAAGATACCTCCATGTTCACATAGGGCTAACAGCCCAAGATGGTGAGGAAACATGCACTTTTGTTCCAGTAGCACAGAAAAAGTCCCCAGGTGGATGCTAATGGGCACTGTATGAGTCAAGTGCTCATGGCTGAGGCAGTAGTTGTACCTTGACACATGAAGTCCTCTGACCAGATCTGGGCATGTACCTGACCTTGGGGATGGAAGTGAGGCAGTCCAGCTCCACCAACTCGTAAGGACTGAGACAGTTTACTAGGGAAGAGGGGAAAGCGTGTTTCTTACAGGAAGAAATGCGGGCAGACAAAACACCATATACCCCTTAAATTAGGTTTTCCATAGATAATTGAGGGGGAGCAGAAGGGTAACCACATTTTGACAGCATCATCAGTATGTGGTGAGTGGCCCAGCATTTGACCCTGGCCTCTGTGGTCATCTCAGAGCCCAGAAAGTAGCAGCAGAAGAGCAGAGCATGGGTAGGTAACCATCAGTTCTTGGATAACTGAAGGGTGATCTTAAGGAGCAGTGAGTCTGTGGGATGGCCATGCCTAACAAATGTCATCCAGTTCAGAGCACCAAGGACATTCCCAGCTATGGCTTTTATCTTTTATCTTCTTCTTCTTCTGGTTTTGCTCTGTCACCCAGGCTGGAGTGTAGTGGCATGATCTCGGCTCACTGCAACCTCTGCCTCCCAGGTTCAAGCAATCCTCCCACCTCAGCCCCCCGCGTAGCTGGGACTGCAGCTGAGCGCCACTACACCCAGCTAATTTTTGTATGTTTTGTAGAGATGGGGTTTCACCATGTTGATCATGCTGGTCTTGAAGTCCTAGGCTCAAGCAATCTGCCTGCCTTGGGCTCCCACAATGTTGGGATTACAGGCATAAGCCACCATGCCTGGCTCCAGCTGTGGCTTTTAGAGGAGGAGGTAGTGGTGGCCGGAGGTTTTGCACATGATTCTAGGCAGAACCCTCCTAGTTAATGCCTACTTGTCCTTTAGAACTCAGCTCAAATATTTCCTCTGGGGAGCATTCTCTGGCCTCCACTTGCCCAGCATGAGCCAGACCCTCTAACAATGAGCTCTCATTTAATACCTTGTTTTTCTATCATAGCACTTTCTACAGTCATCTTATATAATCATGTGTAAATCAAACTTATGACTATTTAAATAAGACCTATCTCCCACACTAGGAGGTAGGTAGGCTCCATGAAGATAGAGACTTTAGCAGTTTCACCTACCATTGAATACCCAGTATTTAGTCCAGTGCCTAGCACATTAATAATCACATGGGACCTATTTTTTTTAGATGAATAAGTTATATACAGAGGTTCTGGTAATAGCCATTGGTTCTAGTATGAAAATGTAACAAACTGCCTCCTCTTCTTCTATCATATAGTTTGACTTTTTCACATCTTTCCTCAATTGGTAGAATTAATAAGGTGCTATTTTAGATAACCCATGTCACCAAAAAGAAGCTGCAGACTGGACAATCAGCCTCTAAGTAATCAAGGGCCCCCTTTTACTGTGCATGATTTAAATGAAAAATACAATCTATCTGGAATGTAACTGAGAACCATAGGAATCTTTGGGCTTCGTGAAAGTTCTTAGCAGAAAATCAGGCCATGTCACTTCTGAATAATATTATTAACCCTGGTTTCCTCTTGTAACCTCTAAGTGTGTTGAATGGAAGTAAGTTTAGTACTAGAAAGGAATGCACAGATCCTACCACTTTGTTTAAAACCTGTTGGATGGGCCAGATGCAGTGACTCACCCCTGTCATCCCAGCACTTTGAGACGCGAAGGCGGGGGAATTGCTTGAGGCCACAAGTTTGAGACCAGCCTGGGCAACATAGCGAGACCCTGTCTCTACAAAAAATAAAAAAATTAGCTGGGTGTGGTGGCACGTGCCTGTAGTCCTAGCTATTTGGGAGGCTAAGGTGGGAGGATCACTGGAGCCCAGGAGTTCAAGGCTGCAGTGAGCCATGATTGTGCCACTGCACTCCAGCCTGGGCAACAGAGAAAGACTCAGACTCTAAAAAAAAAATAAAAACCTGTTGGATGGTAATTTCAAGATAAATTATTACAAGTACACACATGTACGTGCCTATCCTTTGTGCCTTTGTCCCCATCCTTGGTCCTCTGTTGTAGCTGTTGCATTTTTCACCAGGCATTGTGATCACAGGTTGACATGTCAGCTTCCTCTGGTATGAGCAACTGGAAGGTAGGGGTGACTCAGCTATCCATAATTTGAAAGAATCAAAACTGTTTGATAAAATATCTTACTTTTTTTTTTCTTTTTGAGACTGAGTCTTACTCTGTCACCCAGGCTAGAGTGCAGTGGCACAATCTTGGCTCACTGCAATCTCCACCTCCTGGGTTCAAGCAATTCTTCTGCCTCAGCCTCTGGAGTAGCTGGGATTACAGGTGGCTGCCACCACACCCGGCTAATTTTTATATTTTTAGTAGAGACGGGGTTTTACCATGTTGGCCAGGCTGGTCTCGAACTCCTGACCTCAAGTGATCCATCCGCCTTGGCCTCCCAAAGTGTTGGGATTACAGGCATGAGCCACTGTGCCTGGCCAAAATCTCTTACTTTTTAAATGGTTTCATAGATAAAACTTTTCCGAATCCTTTGTTAAACAAATTTGAATTAATAAGAAGCCATTGGAGAAACTATGTTCTCTATCTTCTTTCCCCCCTAGTGCAGTTTTAGATCTTCATGATGCTATGTTTAGTTTGATTTGCCTGGTCCCACTGGGCATTGCAATAATTCATATTCTGGCGTGGAGCCCATTTTCAGTCAGAAACAAGACAGACTACATGGGGACTCTTCAAGGCCAACACCGGCTGTTATGGGATTCAAACAAAACTTCAAGTGTTTGTTCTTATAGAGTTTACATCGTACCAGAAGGCAAAACTGTTCATTTTAACCTCTAATTTGTTTAGAAAACAAAGCAAATAAAACAAAAAAGAAATCCTACAAGTTTTAGAGCTTTTTGACTCTAAATTAGAAAGTTAAATATCAGGTGTAAGGCCTGTCCGTTGGCTATTTCCAAGCAGTCTTGTAGCTTGGACACAGCTGTAACTCTTCATCAATGAATTTCCATATGTGGATTGGTTTGGGTTTCCCAGAGCCCACTGGGAAAACCAACCACATGGGCTGTGCATGCCACTTCCTTTTATTTTATTTATTTTTTTATTATTTATTTATTTTGAGACAGAGTTTCACTCTTGTGGCCCAGGCTGGAGTACAATGGCGAGATCTTGTCTCACTTCAACCTCCGCCTCCCAGGTTCAAGCAATTCTCCTGTCTCAGCCTCCCGAGTAGCTGGGATTACAGGTGCCGGCCACTACGCCTGGCTAATTTTTGTATTCTTAGTAGAGACGGGGTTTCACCATGTTGGCCAGGCTGGTTTTGAACTCCTGACCTCAGGTGATCCACCCACCTTGGCCTCTCAAAGTGCTGGGATTACAGGCATGAGCCACTGCACCCACCCTATTTTTTATTTTTTTGAGAAAGAGTCTTGCTCTGTCACCCAGGCTAGAGTGCAGTGGCACAATCTTGGCTCACCGCAACCTCTGCCTCCCAGGTTGAAGCAGTTTTCATGCCTCAGCCTCCCGAGTAGCTGGGACCACAGGGGTGTGCCACCACAACTGGCTAATTTTTTAAAATTATTCTTCTATTTTTAAAATTTTTATTTTATTAATTTATTTTTCAGAGACAAGGTCTCGTGCTGTTGCCCAGGCTGGAGTGCAGTGGTGCGATCACAGCTCACTGCAGCCTCAATTTCCCGGGTTCAAGAGATCCTCCCACCTCAGCATCACAAAGTGCTGGCATTATAGGCATGAGCCACCATGCCCAGCCCCTTTTATTTTTTAAACCTCATGTTGCTTCTCTGACCAATTTTATTAGTGAGACAACAGTTTTTTGTTTTTCATTAATGCTGCATCATCATCATCTGTAGATTCACCTGTGATTTTATAGCGGAGAAGGTCACCACACAACGTGATTTCAAAATAAATTATAAACTATTGTAATCAAGACAGCATCGTGCTGACATAAAAACAGACCAGTGGGCTGGGTGCTGTGGTTCACACCTATAATCCCAACACTTTGGGAGGCCGAGGTGGGTGGATCACCTGAGGTCAGGAGTTTGAGACCAGCCTGGCCAACGTGGTGAAACCCCATCTCTACTAAACATACAAAAAATTAGCCAGGTGTGGTGGTGCATGCCTGTAATCCCAGCTACTGGGGAGGCCGAGGCAGGAGAATTGCTTGAACCTGGGAGATGGAGGTTGCAGTGAGCAGAGATCATGCCATTGCACTCCAGCCTGGGCAACAAGAGCAAAAACGCCATCTCAAAAAAACAAAAACAAAAACAAAAATGAAAAACAAACAACAACAACAACAACAACAACAAAACCCCAGACCAATGGAATAGGATAGAAAGCCCAGAAAAAAACACAGGCATTTACAGTCAATTGATTTTCAACAAAGGTGTCATGAACACACAACAGGGAAAGGACAGTCTCTTCAATAAATGGTGACGGGAAAACTGGATATCCACATCCAGAATGAAATTGGACCCTTTGGCCAGGCACAGTGGCTCATGCCTGTAATCCTAACACTTTGGGAGGCTGAGGCGGGCAGATCATGAGGTCAAGAGATCGAGAGCATCCTGGCCAACATGGTGAAACCTCGTCTCTACTAACAATACAAAAATTAGCCGGGCGTGGTGGTGCATGTTTGTAGTCCCAGCTACTCGGGAGGCTGAGGCAGGAGAATCACTTGAACCCAGGAGGCAGAGGTTGCAGTGAGCCAAGATCATGCTACTGCACTCCAGCCTGGTGACAGAGGGAGACTCTGTCTCAAAAACAAACAAACAAACAAAAAAACCCCAGAAATTAAACCCTTAGCTCTCACCGTATATAAAAATCAACTCAAAATGAAGTAACAACTTAAACATAAAGCCTGAAACTGTAAAACTGCCAGAAAAAAACAAAAGAGAAAGCTGCAGAACATTGGTCTGGTCAATTATTTCTTGGGTAGGACTCCAAAAGCATAAGCAGCTAAAGCAAAAATAGACAAAAGAGATTAGGTCAAACTAAAGAGCTTCTGCACAGCAAAGGAAATAATTAACAAAGTGAAGAGACAATCCACAGAGTAGGGTAAAATATTTGCAAACTATATATCTGACAAGGGGCTAATATCCACAATATATAAGGAACTCAAAAGAACTCAATAGTGAGAAAACATGACTAAAAAATGAGCAAAGGATGTGAACAGATTTTCTATTTCTCAACAGAAGACATATGAATGGCCAACAGATATATGAAAAAAATGTTCCACATCGCTAATTATCAAGGAAATACAAATTAAAACCACAATGAAGGCCAGGTGTGGTGGCTCATGCCTATAATCCCAGCACTTTGGTAGGCTGAGGGCAGGCGGATCAACTGAGGTCAGGAGTTCTAGACCAGCCTGGCCAATGTGGTGAAACCCCCGTGTCTACTAAAAATATAAAAATTAGCCAGGCGTGGTGGCGGGCACCTGTAATCCCAGCTATTCAGGAGGCTGAGGCAGGAGAATTGCTTGAACCCGGGAGGTGGAGGTTGCATGAGCCGAGATCATGCCATTGTACTCCAGCCTGGGTGACAGAGAAAGACTCCATCTCAAAAATAAATAAATAAATAAATAAATAAATAAATAAATAAATAAATAAGTCCACAATGAGGTATCACGTCACACCTATTAGAACGGCTATTTTGGCTGGGCGCAGTGGCTCACGCCTGTAATCCCAACACTTTGGGAGGCCAAGGCAGGCGGATCATGAGGTCAGGAGATTGAGACCATCCTGGCCAACATAGTGAAACCCTGTCTCTACTAAAATACAAAAAATTAGCTGGGTGTAGTGGCAGATGCTGTAATCCCAGCTACTCAGGAGGCTGAGGCAGAGGAATCGCTTGAACTAAGGAGGCAGAGATTGCAGTGAGCCAAGCTCATGCCACTGCACTCCAGCCTAGGTGGCAGAGCAAGACTCCGTCTTAAAAAGAAATGGCTATTATCAAAAAAGTAAGAGGTCAGCATGGTGCCTACGCCTGTAATTTCAGCACTGGAAGGCTGAGGTGGGCAAATCTGCTTGAGGCCAGGAGGTCAAGACCAGCCTGGGCAAAATTACTAAACCCAGTCTCTACAAAAAGAAATAATAATACAAAAAATTGGCCAGGCATGGTGGTCCATGCCTGTAGTCCCAGCTACTCAAGAGGGTGAGTGGGAGGATCACCCAAACCCAGGAGTTCGAGGCTGCAGTGAGTTGTGATCAAGCCACTGTGCTCTAGCCTGGGCCACAGAGTGAGACTTCTACCATGGTCAGTTTCAAGATATCAATGTGATATCACTGAACACAAATTTGGAAATTGATGAGTAGTCACATACCATTATAAAGTATTTCCACCACGCTGTCTCAAAAGAAAAAAAAAAATGACAGGCCAGGCGCGGTGGCCCATGTCTATAATCCCAGCACTTTGGGAGGCCAAGGTGGGTAGATCACTTGAGGTCAGGAGTTCAAGACCAGCCTGGCTCACACCTGTAATCCCAGCATTTTGGGAGGCCAAGGTGGGAGGATCACTTGAACTCAGGAGTTCAAGATCTCAGCCTGGGCAACATGGTGAAACTCCATCTGTACAAAAAATACAAAAATTGGCCAGGCACGGTTGGTCATGCCTGCAATCCTAGCACTTTGGGAGGCCAAGGTAGGTGGATTGCCTGAGCTCGGGAGTTCAAAACCAGCCTGGGCAACAGCGCGAAACTTCATCTCTGGTAAAAACACAAAAAATTAGCCAGGCGTGGTGGCGGGCACCTGTAATCCCAGTTACTCAGGAGGCTGAGGCAGAAGAATCGCTTGAACCTGGGAGGCAGAGGTTGCGGTGAGCCAAGATCGTGCCATTGCACTCTAGCCTGGGCAACAAGAGTGAAACTCCAACTCAAAAAAAAAAAAAAAAAATTAGCCGGGCATGGTAGTGCACATCTGTAGTCCCAGCTACTCTGGAGGCTGAGGCAGGAGGATTACTTGAACCCAGGAGACCGAGGTTGCAGTGATTGGAGATCACGCCACTGCACCCTAGCCTGGGCAAGTGAGACTCCGTCTCAAAAAAAAAGAAAAAAAAGAAAAAGATCAGATTTGGGAAATTCAAGACCAGAATTAGAGAATAACCCAGATTTATATGGCACACTCTTAGGGTCAAGAAAAGGGAATTCAATTTCAGTGATTTTAAAGAGGTTTTTTGGAAGTATATAGTAGGCAAACTCATAGGCATCCAGGAACAGGAAATCATGGTTAAGCTATACAAAGACTGGAGTGGGAAAGCAGGGACTGAGGTGACTTTTGCTGTTTCTGACACCTCTGCTTCATTTCTCTGTCTCTCTTTTTCTTCTTCTCCCATTTTTTTTTCTTTTTTTTTTTTTTTGATAGAGTCTCACTCTATTGCCCAGGCTGGATGAAGTGGCATAATCTAGGCTCAATGCAACCTCTGCCTCCTGGGTTCAAGCCATTCTCCCACCTTAGCCTCCCAAGTAGCTGGGATACATGTGTGCAATTGACCACATCCAGCTAATTCTTTTGTATCTTTAGTAGAGATGGGGCTTCACCATGCTGGCCAGGCTGGTCTCGAACTCCTGGCCTCGAATGATCCACCCACCTCACCCTCCCAAAGTGTTGGGATTACAGGCATGAGCCACTGCACCTGGCCCCTTCCCCCACCCCACCAACACACGAGTTCAGTCGCCCACCTTCATCTAACTGATTCAGATTCTCTGTGCCTGTTCAGATTTTCTTAGCCAAGAGTGATCATCAGCTCAGATGGACATGTGTAGACATTGGTGTGCTGGAAATGCTTAAAACTGACTCTTCGAAAAAAAAATATTATGCATTCTATACATATGTAACTTACTATAAATTTTACGAATCAACAGAGTCACAAAATCCAGACTGAATAAATGCTTGATTACTATTCAAGTTACTCCTGTCATTGACCAAGGAGTGTAGTTCCAACCTAAATGTTGTTTTATATTTTTGTTTATCTTAATGAGTAAGACAAAAGTGAAACAATGAAGACCCACTTCAGAACTTCACTTGGTCACTAGTGATGTGAGCAACTTCTTTGCTGAATTAAATGATAGGTTTTGAATACTGGGAAGAATATTTCCTTAATTAGTTGTGCATTTGCAGTGTAATGGCTAAAGAAATGACAGTTTTGGGTTCAGTCTTTACAAGCATCTTTTTTACTACTTTCTTAAGTCTAGACCCGGGGTAGGCAAACTATAGCCTGTGGGCCAAATCCAACCCATGGCCTGTTTTTTTGTACAGCCTGAGATCTAACCACCAAAGAAGCAGAGACTGTACATGGCTCACAAAGCCTAAAATATTATCTGGCTCTTTATAGAAAAGGTTTGCTGACCCCCTTGTTCAGTCAATTAATAAACCAACACAATAATTTATACTGATTTCCATTGTATAAATACTTCTACCATGGCCAGTTTCAAGATATCAATGTGATATCACTGAACACAAATTTGGAAATTGATGAACAGTCACATACCATTATAAAATATTTCCACCAGGCTGGGCATGGTGGCTCATGCTTGTAATCAAGGAGTTCAAGACCAGCCTGGGCAGCGTAGTGAGAACTCTACAAATAAATACATAAATAAAAATTAGCGGGGTGTGGTGGCATGCATCTGTAGGCCCAGCTACTTGGGAGGCTGAGGCAGGAGGATTGCTTGAGTCAGGAGTTCAAAGTTGCAGTGAGCTGTGATCACACCACTGCACGTCAACATATATATATCAGATATTAATAACCTTTAAGAGCATAAATAGGCCAGGCACAGTGGCTCATGCCTGTCTATAATCCCAGCACTTTGGGAGGCCGAGGCGGGTGGATCACTTGAGGTCAGGAGTTCAAGATCAGCCTGACCTATATGGTGAAACCTCATCTCTATTTAAAAAAATACAAACATTAGCCAGGTGTTGTGGCGGGTGCCTGTAATCTCAGCTACTTGGGAGGCTGAAGCAGGAGAATCACTTGGACCCGGGAGGCGGCGGGTGCAATGAGCCAAGATCGCACCACTGCACTCTAGCCAGGGTAACAGAGCAAGACTCCGTCTCAAAAAAAAAAAAAAAAAAAAAAAAAAAAAGATATAGACATGTTGGCTGGGCGTGATATCTCACGCCTGTAATCCCAGCACTTTGGGAAGCCAAGGTGGGTGAATCATTTGAGGTCAGGAGTTCCAGACCAGCCTGGCCAACATAGTGAAACCCCCATCTCTACTAAAAATACAAAAATTAGCCAGGGGTGGTGGCAGGCACCTGTAGTACCAGCTACTTGGGAGGCTGAGGCAGGAGAGTTGTTTCAACCCAGGAGGTAGAAGTTGCAGTAAACCAAGAGTGTGCCACTGCACTCCAGCCTGGGTGACAGAGCAAGACTCCATCTCAAAAAAAAAAAGAAAAAAGAAAAAAAAAAGAAAAATATAGACATGTTATCAGGCACAGTGGCTCATACCTGTAATCCCAGCACTTAGGGAGGCGGAGGTGAGAGGATTACTTGAGCCCAGGGGTTGGAGACCTGCCTGGGCAACATAGCAGGACCCTGTTCTCCCAAAAGGAAAATAAATAAATAAATAAATAAATAAATAAAGATATAGACATGTTAAAAGTAAAAAGACTTAGGTTGGGTCCAGTGGCTAATGCCTGCAATCCCAGCACTTTGGGAGGCCGAGGTGGGCAGATCACTTGAGGTCAGGAGTTTGAGACCAGCCTGGCCAACATGGTAAAACCTCATCTCTACTAAAAATACAAAAACTAGCCGGGTATGATAGCAGGCTGCTGTAATCCCAGCTACTTGGGAGACTGAGGCAGGAGAATTGCTTGAACCTGGGAGGCAGAGGTGCAGTGAGCCGAGATTGCGCCACTGAACTCCAGCCTGGGCAATAGAGTGAGACTCAGTCTCAAAAAAAAAAAAAAAGTGAAAAGACTTTAAAAAAATAACAGGCAAGGTCGGGCACGGTGGCTCACGCCTGTAATCCCAGCACTTTGGGAAGCCGAGGCGGGCCTATCACAAGGTCAGGAGTTTGAGACCAGCCTGGCCAATTGGTGAAACCCCCTCTCTAATAAAAACACAAAAATTAGCTGGGCACTGTGGCAGGCGCCTATAGTCCCAGCTACTCCAGAGGCTGAGGTGGGAGAATCTCTTGGACCTGGGAGGCAGAGGTTGCAGCGAGCCGAGATCATGCCATTGCACTCCAGCCTAGCGACAGAGCGACACTCTGTCTAAAAAAAACAAAAACAGAAACAAACAAAAAACAGGCAAACGCACTAAGCAAAGTTGCAGTAACTGTATTCATAGTAGACAAAGTAGACTTCAGAAGAAGGAATGTTATCAATGATAAAGAGGAAGACCATATTATGAAAAATGGGTCAATTAATCAAGAAGATAAAATAATCCTAAACATGTATGTGCATAACAACAGAGCTTCAAAATTCATGAAGCAAAAGCTGATAGAAGAGAATGGAGAAATAGACAAATCCACAATTACAGGTGGAGATTTCAATACTTCTCTTTTAGAAATTAACAGAAAACACTGGGCAGGGTGGCTCACATCTGTAATCCCAGCACTTTGGGAGGCCGAGGTGGGATGATAGTGTGAGCTCAAGAGTTAGAGACCAGCTAGGGCAACATAGTGAGATCCTGTCTCTACTAAAAACAACAACAACAGCAACAACAAATTAGTCAGACATGGTGGCATGTGCCTATAGTCCCAGCTACTTGGGAGGCTGAGGCAAGAGAATCATTTGAGCCCAGGAGGTTGAGGCTGCAGTAAGCAGTGATCATGTCACTGCACTCCAACCTGGGCAACAGAGCAAGACCCTGTCTCAAAAAAAAAAAAAGAAAAAACCCCACAAAGACAAAACACCAAAATCAAACAAACAAAAAAATAAATCAACGGAACAAGTAGACAGAAAACCAATAAGTATATAGAAGATGTAAGCAATACTCTAACAAAACTTGGCCCAATTGACATTTATAGAACACACTGCCCAACCACAAGAGAATACATGTTCTTTTTCAGTCAAATGGAACATTTACCAAGATAGACCATCTTCTGGGAAATAAAGCAAACCATAACAAATGTAAAAGAATAGTAACCATATAAAGTATCTCCTTTGATCACGATGGAATTGAATTAGAAACCAATAAGAAATATACTTGGGAAATTCTCAAATATCTAGAAGTTTTAATATACACTTAGAAATAACTCATAAATCAAAGAGGAACTCACAAAGGAAATTAGAAAATGTTTTGAATTGAACAGAAGTAAAAACTTCTGTTCAAAATTCATGGGATGTAACAAAAACAGTGCACAGAGGGAAATGTTTGGCATAAAATGCTAATATTAGAAAAGGGTCTTGGCCAGGTGCAGTGGCTCATGCCTGTAATCCTAGCACTTTGGGAGGCCGAGGCAGGAGGATCACTTGAGCCCAGGAGTTTGAGACCAGCTTGGGAAACATGGCGAAACCACATCTCTACAAAAAATACAAAAATTAGCCGGACATGGCGGTGTGTGCCTGTAGTCTCAGCTACTTGGGAGACTGAGGTGGGAGGACCACCTGAGCCCGGGAAGGTCAAGGCTGCAGTGAGCTGTGATCATGCCACTGCATTGCAGCCTAGGTGACAGGCAAGACCCTGTGTGAAAAAAGAAAAAGAAGAAGCAAAACAAGAAGAAAGGGGCTCAAATCAATGATCTGTGCTTTTATTAAGAAGTTAGAAAAATGAGAAAAAGAGCAAATCAAACCCAATTTAAACAGAAGGAGGAAATAATAAGATCAGAAACCAATAACATTTAAAAAACAAAATCAATTATGCCAAAACTGTTTCTTTGAAAACACCAATAAAAGCGATAAACGTCTTGCTAGACTAGTCAAGAAAAAAAGAAGACATGAATTTCCAGTATCAGAAATGAAAAACAAGGCATCAGTCCAGATTCTGCAGATATATAAAGGATAATACGGAAATATTATGAAATCTTTATATCAATAAATCTGACAACTTAGATCTTTTCCAAGAAAACTCCAGACCCAGATGGTTTTACTGGTAAATTCTACCAAATATTTAAGAAAGAAATAATACCAATTTAACACAAACTCTTTCAGAAGATTGAAGAGAACACTTCCTAGTTCATCTTATCAGTATTACCCTGATACTTTAATCAAAGACATAAGAAAACATAGACCAGTATTCTTCATGAATATAGATACAAAAGTCTTCAACAGAATATCAGCAAATCTAATCTAGCTAATATGAAAAGGAAAATAAATACAACTAAATGGGGCTAATTGTGGAATGCAGTGTTGATTCAACACTCAATGTTGAAATCAATCAGTGTAATTTACCATATCAACAGAAAAAGAATAAAAGCCCCATGACCATCTTACGTGATGTAGGAAAAGCATTTGATGAAATGCAACATCCACTCACGCTAAAAACTGTCAGCCCACTAAGAGTAGAAGTGCAATTCCTCAACCTGACAAAGTCCTCTACGAAAAAATGTGTGGCTGATATCCTGCAGAGGTGATATTACTGAATGCTTCTGTCCTAAGATTGGGAAAAAGGCAAGGATGTTTGTTTTTTCTACTTCTATTACAAATTATACTGGAGATCCTAGCCAGTAAAATAAGACAAGAAAAATAGATTAAAGGCATACAAATTGGAAAGGAAGAAATAAAACTCTATTAGGAAATGTTTAGCAAAGTCACAAGATACAAGGTCAATATATAAAAATCAATTGTATTTCTATATACTGGGAATGAACAACTGGAAATTTATATTCGTTATTTATTTATTTGAGACGGAGTTTTGCTCTTGTTGCACAGGCAATGTCTGTCTGGGCAATTGTCGTGCAATGGCGTGATCTCGGCTCACTGCAACCTCTGCCTCCCGGGTTCGAGTGATTCTCCTGCCTCAGCCTCCCAAGTAGCTGGGATTATAGGCATGTGCCACCACACCCAGCTAATTTGTATTTTTAGTAGAGATGGGGTTTCTCTATATTGATCAGGCTGGTCTCGAACTCCCTACCTCAGGTGATCTGCCTGCCGAGACAGTATCTTGCTCTGCTACTCAGGCTGGAATGCAGTGGTGCAATCATAGCTCACTGCAGCCTCAATCTCCTGGGCTCAAGTAATCCTCCCACCTCAGCCTCGTGAGTAGCTGGGATTACAGGTGCATGCCACCATGCCCAGCTAATTAAAAAAAAATTTTTTTTTTGTAGAAATGGAGTCTCACTATGTTGCCCAGGCTGGTCTCAAACTCCTTGCCTCTGGCCAGGCGCGGTGGCTCATACCTGTAATCCCAACACTTTGGGAGGCCGAGGTGGGCAGATCATCTGAGACCAGTGGCTCAAGACCAGCCTGGCCAACATGGTGAAACTCTGTCTCTACTAAAAATACAAAAAAATTAGCAGGGAGTGTTGGTGCACGCCTGTAGTCCCAGCTACTCAGGAGGCTGAGGCAGAATTGCTTGAACCTAGGAGACTAAGGCTGCAGTGAGCCGAGATCATCCCACTGCACCCCGGCCTGGGCCACAGAGAGAGACTTAGTCCCTGCTCCAAGAAAAGAACAAAAATGAATCTCAACCCATACCTTGCACCAATGGATTTTAGACCTAAATGTAATATTTAAAACCATACATCTTTTAGAATAAAACATAGGAAAAAATCTTTGTGACTCTGGAATGAGAAAATTTTCTTAAATATGATACCCAATTGCAAATCATAAGTGAAAAAATTAGTAAGTTTGATTTCAAAATTTAAAACTTCTGATCTTTGAGAGACATGGTTAAGAAAATGAAAAATGTGAACCACAGACTGGAAGAAAATATTTACAAAACAAAATGCCTATTCGATAAAAACTTCTATGTAGAATATGTGAAGAACTGTCACAATTCAATTATAAAATGACAATCAACCTAACTTAAAAAATGGTGGTCTGGGCACAGTGGCTCTTGCCTGTAGTCCCAGTACTTTGGGAGGCTGAGGTGGGAGGATCACTTGAGGCTCAGAGTTCAAGACCAGCCTGGGCAATGTAGGGAGACATCATCTCTACAAAAAATTAACAATTAGCTAGGTATTGTGGCATACACCTGTAATCCCAGTGACTCAGGACGCTGAAGTGGGAGGACTACCTGAGCCCAGGAGTTCAAGGTTGCAGTGAGCTATGATGATCATGTCACAGAACTCCAGCCTGGGTGACAGAGGAAGATCTAGTCAAAAAAATAATAATAATAAAAATAAAGGCAAAGTTTGTAATTAGGCTTTGTTTCCCTACCCAAATCTCATCTTGAATTGTAATCCCCATAATCCCCATGTGTCAAGGGCAGACTAGGTGGAGGTATTTGGATCATGAGGACAGTTTCCCCTATACGGTTCTCATGATAGTGAGTGAGTCTCAGGAGATCCGCTGGTTTTATAACCATCTGGCATTCCCTGTGCTTGCACTCACTCCATCCTGCTGCCCTGTGAAGAAGGTGCCTACTTCTCCTTTGCCTTCTGCCATGATTGTAAGTTTCCTAAGGCCTCCCCAGCAATGTGGAACTGTGAGTCAATTAAACTTTTTCCTTTATAAGTGACCCAGTCTCGGGTATTTCTTCATAGCAGTGTGAGACCCAACTAATACAGTTTGTATTCCATGGATGACTTGAAAAAACAAAATAAAAATGGGCAAAGATTTGAACAGACACTTCACCAAAGAAGATATACAAATGGAAAGTAAGTCCATGAAAAGATGCTCAACATTATTGGTCATTAGGAAAATGTAAATTAAAGCCCTAATGAGTCACCCGTACATAACAATTAGAATAGCTAAAATAAAAACTGAATACCAAGTGCTGACAAAGGATGTGGAGCATCCAGAACTCTCATACATTCTTGGTAGGAATTAAAATGATACATCTACTTTAAAAAACAGTTTGGCAGTTTCTTTTAAAGTTAAATATACAGCTGACATATGATCCAGAAATCCCACTGCTAGCTTTTTTCCCAAGAGAAACAAAAACTTATGGCCGGGCGTGGTGGCTCACGCCTGTATTCCCATTTGAGATCAGCCTGGCCAACACGGTGAAACCCTGTCTCTACTCAAAATACAAAAATTAGCCAGGCCTGGTGGCGCATGCCTGTAGTCCCAGCTACTAGGGAGGCTGAGGCAGGAGAACAGCTTGAACCTGCGAGGCAGAGGTTGCAGTGAGCCGAGATCGTGCCACTGCACTCCAGCCTGGGTGACAGAGCGAGTCTCCGTCTCAAAAACAAACAAACAAACTAACTAACTAACAAAAACAAATGGAACAGAATAGAGAGTCCAGACATATATGAAAAATTAATATGAAATGTGACTTTCTTTTAGGTTATCTCAACATATTATTTAAAAATAATTATTTTTGGGAGGCTGAGGTGAGCAGACCATGAGTTCAAGAGATCAAGACCATCCTGGCCAACATGGTGAAACCCCGTCTCTACTAAAAAATACAAAAATTAGCTGGGCGTGGTGGTGCATGCCCAGCTACTCTGGAGGCTGACGCAGGAGAATCGCTTGAACCCGGGAGGTGGAGGTTGCAGTGAGCTGAGATTGCGCCACTGCACTCCAGCCTGGCAACAGAGTGAGACTCTGTCTCTAAATAAATAAATAAATATCTCATTAAAAATAATTTTAAGACGTTTAAGGCCAGGCGCGGTGGCTCACGCCTGTAATCCCAGCACTTTGGGAGGCTGAGGTGGGTGGATCACGAGGTCAGGAGATCGAGACCATCCTGGCTAGCACGGTGAAACCCCGTCTCTACCAAAAATACAAAAAAATTAGCCGGGCGTGGCAGCGGGGGCCTGTAGTCCCAGCTACTCGGGAGGCTGAGGCAGGAGAATGGCGTGAACCTGGGAGGCGGAACTTGTAGTGAGCCGAGATTGCGCCACTGCACTCCAGCCTGGGCGACAGAGCTAGACTCCGTCTCAAAAAATAAATATATAAAAAATTAAAAAAAAGACGTTTAAGTACTTTTTAATTATATAAATTACATATTACTTTTGCTGAAGATTCTGAATCAGTATACCTGGGATAGCCAAGGAAGCTGCATTTTAACTAGCACCACAGGTGATCCTGACGCTAGTGATCTGAGGCCTGTTTTGAAAAACACTAATGCGCTGGCCAACATGGTGAAATCATGCTCAGGTGGTGACGAGCAAACCCACCGGATTGGGGACATCCCAAGGGTAGGGAAACTGTCCACATTCCTTCCCTGTCAAGCATTTATTGAGCACCAATGGTCTGCCCTGTGCTAAGCACTGGAGATACGGTAGCAAAAAAGACATAATGGCCTCTGCTTGCATGAAACTTGGGTTCAGGAGGGAACACACAATAAACCAAAGTTATTTACATTGTTAATTACATTTGAGCTACATGCCTGGAAGGAGAAGTACAGGGTGCCCAGTGAGTAAGGTGTACGGGTACTGGAGGCTCAGGGAAGGCTTTCCTAAGAAAGAGGCCTGGATGGCAGAAGAAAGGAAAAGGCTTTTCAAGAAAATAGAACTTCTCCATGCAGAGGCCTTGGGCAAAAGGGATCTAGATGCTTTAAGGAACTCAGAGGAGACCAATGTATAATAGCTCCAAAGGAAGGCAGTGGGAGAGAGAAAGGTGGAGGGGGAAGTCATGCATGATTATAGGCATTTCAAGGCCTTCAGGCTTCATCATTTCTGTAACCTCAGCACATGGAACACAGTGGGCACTCCATCATGGTTTGCAGTGGTTGTTAGTGTTTTAAATGAACAAAGCAACCATTGAAAGAATGAAGAAGTGATTTTGAGCATTTGGGCTGCCAGCAGCTATTCTACCTACCAGTTTTCCAAGTCAGAAATATTTAAAAGAGAAGAAGACTTTAGATTTTGTTTAAAAAAAAAAAAATCCCACCAGGTAGAAATTGGCTTTCGAAACAAAAAAGACTGGTCTTTTTGCATTGGGAAGGGTTTATACTTACATTATTGGTATTTTGGACAGTGGTTACCAAAAACCATAGAAAAAAGGCTAACAGAAATCTATAGCTATGGATCTTTTTTCATTTTTACTTTTTACCGAATCTGAGCTCAACTGATGCTCATTGCCAACAAGAATCTATGGTTTGGGGGGAATCTTTTATTTGTAATTATTTGGTCTCTGAAGTAGGTCATGTGATTTATGGGATAAGTTGATTAGGGAAATAACTGCATGAGCCCTGAAGAGAAGACCAAGTTTGTATCATTTGCCCTAGAAAGTAATGGAGATTAAGAGATAGGCTGGGCACAGTGGCTCATGCCTGTAATCCCAGCACTTTGGGAGGCCAAAGCGGGCCGATCACTTGAGGTCAAGAGTTCGAGACCAGCCTGACAAACATGGTGAAAACCTGTCCCTACTAAAAATACAAAAATTAGCCAGGAGTAGGGGTGGGCACCTGTAATCCCAGATACTTAGGAGGCTGAGGTAGGAGGATTCGCTTGAACCTGGGAGGTGGAGGAGGTTGCAGTGAGCTGAGATCGCACCATTGCGCTCCAGGCTGGGTGACAGAGCAAGACTCTGTCTCAAAAAAAAAAAAAAAAAAAAAAAAAAGAGAGAGAGACAGAGAGTGTGACTCCCTGTCTATAAAGCCCTATTTCTGGGCTGGAGATGCATCACCTCTACAACTGACCAAGACAAATAAATGTATTCTCCTTAAAGCCCCCAGAAGGAATGCAGCCCTACCCACCTGTCGGTTTCAGCCCGGTGAGACCCACTTCAGACTTCTACACACCTATTCATTTGTGTTGTTTCAAGTCACTAAATTTGTAGTAATTTGCTACAGCATCAACATGAAACCAATATAAGAAGCCAGATGCAGTGGCTCATGCCTATAATCCCAGCACTTTGGGAGGCCGAGGTGGGTGGATCACTTGAGGCCAGGAGTTCAAGACCAACCTGGCCAACATGGAAAAATCCCATCTCTACCAAAATACAAAAATTAGGCCAGGCACAGTGGCTCACACCTGCAATCTCAGCACTTTGGGAGGCAAGGCAGGAGGATCACTTGAGGTCAGGAGTTCGAGACCAGCTGGCCAACATGGTGAAACTCCATCTCTACTAAAAATACAAAAATTACCTGGGCATCATGGTGGGTGCCTGTAATCCCAGCTAGTCAGTAGGCTGAGGCAGGAAAATCACTTGAACCTGGGAGGCAGAGGTTGCAGTGAGCCGAGACCACACCACTGCTCTCCAGCCTGGGCAACAGAGCTAGACTCCATTAAAAAAAAAAATACAAAATACAAAAATTACCCAAGCATGGTGGCACACACCTGTAATCCCAGCTACTAGGGAGGCTGAGGTAGGAGAATTGCTTGAACCTGGGAGGTGGAGGTTGCAGTGAGCCAAGATCACGCCACTGCACTCCAGCCTGGGCAACACAGAGAAACTCTACTAAAAAGAGAGAGAGAGAAAAAAAAGAATTAGAAAGAAAAAGAAAGAAATCAATATAGAAAGTATAGGGGAGACAATAATCTGATTGGCATCACATTTTTAATTAACAACAAATATTAACTGGAAAACAATGGAGCAATATCTTCAAATCTGTGCAAGGCCATGGCAACAGATTTAAATATCAAAGGGAAATTGAAGAAAGTCTAACAAAATTAAAACTTAAGTAATTGACCAAAGAAGAAGAAAACCTAAACAGATCAATAACATGAACGATTGGAAAGGTCAAGATCTACCATTTTAAAAATCACCACACTTGCATAGATTTACATCCAAGTTTACCAAGCCTTAAAAAAAAGATAATTCTTCCTATATTATTAAAGTATCTTAGACTACAGAAAAAAATGAAACTCCCCAAGTTGACTATGACTTCGAAGAAGTTAGCAAAGCACTTTGCACAAAGCTCTTAGAACCATTCTGCCTTGTTCAAGTCATGGCTATAATACTTACTGGCTGTGTGACCTTGGGCAAGTTATTTATTCTCTTCCTTTCTCCACTCCCTTCTCTGTTAAATGACGAGGAAACTCTACTTCATGGAGATTGTTGTGAAGATTAAGTGAGTTTATAACTATCAACTGCTTAGAACAGTGTCTGGTGCCTATTAAGGCCCACATGCATACATATTTGATATTACTACTTTTATGAAATTAGAATCACCTTATTAGTTAAGCCTGATGAAGAAAGCACAAAAACAGAAAGCCACAGACAAATTCATTTATGAATACAGATACACATTTGTAAATAAATATTAGAAAATTAAGCTCATCAGTTCATCAAAAGAATAATACACTTATATTAGGAGCACAAGAATGGCTTAACATCATAGCTGGGCATCATGGTGGGCACCTGTAATTCCAGCTACTTGGGAGGCTGATGCAGGAGAATCTATCACTGTGATCCATTATATCTACCACTTAAAGTAGAAATTTCAGATGCTGTATGGTTGTAAGATAAACCTATAAAAATGAAGAGCTTTTCTATCAGTAATTATCACATAGTACTTTTTATTTTATTTATTTATTTTTTTGATACAGGATCTCGCTCTGTTGCCCAGGCTGTAGTGCAGTGGTGCAGTCACAGCTCACTGCATCCTCCATATCCTGGGCTCAAGCGATCCTCCCACCTCAGCCTCCTAAGTAGCTGGGACTTTGATACAGGATCTCGCTCTGTTGCCCAGGCTGTAGTGCAGTGGTGCAGTCACAGCTCACTGCATCCTCCATATCCTGGGCTCAAGCGATCCTCCCACCTCAGCCTCCTAAGTAGCTGGGACTACAGGCGTGCCACCGCATCCAGCTAATTTTTGCATTTTTCTTCGTAGAGACAAGGTTTCTCCATATTGCCCAGGCTGGTCTCAAACTCCTGGCTCCAGTAATCCTCCAGCGTCAGCCTCCCAAAGTGCTGGTATTATAGGAGTGAGCCACTGCGCCCAGCCCCACATAGTACTTTTAATAATTAAATAAACTTAGCAAAGTCAGTGTGGGCAATATGAGAAGGTCATGGAATGCTAGTCCAAGAAATCTGGTATTTATGAAATATATAGCAGGAAAAATTCAAGATGCCAAATAACATAAATAGGTCTATGTCTTTGGAGATGGATAGCAGTGAGGATTCTGAAGACAGAGAGACCCTTAGGAAATTATTGCAATAGTCCAGTCAAATGGTAGAGGAAAATTGAGCTGAGACAGAGGTCTTTCCAGAGGAATAATCGCTGGTACTGCTTTGGAGAAATAAACAGAATTTGTTAACTAAAGTCCAGACTGGGTAGACTGTTTTTACTACTAGGCTAAGGAACACGGGTGAAGAGAGTATTTCGGGAAAGATGACATTGAGTTGAGTCAAGCTGATTTTGAAGCACTCCCAGAACACCCACTGGTTAGAAAGGCAGATCAGAAGCTTCAAATAAAAGCAGGGACTAAAAAATTAACAGAGAGATTATTTAAGAAGCAACGATTCTGGAGCTACGAGAGGACATGAGGTCACCCAGGGAGAATGTGTAGCCTGCAAGGAAGGCTGAGACAGAACCTCAGAACATGCTGACATTTAAGGGATGGAATGAAAACAGCCGGTCAGTAAGAAGTTCTAGTGGTTGTTGGAGAGCCAAGAGCATGCAGAGCCCCATAAACTAGTGAAGAGATCCAAAAAGGATCACAAACCCAGCAGTTTGGAATGCCAAAGCAGGATCAAGGCGGAGGAGGAGCATTCAGCAAAGCAGCCTGCAGGTCCTTAGGAGAAACAAGTTCAGTGAAATGGGCATCTTGCAGCCCATTAAGCAGAGATAGAAAGTAGGTGGACTAAAGAATCCAAACGGCTTTTCAGTAAAAGTGGGTAAGAGCTTCAATTTGGGGATCAGGTTAACATGGATTCACATCTCAGCTCTACTGTTGGACATTTGTCAATCATTCCATATCTCTGAGCCTAACTTTCCTTATATGTAAAATAGGATAGTCCCAGTACTATCTTCGTAGGAGTTATTGTGACAATGGAGATAATCCATTAAAGGGGCTTAGATTGGCATCTAACATAGTTAAGAGGTCAGTAAACTTGGCGGTATTTGCGGGGCACAGTGGCTCATGCCTGTAATCCCAGCACTTTGGGAGGCCAAGGCTGGTGGATCACTTAAGGTCGGGAGTTCAAGACCAGCCTGGGCAACATGGTGAAACCCCATCTCTACTAAAAATACAAAAATTAGCCAGGCATGGTGGCGCAAATCTGTAATCCCACCTACTCAGGAGGCTGAGCCAGGAGAATCGTTTGAACCCAGGAGGCAGAGGTTGCAGTGAGCCAAGATCGTGCCACTGCACTTCAGCCTGGGAGACAGAGTAAGAGTCCGTCTCATAAAAACAAAATGAAACAAAACAAAACTTGGGGGTATTATTGTTATTTCAATAAAATGGATGATGATCCCATCTGCTGAGAAAGGGATGAAAGCAGGTGGAAAGGGAGGAACAGCTGCTTACGTGTGTTTAAATAGACTACTTCCCAAAGCTTTTTTTTTTTTAAATAAAAAATGACCAGACAGCTGAGATGAACTTGAAATAGACCTGGCCATCCAACCCAGCCAGACCATTCTTCCCAGAATCACTCACTGACTGAGCACTGGAGTGGTGGGAGCGGAAGAAATAAATTGTTGGGAGAATTGTTGGCTTGAAGAATGGCAAGGGTTAAAATGATCTGGTGTGGGAAAAGGACAGGATTTGAGCACAATAGGGAGAGCTCACTTAGACTTGGAGGCCGGGGCAGAGTTGTAGGAGTCATACCAGGGAAAGATCAAGCTAATTTATAGGAAGGAAAAAATCTAGAAATGAGGAACTTGAGTCGGAGGGGGTGATTCAGAGAACTGAGCATATAACCAGTCATGCTTCTTCCATTTTTTCGTATGGTCACTCTCTTACCTAGATACCTATGATACATTCAATAATCATTACTTTGGCCAGACACGGTGGCTCACACCTGTAATCCCAACTCTTAGGGAGCCCAAGGCAGGAGGATTCCTTGAGCCCAGGAGTTCAAGATCAGCCTGGGCAACATGGTGAGACCCTCTCTTTACAAAAATTTTAAAAATTACCCAAGCATGGTGGCATTCACGTGTGGTCCCAGCTACTCAGGAGGCCACTTAAGTCCAGAAGGTCCAGGCTGCAGTGAGTCATGTTCATGGCACTGCACCCCAGCCTGGGTGACAGAGAGAGAACCTATCTCAAAAAAAAAAAATCATCATCATCATTTCTTAAAACAACATTAATCATAGGTCACCTTTTTAGAGGCAAGCAGGCATTCTGTTAAACACAGTCCCCATATCAATTCTATGGGTCAAGAAGCCCTTGATGCCCATTACAGGTAAGTAAACTTTCACAGAGTGACAGGACTAAGATTTGAACCTGGGCAATCTGAATCCCAAGGCTGAGTAACCACAGCACATAACTACAAGCAGGGCATTTCGGTACGCAGCTTCTTGGATGACCTCAATACTCCCTGCCTCCTGGTAGCCCCACTCTTGTGTAATTCCCTCCCCGCTTGTGTGTGGGCTTTATTTAGTGGCCGACTTCTAGCAAGCAGAATGCAGAAGAGGAGAGATGTCACTTCTGGAATTAGATTACAAAGAGATGGCATCTTCCGTCTGGAGCACTCTCTCACTCTCACTCCAAGGGAAGCCAGCTGCCATGTTGTGAGCTGTCCAAGGATCCCAGTGACAAAGAACTGAGGAAGTCCTCTGGCCAGCAGTCAGCAAGAAACCGAGACCCTAGACCCTTAGCTCCAACAGCCTACAAATAACTGAAACCTTCCAAAAACCATGGGAGGGAGCCTAGAAGCAGATTCTCCCCAGCTGAGACTTCACATGAGACCACAGCTCCAGCATGTACTCTGACTGCAACCTGGTAAGAGACTTTGAGGTCTGACTGCAACCTGGTAAGCAACCTCAAGCCAGAGATACACAGGAAAGCCATGCCCAAATTCCTAACCCACAGAAACTGAGACAATAAATGTTTGCTGTTTCAAGCTGCTAAGTTGTGGAGTGATTGGTTATGCTGCAATAGTTAGTGAGTGCATCTACTCTGTGCCTAACACTTCCTAGATGTTAGGAATAAGACTTGGTCCCTGACGTCTGAGCATTTATAGGGGAAACAATGATATAAACAAATGATTCCAGCACAACATGGCCCAGGGTGGAGAATTGCACTAGTGGGCAACTGTAATGGAGGGAAACCAGAAAATATTCACAGAGGAGGTGAAATTTGGTTTGCATCTTGAAGGATGAATCAAAGCTAGCTAGACGGATGAAGGGGAATGGACAGTCAAAGCAAAGAGAACAGATACATGCCAAAGTACAGAAGATGAAACAGCAATTAAATATTTGTGGTTGAGTGTAGCTGACAGTAGAGACAACCAAGTAATGGAAAATCTTGCATGCTTTGCAAAAACCTCTGAACTTTCAAAAGACTGTCATGTACAATACATACTTGATTTATTTGAGAAGCTGCACTCTTTAGAAGTCATTTTTAGGTCAGAGGTCACAAGCTGGCATCCCTTGGAGAATATGGCCAGCACACATGCTTCTTTGGCCCTCAAAGTTATTTTACTAGTTTGAATTAGTTATTAACATTTAACAAATAAGAGATTTCAGATGAAGATCCACATTTCCAGCTTTGATTAAAATATCAGAAGATCCCAACAGGTGTGGGGATCACACCTCATTCAAGCTCAGGAGTTCAAGAACAGCCTGGGCAACATAGCAAGCTCTTGTCTCTACTAAAAAAAAAAAAAATTAATAAGCCAGGCATGGTGGTGCATGCCTATAGTCCCAACTACTCCGAAGGCTGACTCAGGAGAATCACTTGAGCCTGAGAAGTTGAGGCTGCAGTGAGCTGTGATCATGCCACTGCACTCTAACCTGAGCAACAGAGTGAGGCCCATCTTAAAAGAAAATATCAGAAGATCTAAACACTGGGATAGCGTTTCCATGTAGCAGTTGGCTGGAGTGAAATGGTAGCTGTCCCTTTTAGACAGAACATGCACACTCTACCAGAGTTCCCATCTGGCCAACTGAAGGGATTTGACTTTGCATCTCCTGCACAGAGAAGATAAATGTGTACTCAATATAAACATCGCATCTGTGAAGGGATGCATTGGTGAACTCCCATCACCTCAGCAAATGAGTGACCGCTTGGAAGGATCAAGCAGAAAAAGTATTGATTTTGGGCAGTGATTCCTAGACTTTAATGTGCACACAAATCACCTGGGGTCTTGTTAAAATACAAATTCTGGTGCAGTAGGTCATAGTGAAGCCTGAGATCATGCATTTCTAACAAGCTCCCAGATGATACTAATGCTGCTGGTCCCAGGACCACACTTTGAGTAGCAAAGGGCCAGGGGGCCTTGGCATTGCACTCTACCCTGAGAGTCAGGGTTCTTCTGGGACTACAGCTTATCCTGTCTGCTGAAACAGAGCCTCTTCTAATTGGAGTCAGCCCTGGATTGGGGCTGGCATGGGGATGGAAGTTGAGAGAAGACAAAATAATCAGTGTGCTATTCCTTCCAGAGTTTTGTAGAACTTGTGGAAAGTAAAGTGACATTTATTGACATCTTTCATGTGTTCCAGGTTATCTCAATCAACATGCACACACACCACCACCACCACCACCAATGACAACAACATCTATAAGGTAAGAAGAGAGAAAGGGTAAGAAAGTGCACTCTAGAGCCAAACTGCCTGGGTTCATATCCCAGTTCTGCCATTTATTAGCTGTGTGACTTTAAATGTTACTAACAGCTCTCTGCCTCAGTTTCCCATCACCAAAATTGGGGATCATAATAGTACCTACCTCATAAGCTGCCGTGAAGATTAAGTGATGACACATGGATAGTGCTCAGGACAGTGTCTGGCATCTAGAAAGTGCCCAACAAATATTTGCTATTAATAATATCCCTTCCTTGTGAATGAAGAAAACAAGGCTAGCAGAAGTTAATTAATGTGGGCAGAGATTAAGTAGGGGGGCCAGTTTTTGTCTTTCCAATGACCTTAAGGAGTAAGGCACATGAAGGCCCAAGTGAGACCATATCTGGAGAGAAAAACAGTCCATACCCTTCCTTGAGGCCCTTTTCTATCCCATTCTCCAGTTTAGTCTTGTCTCGGAGACACTGGCTTATGGTAATAATTATAACACGTAAAAGTTATTGAATGTATACATCATCTCATTTAATTCTCACAACAATTTTGTGATGTAGGCACTACTGCATTGTTATTCCTCAATTTTGCAGATGCATGTTCCCCAAGCTCACATACTTGGCAAGTTCCAATTCTGTATAAAGTCATCCAGAAAATAGGACAGGGAAGAATACTCCCCAGCTGACTCTATAAGACCACTATCACCCTACCATTAAAATCAGACAAAGATATTACAGGAAAAGAAGGCTGCAGATGGATATTCTTCATGACTATACATGTAAAACTGCAAAACAAAATATTAGCACATTGAATCCCACAATACGTAAAAAGGATAATACATTATGATGAGTAGTGCTTCATCCCAGAAATGCAAGGTTGGTTTAACATTCAAAAACAAATCAAGTAGTTTACCAAATTCACAAACTAAAAAAGAAAAAAAAATTATCTCAATAGATGCAAAAAACTCGTTTGCAAATATTTAACAACATTCGTTTCTAATAAAAATTTTCAGCAATGTAGAACCTGAAGAGAACATTTTCAACTATGTAGCATCTTCAAATAACCTATAGCAAACATCATAATGAAAGAATAAGTGCTTTCCTCTGAGGATAAGAACAAGACAAGTATGTTCACTATCACTGCTTCTATTCAACATTGTACTAAAGGTTCTAACCAGTGCAGTAGTGCAAAGAAAAAAGTGGCATTCAGATAGGAAAGAAGTAAAACTCTCTTTCTTCACAGATGATGTGGTCATCTATGCAGAATATCTGATAGAAGCAACAAATAAGCTACTAGAACCAATAATTGAGTTTAGTGAAGTTGCAGGATACAATCTCAAGATACAAAAACCTATTATATATCTATATGATGCCAATAAACAACCAGAAATTGAAATTAATAAACAATACCATTCACAATAACATCAAAAATATTAAATACTTAGAGATAAATCTGGCAAAAGATGTGAAAAACTTATACTATGAAAATTACTAACTACTGCCAAGAGAAGTTAAATACCAAAATAGGCCAGGCATGGTGGCTCATGCCTGTAAACCCAGCACTTTGGGAGACCGAGGCAGGTGGATTACTTGAAGTCAGGAGTTCAAGACCAGCCTGGCCAACATAGTAAAACCCCATCTGTACTAAAAATACTAAAATTAGCTGAGTGTGGTGGTGCATGCCTGTAATCCCAGCTACTCAGGAGGCTGAGGCAGGAGAATTGCTTTAACTTGGGAGGCAGAGGTTGAAGTGAGCCCAGATGGAGTGCACCACTGTACTCCAGCCTGGGCAACAGAGATACCATCGCAATAAATAAATAAATTAAATAAATAAATAAATAAATAAATAAATAAAATGTTGGTCTTGAACCTATACTTATAGGTTCAAGAAAACTCAATATTGTTAAGATGGTGTAAATTTTCCCAACTTGATGTATAGATTCAATGAAATCCAAACAGAAATCTCCAGGAAGCATTTTTTGTAGAAATTGATGCATCCTAAAATGTATATGGTACTGCAAAGGACCTAAAATAGCCAAGATACCTCTGGAAAAAAAAAAAGGAACAAAGTTGTAATGCTAACACCATCCAAGACTTATTACAAAGCTGTAATAATCAAGACAGTGTAATACTGGCATAAAAGATGATAAATAGATCAATGAAATAGAATACAAAAATCCATAAATAGCCCCATATATATGGACAGCTGATTTTTAACAAAAATGCAAAGGGAATTCAGTGGAGAAATTAAAGTTCCTTCAAAAATGTACTGAGAAAATTAGATCCCAATATGCAAAAAGAAAAACGAACTCCTATCCATACCTCACATCATATATAAAACTTAATTCAAAATGGATTGTAGATCTAAATATAAATCCTAAAATTATAAAACATTTAGGGCATTGAAAAATTTAATCTTGATCTAGGCAAAGATTTTTTAGATTCATCATCAAAAGTATGACCCAAAAAGGAACAAACCGATAAACTGGACTTCATCAACTTAAAAAATGTTTGCTCTTTAAAAGACATTGTGAAGAGAATACAAGACAAGCTACAGAGTTAGAGAATCATATGTCTGATCAATCATATAGTTTATAAAAAATTTATATCTCAAATACATAAAGAACTCCCAAAACTTAAGAAAACAAGCCAATTTTTAAAATGGCCAAAATATTTGAACAGACACGTCACCAAAGGAGACATACAGACAGGACATATGTACATGAAAAGAGACTCAATCATTAATCTTTAGAGAAATGTAAATTAAAATCACATATCACTCCTATGCCAATTAGAATGGTTACAATAGAACTTTTGGCCGGGTTCGGTGGCTCATGCCTGTAATCCCAGCACTTTGGGAGGCCAAGGTGGGAGAATTGCTTGAGCTTAGGAGTTCAAGACCAGCCTGAGCAACATAGTGAAACCCCGTCTCTACCCAAAATATTTAATACAAAAAATTGGCCGGGCATGGTGGCATGCACCTGTGGCCCCAGCTATTGGGAGGCTGAAGTGTGAGGATCACTTGACCCCAAGAAGGTCAAGGCTGCAGTGAGCCAAGATTGTGCCACTGCACTCCAGCCTCCTGGGTGAGACCCCAGGAGTGAGATCCCATCTCAAAAAAAAAGAAAAAGAAAATAGAACTCTTATATACTGCTGGTGGCAATGTAAAATGGTACAATCACTTTAGAAAATGGTCTCTCAGTTTCTTAAAAAGTTACACATGTACTTACAATATGAACCAGCCATTCTACTCCTAGGAGTTTACCCATGAACAAATGAAAGCATATGTCTTGCAGGAAAACAGTCTGTTGCATGGCAGGAGTGTGACACCATCTTGAAGGGAAACCACCACGATGACCAATGTGCGACTCCTGCCTACCAAGATGTTCTTATAGCTTAGATAATCCTTCATAAAGACATTTATCTAACCTATCCAGTGGTCAAGAGTTTTGCAAGAAAGTCTGAGACATGACTAGCTGCACATGTTTTATCAAAAAAGCTTACTATAGGAAGAATATGTTTTTAGGGTGAATGCAGTGAGCCAACATCTTGTGGCTTCCCAAGACATTGCTCCAGTTCATAAGTCCCTGTTAAATGTTTCTTCCTGAGAAACTGGATTTGTCAGGCTTGTTCTTTGACCTCTCATTGTGTAACATGTTTGTACAAAAAGCAAGTTTATTTTTAGTATCCAAGAACTGTAAATGACCCAAATGCTCAACAACAGGTGAATTTAACTGTGGTATATCCATACAATGGAATACTACTCAGCAATAGAAATAATGAAATATTGATATATGCTACCATGTGGATAGATCTGAAAATAATTATGCTGAGTGAAGTAAACTCAACAAAAACTAGTGAATACTGTATTATTCCATTTTTATAAAATTGTAGGAAATCCGGACTAATATATACCAACAGAAGCAGATCAGGGGTTGTCCGGGAAGGTAGGTGGAAAGAATTAGAAAGGGCCACAAGGAAACTTTTAAGGTGATGCATAAGTTCATTATCTTGATGGTGTCAATGGTTTCACTGGTGTAGACTTACGTCAAAACTTATCAAATTGTACACTTTAAATATTGCAGTTCATTATATGCCAATTATACCTCAAAAGGCTGTTTTTTAAGGGTAAAAAACATTTTTTGTTGAGACAGTGTCTCGCTCTGTCACCCAGGCTGGAATGCAGTGGCACGATCTCGGCTCACTGCAACCTCCGCCTCCCGGGTTCAAGTGATTCTCCTGCCTCAGCCTCCCAAGTAGCTGGGACTACAGGTGTGCGCCACCACACCCAGCTAAGTTTTGTATTTTTGTTAGAGATGGGGTTTCACCATGTTGGCCAGGATGGTCTCGATCTCTTGACCTCGTGACCCACCCGCCTCTGCCTCCCAAAGTGCTGGGATTACAGGCGTGAGCCACTGCGCCCTGCCAGAGTAATAAAAATTTTTAACTGCATGCAATTTTTAACTAGATGCATCACTGGCTCAATTTCTGCAAACCAGGTGGGTGGCTGAGTGGGTGGATGGATATGGTTGCCTTCCCTTCACTTGTGGCCTAAGAAACAGGATGTTTCCCCACTGGGTTTTTTTCAACAAGCCTTTCCTTCACCTTGGGGCTCATTTTTCGTACAGTTCATAGCACATTTGTTGTCTGCCTCAACTCCTGCCACTTCTAAGGACCAATAGCTTGATCACTAATTCCATCGCCATTGGATTGATCTCCCTCTGGGACTGGATGACATTTATTAGTTCAGAGCTTTTCATTTTCTTACCTCATCCTGGAATCTGCCTTAGCACACAAAAGGCACTCAATAAAGATTTTCTGGTTAATTGATTTACTGATTAATTCATTGGAAAAGCTATCAATTCTATAAGGCATGTATAGTTTTCAAACTCCAATGGGATTTAGGTAAATTGGGTTTTTACTAACCTGCTTGCCTTCCAAAAAAAAAAAAAAAGATGGGATTTTTGACTTCCTTATTTTTTTATAATTGCCACGTAATGCATTTATAATCAGAAAACCAGCTCTAAAAATAACTAAACAAGGAAATATGCCACTTAAAATTTAAAAACAATTGCCCCGACAGATTCAGTGGTGACTCTGGCTAAGTTAAACTGGGTCTTTCCAGTGCCCATGTTTTTCCAGAGGTTGGCATCCTACCCTCCTCTCCTCCCTAAGTCTTAAGTGGTTCTGGAAGATTCAACTAGAAACCACAGAGTGCACTAAAACAACAGATTCATGGAACAGGGCAATCAGGAAAAAGGGCCAAAGCCAGCCAAAGTTGTCTGCTTAGGCAAAAGCCCTGACCCAGCACATTTCTCAGAAGGCTCCATCTATATTTATAGCTTTGAAAAACTTTTGGGAACATGGAACTTTCAGGCTGGTGGAATCCTGGCTCTGAGCGGTACTGGGAACACCATGTTCCCTTCTGGCTTGGATCACAAAAGAGCCACGTGTTGGGTACATGAGTCCTTTACTGACCTCAGGGGAGACATCCGGCTCTCTGTGCCTTCATTTCTTCCTTTGTTTAATGGAATTTATTTTGTCCCACTTGACTCATAGAGCATACAAAAATAAAGGCACCATTTACTTAGTACTTATTACACCAGAGGCACTGGGTTAAAAGTCATTTCATTTTCACAGACAGCACTATTTTTTAATCCCCATTCTACAGATGGTATAACTGAGGTTCATGAAGATTAAGGAATTTACCCAAGGTTCACACAGCCAAGTAAGTGGTGGATCAAGGATTTGAACTCTCAAGCCCTAGGTTTCAACCCTTAAACTGCTATAGGGTTCAGATTTGTGATTAAATGTAATAAAGAATAAACAGAAGAGTGAAGAGAACGACCATTTATTGAGCCTCTATTATGAAGCCAGCATATTACATGAGTCACAAATAAGAATTGCTCTCAAGTTGAAAAGTGAAAGTAAAAGCATGTTTCTCTGTCTGCACCAAACATAATCCAGTTCAAACACAACCTCATACCCCAAGAGAACAAGGTTATCAAGAAGTTGAGTTACCAGTCATTTATTAGGCCGCTCCCAAGCCAGGTGTGGTGGCTTATACCTGTAATCCCAGCACTTTGAGAGGCCAAAGTGGGAGGACTATTTAAGGCCAGAAGTTTGAAACCAGCCTGGATAACAAAGTGAGACTCTTGTCTCCAAAAAAAAAAAAAAATTTAGCCAGGTGTGGTGGTGTGATCCTGTAGTCCCAGCTACTCAGGGTGCTGAGGCAGGATTGCTTGAGGCCAGGAGTTAGAGACTGCAGTGAGCTATGTGATTGAGCCACTGCACTCTAGTCTGGACAATAGAGCAAGACCCCATCTCAAATAAATAAACAAATAAGTAGATTCTCCCCATTATCTCGAAGCCCACATTCCTCTTTCTGTGATCCTGGAAAGCCCCAAATCACATTCAGTGCCTAGCCTCCCACTGAGTATTCAAAGGTGCCATAAGTTCTGTTTCCCACTTGGGAGAAGGTAGTGGCCAGCAAACCCAGGGGTCACCCACCGTTCAGAGCCTGGCCTCAGGATATCCTCATATGATTCACAAGCCCCTGCCCATAGCATCTGGCTTTTCAGAGAAAACCACCCAGACACTGCTTTTGAGCAAACCTCACTAAGGAGCTAAAATCCTTTCTTCCTTCCTAGACTCCTGAGATCCAACAGCCTAAGAAAAATTCTGTTAACCCTTCCCACAGAGGAGACAGTACAAACTCAAACCTTAAGGACACAAAGACCCATTCATCCCCCTGGGCAAGAGAAGAGAAAGAACATCTCATCCTTCTCTGATGAACATCCAGCTGAGAAAATAAGATACAATTCGTTCCTCAGCAGGCCATTCTGCCATGTTAAATTCCTAATGAGTGGTCCTGCTGCACCTACATTATCCCATTCAATCCTCACCTACATTATCCCATTTAATCCTCACAACAGCTCTGAGCCATTTGCTTGCAGGCGTGAGCAAGGATGCACTGCTTGATCACACTCTACCCAAGAGGAAGAGCCTCAGTATGAGAAGGTCACAAGCCCTTCTGATCACACTCTATCCCAGAGGACACAGCCTCAGTATGAGAGGTCACAAGCCCTTCAGCTCAGTGAGGCACAGTTTTGGGAGGAAGAGTTCTGCAAGAGAGAGGAAAGAAAGGGAGCCTTCCGCAGCCAACCAGCCAGATCAGCCAAAACCACCCAGGTTATCAGGGATGGTAAGAGGTATCATTGCCAAGTAGCAGCTAAGGTCACTGTTAATATTTATTAAGCATCTCCTATATCCAGGTAAAATGCTACCTTCTTAATTGTATTACCCCATTTCATCTCCCAGCCACCAGGAAACAGAAGTATTATTGCTCCAATTTTATAGATGAGGAAACTAAGGTTTATAGAAATCAGGGAGCTTTCCTAAGGTCTTGGGGGCAGCAAGTGCTAGAGGTAGAATTGGACCTCAGGCAACCATATCACCTTTACCACCCAAACCCATGAGGCAGCCGTTATTACCCCCTTTTTACAACTGAGGAGGCCAAAGCAGGAGGATTGCTTGAGACCGGGAGTTCGAGACCAACCTGGACAACAATGTGAAAACCCCATCTCTTAAAAAAAAAAAAAAAAATTAATTAGCCAGGTGTGGTGGCGTGCACCTGTGGTCCTAATTTGAAGAGGTAAAATAATCTGCTCAGATCAGTGATAAAGCCAGAATCCCATTCCTCACTAAAGTCAGTCCACTATCACACCAGCTCACACTAAAGGAAAGTACTTCGAAAAGCTCAGGAGAACCCAAACCAATTTTCCCCCCAGATTTCAGTGTGTCCTTGCCTTTAAGAGAAAGTATATAAGACTTTTCTCAGGCTGTTGGACCACAGGGGTTAGGAAGAAAGAAAAAGATTGCAGTTCCTTGGAGGACTTCATTCACACAGTGACCACTTGATCTATGCTAGAAAAAAATTGTAAAAATCTCTGAAAATAATAACAGCAAATTTTTATATGGCGCTTACTTTGTGCCAGGCTCTGTTCTAAGCAATTTATAAACATGTTAACTATTCAATCCTCCAAACAACTTTATTAGGTCAGTACCACTGATGTGCTCTTAAAAGTTTAACAACCAGCTCTCAATGGGAAAGCTTTGATTTGTAGCACTTGCCAATGTCCCTGGTGTAACTACTCCCACTGTGGCCAATTCCAAGCTGTCAGTGTAATGTCACGATCTTGGCGTTGGGAAGAAATGCCTATCATATATCACCGGGAAGATGCACATCATGTATCATCGGAAAGGGACGTACATTACGTATCATTGCCACCATGCAGACACAGTAGACATAAGTAGCCCCAAGAGCATAGATAGTAGTAAAATGGAGTAAAATAATTAGGAATTAATGAGTTTGGAGCATTTATTACCTTTGGTTTTAATTGCAAGCTTATAAAATTTAATTTTTAATAAAGGCTGTATTTAACAACCAGCTTGCAAAATTTCTGATAATTAAACAGTTGGCTTTCACGTGTCTGCTCTGGCTTCAGCATATAACTGGTTAGTGCTATTATTGCCTTTTTATAGAGGAGGAAACTGAGGCACAGAAAGGCTACATAATTTGCCAAAGGGTACATGGCTAGAAAATGGCAAAGCCAGAATTCAGACCTGGGCAATCTGGCTCCAGAATCTGTGCTCTTAACCACCCTATCTATGGCTTCTCTTGCAAGACTGCTGTGTCTTTGTCCAGACTGTAGCCCATAGGTTTCCTTTGTGCTCCTCTCAGTATGTGCATTAACTGCATTTGACAGTGAGTCACAGCAAGGCTGTAGTGCAGTTTCTTTCCAGGACCTTGGGAAAGAGTTTAAGGCATCCACTTGCACCCTCAGCAAAACGTCTGGGGCCTTGTGACTGGGCTGCGGAGGATGACACCTAGCTGTGTTCCTGATCTGGCCGCCTAGGCCTTGCCCTCGAGGCCTGGCTGAGCCTGCGTTCAACCACACATCCATTATGGAAAGGAGGGTCCCTTAATGTAGCGCAAATTATAGCTGGAACACAAGCAAATTGCCGGCTTTTACTAGCACATAAACTGAGCGGAACCTTTGAGATAGATCCGCATTACCCTAAACGGCATCCATAATTCATACCTGCAGCAGAAATGCTTCCCTCTCCCCAGGCTGGAGCCAATCTATTATTGATGGGCCCCTTAGAAGGCCACAACAGAGTGTTTCTCATTCTCCAGCCATCTGCCGGCGTGGTCAATTCCTCAGGCGGCGGCAGCACATTTATTCATCAGAATCAACTCCCAATTAGTTTCCTAGCAGGACCCAGGGGGGTTTTATCTGAGGAATCAAAGTGAGTGTTTCTAGAACAGTACCCCCAGTCCCACCCCTGGGACGCTAATCAATACATACAGAACCAGCCAGCAGCAGGCGAGCATTCGTTTTCACTCAGAAATGCTGCTGCCTTTGTAAATCATGGAGAGTAAAACTAAAAAGCAATGCCCCTTCCTCTCCACCAAGAGTCGGATGGCCAGGAGTTTCTTGCTGTCTATGAAGAAGTAAGTCACTGGATCGTCAGAGCACAGGATTTTTTTTTTTTTTTTTTGAAACAGAGTCTTCCTCTGTCGCCCAGGCTGGAGTGCAGTGGCACGGTCTCAGCTTGCTGCAGCCTCCGACTCCCGGGTTCAAGCAATTCTCCTGCCTCAGCCTCCCGAGTAGCTGGGATTACAGGCATGCACCACCACCCCCTGCAATTTTGTATTTTTAGTAGAAATGGGGTTTCACCATGTTGGCCAGGTTGGTCTCGAACTCCTGACCTCAAGAGATCCACCCGCCTCAGCCTCCCAAAGTGCTGGGACTACAGGCGTGAGCCACCTGGCCAGAGCACAGGATTTAAATGACTGCCAAGAGCAGAAGTTTCCCACCCCACCTGGGTGGTAGAAAGGAAAGTAGCAATTCTATTCACAGCTTTTTATGAAAGATCTAATAACAACCCTGTGAGACAGGTATTTATTATTCTCTCCATTTTGCAGATGGAGAAACTGAGGTTAAGTAACTCACCCAAGGTCACACAGCTAGTAGATCGCAGTGACAAGACTTGAGCGCAGAAAACCTGATTCCAAAGTCCACGGGCTTAACCACTACTCCATGCTGCCATCTGCAGGAAGAGGAAAGGGAACCGACAAGCTATTTCCAGGGCGTCACAAACACCTAATGAAATGTGGACATTTCGCTACAAAAGACAGCTGGCTCACAAAGACCCAACCAACTAGTTAAATAAAGGGAAAGCACTGTTTTTTGTGTTATTTCTATTTTATGTTGTGATGTATTGCTTTATTGAATGATTAATGTTTAAATGACCACATGCATTAATGGCTATTAATAAATATAGCTGGTTTTAAAAAGCTGCATCTTTTTTGAGTGAGTATTTGGTGGGGAGGGAGGCAGAGGATGGATCATGAAAGGGGTACAGGAGTACTCAGCATTTGAAAGGCCATCAGGGTTTAGAGCTGAAAGGAAACATTCATCACTCACATCTGAGAAACACCTTCCCAGGTGTCAGGCTTTGTGTCTGACCCTGGGGATACAAGAATTGATAAGATGAGAGACATGTGAAAAATTAACTATGAGTTAAGGCAGAATAGCACAGGGGATATACACCAAGGCTTCCCTCAACCATGCCTTCTCTTTCCCCATCCCAGAGGAGACTGAGCCATAGTAAAGCAAATCACACCACACTGTGAACTGGTGCAGCTCTACATACAAACTCTTCAACCTCTGCAGAGCTCTCATGCTGCTATGCCATCCTTTCAAGTGCCCCTGGTCAGCTCCCCCTTCCATATCTTCAAGGTGAGTTCTTAAGACCCCACATCTTCTTTCTCCTATAAAGCTGTGGCCAACAGTAGGAAGAGCTTAAAGCTTCCACCGCTCCACCAGCAAACTTCTCTGCCTCTACGTCTTCCATTCTTTGTGTCTTATCTTCATCCTTCCTCACTGTGGGGAAAACCTCAGAGATGATCCAGTTGGTCTGAGCTCCATGAAGGGCCCAAGGCCATGGAGCTACCAATGAATAGAAACCAAGATGGCATGGAGAGCTGAGAGTGGAATAGGAAAGGAGAGGATGTGGAGCTAAGGAGGAGGTTTGAATAACAAAGGAACATCAACTAGGAGGTCCAAATGGTTGCCCCAGTGATGAGGCAGCCCAGTTTATGGAATCAGGAATGGAAAAGACAGGTGAGCAGTACAGTGGGTCAGGTAGGCAAGTGGATGGCCTGAGATGGGGCTGAAGTATAATAGAGTGGTTATAAGAAGGGTGCTCAGTATCCACAAGGTACCAGTTCAAACCCAGGCTCTGCCATTTATTTGTTGAGGGACTTTGGGAACGTCTTTCAACCCCACCACCCCCAGCCTCAGTGGATGCATGTAAACTGGAGATGATAGCACCTGACTCATAGACCTCAGAGGGTGGAGGGGAAATTAGGTAAGGAATGAATTAAACAGCTGCCACATAGTGCAGAAATCAATGGTGGTTGCTGCCCTTTGAGGACAAATACCTAAGGCAAAGATGTTACCTCAAGTTGGCATTTAGACAAAACCTCAATCAAAATGTTTGTGCTGAGAGCCAGCCAGAGAGTGGACATATACATTCTGCAGGGATGGAGTCGGACTTTATCAGGTTTATAATGAGAACGACCTTGACCCAGTCTTGTTTCTAATACAGGAGGCAGATTCCTCCAGTAGGGTGATTTTACATTCCAATTCTCCTGGACAGTCCCATGCCTGAACTAAATCTATTCATACCTATTCAGTATTTTTAGTGCTTTCTTTTGCTCCCCCAAAGTGTCCCACTTACGATGATAAATTACATGGCTACCCTCCCAAAACATTTATCTAACCTAGAGTGATGGTTACCAGAGGCTGGGAAGGGAAGGATGATGGGGAATAGGGGGAGGGGAGGATGGTTAATGTCTACAAAAAATAGAAAGAATGAGTAACATCTAGTGTTTGATAGCACAATAGATTGACTACAGCCAATAATAATCTAACTATACATTTTAAAATACTAAAAGAGTATAACTGGATTGTTTGTAACACAAAGGATAGATACTTGAGGTGATACATACCCCATTTACCCTGATGTGATTATTACACATTGTATGTCTGTGTCAAAATATCTTATGTACCCCATAAATATATACATCTCCTATGTACCCACAAAAGTGAAAGTTGTAAAATAAAACAATCTAAAAAATTATCTAGCCTAGATCCTTAGCAGCATTCCACTGGCAGAGACCATTAGCTGCCACTAATTTCTTCTCCTCTGCCTACCTTAGAAATAAACACTCATTTTTAGTTGATGAGCAGATTCCCTTGCTACTGGGTATTATGTGACTAAGTTCTGGCTAACAACATGTAACTAGGGTTATGTGTGACTTCGGAGAAAGACAGCACCTTCTTTGATCCTTCCTCCCTACTGCTGGCTGGAATGCAGATGTGATGGCTTCATGTGAGCTGCCATCTTGGATCATGAGGTAGCAGTCGTCTGCTGAGAATCACAGAGCATCAAGGTAAAAGGGGCATAACACCAGCTCTAAACTGCATACCTCTGGACTTCTTTTTTAGAGGAGACAAAATTCCACCTTGCATAAACTACTTTTATTTGGGGTTTCTGTCACAGACAAACATGATCCTAATGGATATACTCAGGGGCTAAACAAGGACTCGCAAATTCTCTGTCTCAAGTTACTGGAGATGGATGCTGGGCTGACGTGGGAAAGGTTATAGTGGCTGTGCGGTGGTTAGGAGCTTATGCTCAAGTCAAGCAGACCTGAGTTCCTAATTCTACCTTTTAATAGCTACATGAACTCGGGCAAGTTTCTTAACCTCTGTGAGCCTCCCTTTTCTTATCAGTAACATGTGGGTAATGTTCTAGCAATTATGTTCTAGTTTAGTGTGAAGATTTAATGATATAATATATACGATGTTCTCAGCATAATGCCTGGTACACTGTAAGCCCCCTGTAAATGGCAGTTCTTACCATTGCTGTTATCACTACTGTTCTTGATTATTGTTATTACTGTTGCCTAGGTTCCCCTGGAAACAGCCCCTCTTTATTTTGATATATGACTGCATCAGGGCCAGGAAGCTGGGCTTGGAATCACCTACGAATTTCTCTTGTATGGGAGCAGCAGACATGTCCATGGCCAACTTCTGTCCTCAAGGCATCCCCTGACCTGCAGGAGCTGTCAGCAAGAGGCAGATATGCAATTTCACAACCAGGACCTCATGCACTGCTCCCAGATATGTGACAGGAGGGACGCCCAGGAACCAAGTGTTCCGAGTATGAACCCTGAGCAGCCTGGAAAAGACCACGTCTAGGGGAAGGACATTCATCCCAGATTCCGCGGGTCAGGTAGGACATTCATCCCAGATTCCATGAGTCAGGTGAGGCATTTATCCCAGATTCCACAGGTAGGTCAGATGTTTATCCCAGATTCCATGGGTCAGGTGGGACATTTATCCCAGATTCCGTGCGTAGGTTAGATATTTATCTCAGATTCTGTGGGTCAAGTGGGACATTCAACCCAGATTCCGAGAGTCAAATGGGACATTTATCCCAGATTCTGCAGGTCAGGTAGCACATTCATCCCAGATTCCATGGATCAGGTGGGACATTTATCCCAGATTCTGTGCATCAGGTGGGACATTCATCCCAGATTCTGCAGGTCAGGTGGGACTGAGACCCACAGAATGTATCTTGCCTGTAGCTATGGATACCCTAAGTCAATGGTTTCCAAATGCTGGTGGGAATCAGAATCACCCAGGGAAGCCAGGAGGAATGCCAAGGCCTGGGCCCTTTCCTCCTTCAAGGAGCCTGAGCCACTGCACTTATTATTAGCACTCTTGGTGACTGCCCACAAAGTTTGAGAACCACTGTCTCCAACTCAGGGAACATCCTGAAACAGGGTAGGGGGAGAGAGAAGCTGAGATTTGTAAACCAAAGAAAACATCTCACTGGGCCACCAGAACTGTATTGCCCCCTGATCCGTGTCCCCATTCTCTCTCACCAGGGTCACAGCAGCAGCCTCAAAAGTGGTCTTCCTGCCTTTGATCTCACTTCTATCTCTGGGTCATTGCAGCCAAGGTGATCTTTCTAAGTCATGGATTTGTTCGTGGAACCCCTCCCCCACCCCATGATTAAAACCCTCAAGGGCTGCCCATTGCCTCCCAGATAAAGCCCTAACTCTTTATCATGATTTGTAGGACCCTTTTCGATAGGATCCCTGCCTGATTTTTCTAATTCAGTGGTTCTCAGTCGGGGGTGATTTTGCTCCCCCACCTCCAATTGGGGATATTTGGCAATAATGCCCGGAGACATTTTTGGTGGTCACAAGCAGGGAATGAGTACTACTGGTATCTAGCAGGAAGAGGCCAGGGATGCTAAGCATCCTAGAGTGTGCACGACAGACCTCTGTAATAAAGAGTTACCCCAGCACCAAATGTGAATTGTCCCAAGGCTAAGAAACTCTCCCCTAGCCTCACTTCTTGCCACTTCCCTCCTCTCAATCCACAGTCCAGCCTCTTAGGCCTTATTCCATTCATCCAATGTGCCACTCCTTCCCTACCCATTGAGCCTTTTCACTGGACTGCTCTTCTCCCAAAATACCATTCCTACCACCTCTTGGCTTGGCTAAACTGCACTTGCCCTTTTAGTCTCAGATGTCTCTTCTTCCAGGTAGCATCTTGCTCCAAGACTGAGTCTGGTGCCTGCGATTTACCCATAGAAAAGCCCCTACCACATGATGCTGTAATCTCCTGTTTGCTTGTTGGCCTCTCTCACAAAACTCTAAGCTCCTTGGGGACAGGAATTGGATCGTGTTCAGCTTTGTACTCACCTGTGCCTAGTACAATATCTAGAACAGAGTAGGTGCTCAATGAATACTTGTTGAATGGATAAGTGAATGGATGAGGTGTTAGAATACACTGCCAGGAAATAAGAGCTAGACTGACAGCTCATGTAGGCAAGCCAGACTGTAATCTAGAAAAACACTGAGCCCAATTCCTGGTCTGGCCTGGCAACTGTGATCTAGAAAAAGACTGAGCCCAACAGAATCCCAGCGTATGTTGTATCAGGGAACGAGCTCCATTAAAGAGCTAGGGATGGGTGGACACTTATCCCCTTTCCTGCTGCTCAGTGGAAGACAGGTGGCTCCTGTACAAAGTTAGGTTCCCCATTTTTTTTCTAGATCCCACCCTTTCATTTATTTCCTGCCCTGTTTGTTTTATTGTTTGTTTGTTTGTTTGAGACAAAGTCTTGCTTTGTCACTCAGGCTGGAGTGCAGTGGCACGATCTCAGCTCATCGTCACAACCTCTGCCTTCCGGATTCAAGCGATTCTCCTGCCTCAGCCTCCCAAGTAGCTGGGATTACAGGTGCGTGCCACTGCACCGGGCTAATTTTCTCTATTTTTAGTAGAGACGGGGTTTCACCATGTTGGTCAGGCTGGTCTTGAACTCCTGACCTCAGGCGATCTGTCCACTTTGGCCTCCCAAAGTGCTAGGATTACAGGTGTGAGCCACCGCACCTGGCCCCTCTTTGTTTTTAATAGTAATGGATGCCTCTTCACCACCACCATCCCCTCAGAGCTAGATACTCCCCACTAGCTACTGCCTCCTCCCTTCTCTTCTCAGCCAAGAGACTCAAGAGTAGTGTAGTCTATGCTCAGGGACTCCACTTCCATCCAGAACCTCCAGGAGTGCCATTCACATCATGCTCTGTGAGGGTGACATATCTGGAAACATAGCTCTGTGGAACACAGCAAGAGAGAAGCCCCAGGATTTGAGTTCTACCCACCCCTCCATCCACTGCTCTCTGGCTCTCATCACCGCACTGAGCCAGTTCTGAGTAGGGTCATAGAAAACACCATATTTGCCCAGCGAAATAGACATTTTGAGTAGTGATCTTACACAACCTCTGAGGACAGTGGCTCGGTCAATCCTTCTGTCCTTCTCCACCCTTGGCTCCCCTGACTCCACTCCCTTCTGCTTTTCCCTCTCTCTCTCTGACTGTGCCTCTATTTGTGCCTTAGTTCTTGACATTCATCTGAATTCCCTTCTTGGCTCTTCTTATCTTCTTTTTCCTCCCACTCTTTCTAAGTGATGAGGAGGTAGTGAAAGCTCAACACATGAACGGATTCCTAATCCAAATTGTTAGCACTCCTATCCATTTGAATTCTTAACTCTTTCTTGAATCCACCCTCCTCTTACTATCCCTACTGCAATTGCCCACACACATCCCACCCAGCTGCCAGTGTGGCTTTTCAGTGGAATGGGACTCTCTGTACCTTTCATCACTTGAATACTTCCTCAGCCTCACACCCAGACAGGACATCTTTCAACTGTATTAAATCAGAAATCATATCATATTTCATCAAATCTAAAACACTGTGCTGCAGCACTCTGTTGACCTTTCAAGAAGGTACCAAAGGGATATTTCCATGCAGCGTGGCTGCCAGCACTTATAAATGGATGAAAGTTATGCTGAGAGGGAATCAATAGTCATAAGACAGAGATTTGTTTGTCTTCTAAATGGTCTACTCCAAGAATGTGAGAATCCACCATGCAGTTCCCAGGACAAAATCAGGAATGGCTGTCATCTGGCATTGATTACAGAGGACTGGAGAAAGATGGATCTGGGATCATGGACAGGGAAGAAAGAAAGAAAGAGTAAGAGAAGGAGAGGCGAGAAAGAGAGAAAGGAAGGAAGGAAGGGAAAGAGAGAGAGAAGGAAGGAAGGAAGGAAAGAAAGAAAGAAAGAAAGAAAGAAAGAAAGAAAGAAAGAAAGAAAGAAAGAGAGAGAGAGAGAAAGAAAGAAAGAAAAGAAAGAAAGAAAGAGAAAGAAAGAAAGAAAAAAGAAAGAAAGAGAAAGAAAGAAAGGAGAGAAGGAGAGAGAGATAAGAAAATGTACTTCCTAGATCCCATCCAATGTGATTGTCTATGGACAATTGAGACCCACGAGGAAATATTTGATGCTACCCTTTTGATCCTGACGATACCAGGGATTGGCTTCGAATAACCCTGGTTCTTTCTGACAATGAACTGGGTCCTTTCAGATCCAATAGGTCATAAAGGCAATTTTACAAAAGTGAATTCAATCTCATTGTTAAACTATTAGAATAATTAAATACCCCCATTCCTTGTGACCTACAGGAGAAAGTCCAAAATGTGAAAGAGCATTATGTGGGTGGGGACTTAGAGAATATTGGAAATCTCCCAAACCCTCTAAATATATCCCTACTGCTTTGTTATTGCCAGGCAGCTTATAAACAGCAGTGACTGCAGAGGGAGGAGAGGTGGTGAGAGTGAAAGGCTGCCATGTGCATGGTGTCTGGCTCAGCCTGCCCAAGAGGCCAGCACCCCATCATTCCCCAATAAATCAGGAGGTCATTTTTCACTGAACTGAAGCTAAATACTCCCATCGTTTTCTCCCCTAACCAGTCCCAAGATTGCTCCGTGCTCTTTATTACCTTTCAATGACTTAAGCCCCTGAACTGAATAACTTCATCAAGGTGTCAACCTAAACAGATTTTCCCCATAATGGTCCAACTCTCACAGGTTCTTAATGAAAAATATTGATTTCTAAGGATTAGTTGCAGATTTATGTGTTGGGATGCTGATCTCTCTGTCACCTGACACCTTATCAGTATATGAAAAAACCTAGTTTCTCCTTCGTGGTTTTTAAAAAAAAAGCAATCACCGGCTGTGTCAAGGGGCAGCTTGGGTCCAGAAAAACAAATAAAATTCTCTGTCTGGATCCCATGGAATACTTAACAGCTAGTGGGGGTGTGGATGGGGAAGGCGCTGAGACACCTGTCTGCCTTCCTCACTAGCATCTTCACTGGTTGGGTTGTGGGGAGACCAGGTGCAGAGAAGCTGGAAAAGCAAATGGAACAAGCATCCATCCCTCTTGGTATGACAGATCTCCAAGACACAGTCTGGAGAAAAGCTTGTCGTGTACACCCTGTTTGGGGCTGGAGACACCAACTGGAAGAAATACAGCAGCTGCCATCTCAAAGTGGCATTCAATCAACACCAGGCTAGGTTGGCTCTGCCAACTCACTCTGTTAAACGTGGTTCTCAAGGGATGAAGTTAAGACTTTGGCACCTAAAACCTCAGCAAGTTGCAGAGCAGAGAAGAATCTCTCCCATACCCGGAAATGGCTGGAATGGAGTAAGATTCATTATTTATCTATTTGATAAATATTTATGGAGGGTCTATGTGCCAAGCACTATACTAGGCAATGGGGACGCCATAGTCAGCAAGGCCAGATGTGGGTTCCTGCCTTCATGGAGAAGGTGACCAACACACACACACACACACACACACACACACACACACACACACACTCACACATACATGTAGAACTGCAACTTCAACACGATTCAGGAGAATGGGGACACAGGGCTGCAGCAGCCTGTAATGAGGGCATTTACCCAGTAAAAGACGTCAAGAGAGATTTGTCAGAGGAAGTGATGGTCAAGGTAACACCTGAAGGATGAGAAGGAGCTCACTGGAAAAGCAGGAAGAGTGGGGAGCATGTGGGCACAGGAAATAGTCTGTGGGAAAGCCCTGTTCCGGAGGAGCCCAGCACCACCAGTGTGGCCAGAGTGCAGAGAGAGCTGGTGGTAGGCATGACACAAGAGGGCTCCGGAGAAGTGGGCAGAGGCCAGATTGTGCTTTGGGTCACTATCCCAAGTGCAACAGGAAGCCATTGAAGGATTTTCAGATCCACACCTTGCAAGGATGACTTCGGTTGCTCGGTGGAGAATGGATTGCAACAGCCTCACCGTGAAAGCAGGAGGAAAGGGGCTGAGGAGGTGACTGCAGTGGTCCAGGCAAGAGATGAAGCAGTGATGCTGCTGGAGACGGAGAGAAGAGGACAGAATCCAGAAATATTTTGGAGAAGAAAAATCAAGAGTCATTGGTATGGAATCGAATGTGGGGTGGGGATAGGATGAAGGAAAGGAGGTGACAAGGATGACTCCCAGACTTTTGACTGAGCTGCTCCTTCTCTGCAGTGATGGCCTCCTCGTTTTGGGCCACTAAGGGCTTCTCCAACCACTGGGAAGCACTTCCAGAACAAGGTCCTCATTTCCTTTTCAGCTCTCACAGCAGGGACTGGCAAACTTCCATAAAGAACAACATAAAAAATATTTTAGATTTCAAAAGCTGTACCATCTTTGTCTCAATGACTCAACTCTGCTGCTATAAAGCAAAAGCAGCCACAAGTAATATGTAAACAAATTATTGTGGCTGTGTTCCAATAAAACTTTATTTAAAAAAAAACAAGTGATGGACAGGATTTGGCCCTCCAACTGCAGTTTGCAGACCCCTGCCCTAGAGGACTGGGAGGAATCTGGAAACTAAGCTGAACTCCTACATTCCCCAGGCCTGAAGAACTGGAGTATTCCATTGAAATAAGAGTACTTATTCCCAGGCCCGGAAGCCTGAGACCTTCCCCCAGAAATACAGCAGGGGGCCGAGGACTGTAGTGTACCCAAGACCCCACAAAAGACCTAGGGTCAATGGGAGAATCCCAGAGGTGTTACTAGGCTGATGAAATAGACCTCCAACTTCCCCTGGGCTTCCTCAGGTTCCCAACACCATCCAGAAAGGAAATTCAGGACAAATCTTTCATATACTCATACATACTCATCTGAACTTATAGCAGAATAAAAAATAAATAATAATAAAAAAAAACCAGAAGGGTATATAAGAAACAAGTAAGTGCTTACATATAAGCCTGAGGGTGAGAATGGGATGTGAATGAGACTGTCACGTGTATATATTTTTGCATCATGTTGAGTTCTGAACTACATGAATATATTACTCAAGTATTCTCTACTCAAAAAAATAGTAAATTTCTTCATAAAACGCACAGAAATGTATCTAGTTCTTGCCATTAGATTTTTTTTAACTATTGAAAAAGCTCTATATTTATCCTTGAAATTACACAGGGGGCCGATTTGAAGCACAGCTGCATTGCACATGAAACGGCAGTGTGTCCTGGTGACAAATTAATAGAAGTCCCTTTTTCTGGTTTGCTTCTCAGGTCTGCTCTCTCGTTACTAGTAGTCTACTTGCAGCTTCTCCTCTTGTTTTAAACAACTCCCCTTCCTCAGGCAACAGCACCCACCCTCACGCTGGGGAACCTCCCTCCCTCATTCAAAACTGTCAGGTGGGACTGTCAATCAAGAGGCTCTCTGCCTGCCCAGGCATGGTCATGTGACCCAGGCTAAACCAATCAGATTAGCTCTCCCTAGAATAGGCCTGGAGGTGCCCCCCAGGCCCCATTCCGGAGAAACATGGTAAGGTACCTTAATGGGTTTTCAGTTAGTTCCTGTTGCCTAGATCTTTGAGGCAGCCTTTTCAAAAGAGCTTTCTTTCTATTTTAGCTTTTGTTTTTTTGGCTTAAGTTGGCCAGAATCCATTTTTGTGGCTTGATACTGATGCAGTCAGTGATCCTGCATAAAACTCTCCAGTGCATCCTTGTGGCCTACAACACAAAGGGCAGACAGGACAGACAAGTCCCAATGTGCACAACTGTGGCTCAGCTTCCCCACTTTCCAAGCCCCTGCCTCCCCACTGCCCTATCCCCCCAGCCACCTGCCGCTTCAGTCACATGGAATTCCTGCTCTTTCTCCCAAAGCATGGCATAGATTTCTCTGCTGTATTCCCGCTTCCTCACCTGAAAAATTCCCTACCGATCACTCGAGGCAGTGGATTGCAGTGGATCAGAGTGCGAGTTCTGCTTGGGCAGAATGGCCGTTGGTGATTGCTTTTTCTTAAGTCCTGCTCTCCAAATGTAAGATTGGTCAGTCTCTCCTTCCCTGGAGACGCACGCTAGAATCTACCAGGACTCTGGGGCCAGTTCCTGAGCCCATTACAAGGATCCAGGATGACAGTGATTTTTTTTTTGAGACGGAGTCTTGCTCTGTTGCCTAGGCTGGAGGGCAGTAGCACGACCTCGTCTCACTGCAACCTCCAACTCCCAAGTTCAAGAGATTCTCTTGCCTCAGCATCCCATGTAGCTGGGATTACAGGTATCCGCCACCACACCTGGCTAATTTTTGTATTTTTAGTAGAGACGGGATTTCACCATGTCAGCCAGGTTGGTCTCGAACTCCTGGCCTCAGGTGATCTGCCCACCTCAGCTTCCCAAAGTGCTGGGATTACAGGTGTAAGCCACCGCACCTTGCCCACAGCACTGAATTTAAACATGTTTCTGCCAGTTGACCTTGGACAAAGTGCTTGCTTCATATCCTCAGAGGAGCTTGGTTTGCTTATCTTTGGATGTGAATTCTACCAACTTCACAGCGCGGGTTTATTTATTTAACAAACTCTCTGCACCAGACACTGTTCTAGGTGCTTTACACATATTCGTTGATTTAATACTCGTAATACTCGTAACAACACTATAAGGCAGGTACTATTTGTGTCCCCATTTTGCAGATGAGGAAACTCAGCACAGAGAGGTTGTTAGTTGTCTAAGGTTGCAAAGCTAGTATGGGATGAAATGAAAGACTGCATGGGAATTACTTAGCACAGACAGGAGATAATAAATGTTCCATCAAATTGTAGCTATTTGTTATAGACTAAATTATTGCCCCTCATTCATATGCTGAAATCCTAACCCCCAATGTGAGATATGGCCTGCAAAGGGGTAATTAAGGTTAAATGAAGTCATAAGGGTGGGGCCTAATCCAATAGGATTGGTGTCCTAATAAGAAGAGGAAGAGACACCAGGGATGGGTGTGCACAGAGAAAAGGGCATGTAAGGATGTAGCAAGAAGGTGCCACCTGCAACCCAGGGAGAGAGGCCTCAAGAGAAAGCAAACTTGCCAACATCTTGATCTTGGACTTCCAGCCTCCAGAACTGTGAGATGTAAATTTCTGTTCTTTCCGCTACACAGCCTGTGGAATTTCATTACGGCAACCCTAGCAAACTTACACACTATTGAAGAAAATATCACTTTGTGGTGGAAATCACAGTTGTTTTTTAAACGTACATCTGACAATGTTACCCCAGGAAGTAAACCCCTTCAGCAACTCCTGTACCATTTCCTGGGAGGAAATTGGGACCAGATCCTCTAAGATGGGCTTATACTATGGCCAAGCCTGGAAGAAGACAGGAACTAAGGCATCCCCAGAGGGTAGAAAAGAGGAATCATAACCAACACAGGATAGCCTGATGTTTAAAAGCATAGGCTCACACTGGGTATAGTGGCTCACCCATAATCCCAGCTATTTAAGAAGCTGAGGCAGGAGGATCGCTTGAGCCTAGGAGTTCAAGATCAACCTGGGCAACATACTGAGACCCCTGTCTCTAAAAAAATAAGGCATGGGCTCTGGAGCCAGACTTCCTGGGTTCAAATCCTGGCCCTGCTACTTACTAATTTTGAGGTTGGCAAGTTACTTAGGTTCTGCATGCCTTGGTTTTCCCCTCTGAGAAATGGGGACAATGATAGTATGTGTCTGATGGTTTTATTATAAGTGTTAAATGAATTAATATAATTAAAGTGTTTTGCATGAGTGCTGGGCACTTAGAGCCATATGGGTGCTAGCTGTTACCATTGATAGTTTTGTGGCTACGAAACCACTATTATAACCAAAGTCTTTCTCTCTGCTCGAGATTCAAATCCTAGGTTGAAAGCCTCAGAGAATCCCAGATCAATTCTCCTATTACTGTCCTATGAATCTGCATCAAATAGAAAAGAGCTTATTCCTCAAAAGGAAACTAAAAGAGCCTAGAAATAAATCCACACACAAATGATCAAATGACTTTCAACAAGTGGACAATGTAATTCAAGAAGAAAAGGACAATCTTCAACACATGGTGTTAGAACAGTTGGATACATATATGCTGCTGAGGCGGGAGGATCGCTTGAGGCCAAGAGTTCAAGACCAGCCTGAGCAACATAGCAAGACCTAAAAAGATCTCTAAAAAACATTTTTTTTAATTAGCTGAGCATGGTGGTGTTGCACATCTGTAGTACCAGCTACTCAGGAGAGGCTGAGGCAGGAGGATTGCTTAAGCCCAGAAGTCTGAGGCTGCAGTGAGCTATGATTGCACCACTGCACGCCAGCCTGGGCAACAGAGCAAGACCCTGTCAAAAAAAAAAAAAAAAAAGAACTTAGGCCCTTACCTCACACACAAAAATTAACTCAAAATACTCAAAATGGATCAGAAACCTAAATATAAGAGCTAAAACTATAAAACATATAGAAGAAAACATAGGAGGAAAACTTGTGTGACCTTGGGCTGGGAGGAAAACTCCTGTGACTTTGAGCTAGGCAAACATTTCTTAGAAATAACCCTAAAAAGTACAATTCATGAAAGAAAAAAATTGACAAGTTAGATTTCATCAGAATTTAACATTTTTGCGCTTTAAAAGATGCCACCAAGAAAAATGAAAAGATAAGCCATAGACTGGAAGAAAATATCTGCAAAACACATAAAGGACCTGTACTGAACACAGTGAATGCTTACACTCGATAATATGAAGATAGATAACCTAATTTTTTAAATAAATGAAAGAATAGACCGTTCACCAAAGAAGATGATATACCAATGAATAATAAGCATATAAAAAGTTGCTCCATACCATTAGCTGTTGCAGAAATGCAAGTTTAAGCCACAATGAGATGCCATGACACACTTAATAGAATGGTTAGATAGAAAAGGCCAACAATACCTAATGTTAGTAAGGACATGGAGTAACTGTAATCCTCATATATTGATGGTAGGAATGTAAAATTGTGCAGCCACTTTTGAAAACAATTGGGCAGTTTTTTAAGTTATGCACCAAATATCCAGCAATTCCACTCATAAGTATTTAATCAAGATTCAAATGCAGGATATATCAGGGCAAAGACATATATCCAATTGCTCAAAGCAGCATTATTCATAACAGCCAAAAAAAGTGGACAATCCAAATTCAAATTCATCTAAATCCATCAATTAGTGAATGGGTAAACAAAATGTGGTGTATACATAAAGCAATAAAAACGAATAAACTATACATACTTAAAACAACATAGATCAGCCGGGCATGGTGGCTCATGCCTGTAATCCCAGCACTTTGGGAGGCCGAGGCGGACGGATCATGAGCTCAGGAAATCAAGACCATACTGGCCAACATGGTGAAATCTCATGTCTACTAAAAATACAAAAATTAGCTGGGTGTGGTGGCACGCGCCTGTAGTCCCAGCTACTCGGGAGGCTGAGGCAGGAGAATTGCTTGAACCCGGGAGGAAGAGGCTGCAGTGAGCCGAGATCGTGCCACTGCACTCCAGCCTGGCGACAGAGTGAGACTCCGTCTCAAAAAATAAATAAATAAATGAACAACATAGATTAATCTCAAAAACATTATGTTAAGTGAAAGAAGACAGACATATAAGACTATATATTGTATGATTCCATTTACATGAAATTTCTAGAAAAAGGGAAACAGTAGAGATGGTAACCACATTGGTGGTTGCCTGGAGCTGGAGGTTGGAGTTGGGATTGACTATAAATGGAAATGAGAAAACTTTTGGGAGAGATGGAAGTTTTCTAAAACTGGATTGTAGAGATAATTGTGGCATTATATGAATTTGCTAAAACTCATCGAACTGTACATTTTAAACGGGTGAATTTTAATGTATGTAAATTATACCTCAATAAAGCTGTTAAAAAATAAATAATAAACCATGAAAAAATAAGCAAGAGAAAAGAGGAAACCATGATGCTGTTAGATTGGGGATTATATGGTTTGGATATTTGTCCCCTCCAAGTCTCATGTTGAAATGTGATCCCCAGTGTTGGAGTGGGACCTGGTGGGATGTGTTTGGGTCATGGGGGTGGATCCCTGATGAATGGCTTGGTGCCCGCCTTGCAGTAATAAGTGAGTTCTTGCTCTTAGTTCACATGAGATCTGGTTGTTTAAAAGAGTCTGGCACCTCCCCCTCTCTCTCTTGCTCCCTCTCTTGCCATGTGACACATGGGCTCCCCCTTCGCCTTTCACCATGATTGGAAGCTTCCTGAGCTCCAAGACAGCACCATGCTTCCTGTACAGCCTGCAAAACTGTGAGCCAAAATAAACCCCTTTTCCTTATAAATTACCCAGACCCCAGACTTAGGCATTTCTTTACAGCAATGCAAAGCAGACTAACACAGGGGGAAAGGATGCTGGACTGGGAGAGAAAAACACTCACATATATTACCCATTTTTACACATTAGGAAAATAAGAAACAATGACTTGCCCTATGTCACCCAGCTAGTAAGTGGGGGAGCCCAGATGCAAACTCCCAACTCTTTGGCCCCAAACGCATGCTCTTAACCTCTCCGCCATGTGATCTTTCTTCCCTTTTGCACAGCCTCTCACCAGTCAGCCCCACTGTATATAGGGAGACCATGAGGGACTCTTCTCACATTGCTACGTGAGCAGAATCCTCATCTGTCTGACATCTGCTGAAAACACAAGCAAAAGACACTCTGAGGCCTGATGTCTTCCGACGGTTCATTGAAGTTGCAGTTGTTACTTTCCCTTGAACTGTGCAAACGCTTGGTGTGCTCGGGTTGATTTGGTGCTTTTTGTATATTGCTCATCTGGCAGAGAATTACTACTCTGCTCTACAAGTTCCCACAGATGGCTTTATTTTCCATTGCTATTAAATTGGTTTTGAACAAGACATAATTCTTCAAGTGCCTGGTGTGCTCTCTGGGTTTGCTCAGGCAAGATTCCATAAAAATGTAAATAATCGGAACACTTCTGGGATTATTTATCACAACTGACTTGTGGCTGTAAATTTATGTATTAATTTCAGCTATAAGCTTCAGTGGGGAAAAGATGAACCATTGAAAATAGTCTCTTCCACCCTAACATCCTCGCTATGTCCCCATTTCCCCTCTGCTTCCAGGGAACGTACCAGAGAATGGCTCACACATCTGGGTCTGAACGACATTGAACAGGCTCGAAAAGGAACCAGGTGGTAAGTGGGGAATAATCACTCCTCAGCAACCCGCAGGCTCATCACTTACTGCTCTCCCCTGGGTCTTCGGACCCCAGTCACACCAGCCTTTCACTTGCTCCTGTGGATTCCTGCCCCAGGACCCTTGCACATGCACCCCAGGCTTGTAATGCTCCTTCTTCCCTTTTATGCCTGGTTCACTCTTACTCATCCTTCAGCTCTTGGCTCAGCGTCACTTGTTTGGAGAAGCTTCATCCCCGCCCACCTGCTAGACGAGGTCTCCTCCCAGGTGTTCTTCTCATCCACAGCGCTACTCACAATCACAGTTCCTCATTTTGGGAGGATTTTTAAAACTTAATGTCTGTCTCCCCTACTTGGCTGTAAAAATTTCATGAGGGTTAGGGCTGTGTCTTTGTCGCCTGCATGCCCAGAGCCTGGCACAGAGTTGAAGATGGATGAATGTGTGCAGAACAAACTAATGGATCCACTTGGAATAAGAGCACATAGCAGGGCTCTTGGGGCCTCTGCCCACACGCACTCAGACCACGCTCTGCACACAGCTCCTTGTGTGCTTTCTCTTAGCCAGCACCTGCATGTTGGCAGAGGGCTGCTCTCACTTTGCCTGTGTGTGCTGAGACTGGAGTGCCTGGGAATTTGCACTCTCCTTGGAGGCCAGCCCTTAACCAATTAGTGGTGAAGGCAGGCTTAGAAGCATGCCAGCTGGCCGGGTGGAATGGCTCATGCCTGTAATCTCAACACTTTGGGAGGCCAAGGCAGGAGGATCACTTGAGGCCAGGAGTTCAAATCCAGCCTGGGCAACACAGCAAGACCCTATCTCTACAAAAAAAAAAATTAAAAATAGCCGGACATGGTGGTGAGTGCCTATAGTCCCAGCTATTTGGGAGGCTGAGGCAAGAGAATTGCTTGAGCTCAGGAGTTTGAGGCTGCAGTGACCTATGATCGCACCATTGCAGTCCAACCTTGGTGACAGAGCAAGCCCCTGTCTCTGAAACATCACGCCAGCTCTCTTGTCTTGATCGGAAAACTGCAAGGAGCAGCCTGAACTCTCCCTGGAGCTGTCCTGGGGACTGAGCCACAGCAGTCCTCCTGTAGGACCTTGCTTGATCCAACACCCTTCTTGGCTTCTTCTCTTCTCCATTCTATTTTCCCACTCCCCTACTAGTGTTTCTGAGAACCCCTCATAATAAATCACTTTTACACAAATCCTCGTCTCAGCGTCTGCTTCCAGGGAGCCCAACCTAAAACAGAGAGTCTTCTGCCTGCAAATATTCTCACTGAGCTGTGATTAAGATCATACATTTTAGAGCATGCAAGCACTCTAACCAGACAGGCCATTTGCTGATTCAGACAAGGATAAAGTCCTGCTAGTAACACTGTAACTGGCAGGGCATATTCATGTCAACAAGCTAAGCCCCTCTAGTCTTGAACCTTCTCCCCGACTAGCCCAGTGCCCCACTGAGACAGCATGAGAAGTCTGTGCCACTGAGATCCCAACCAAACTGGACATTGGAGCTCAGCAGCAAGACTGACTTGGGGGTAAGCCAAGATCATCTTTAAGATGCTCCTGCTCCTTCTCAAGGTAGGTGAATAGCTAGAGCCCAGAAGCTCGAGACCAGCTTGGGCAACACAGTGAGATCCCATCTCTACAAAAAATAAAAAATTATCTGGGCATGGTGATGCACACCTGTTGTCCCAGCTACTTGGGAGGCTGAAGTAGGAGGATTGCTAGAACCTGGGAGGTGGAGGCTGCAGTGAGCCATGATTGTGCCACTGCACTCCAGCATGGGTAACACAGTAAGACCCTGTCAAAAAAAAAAAAAGAAGAAGAAGAAGAAGAAGAAGAAGAGGAAGAAGAAGAGGAAGAAGAAGAGGAAGAAGAGGAAGAGGAGGAAGAGGAGGAAGAGGAGGAAGAGGAAGAAGAAGAAGAAGAAGAAGAAGAAGAAGAAGAAGAAGAAGAAGAAGAAGAAGAAGAAGAGGAAGAAGAAGAAGAAGAAGAGGAAGAAGAAGAAGAAAAGATGTTATGTGCGACCAGGGCAGGGCAGAACCAAGCTTTTGGGTGGAGAGAAGGAGGTTCCTCTGACTAGAGGATCTTAGGGGGCTGAGGTGCAGGCTGTTAAGGTTTTTGTAGCAAGGATGTCTTCAGCTTTAGGACACAGACTACCTAATTTTAAAAAGGCTTACATAATAGAGACATGTTTATTGAAGGAATTGCTATAAAGCAAAATAACAGGGTGTTGTGGAAGAGAAAATCAGAAGTCAATGCAGATGGTGTTGGCAAAAGCCTCTCTAAGGAAGGTGCATTTAAATCAAGACCAGAAGATGGAGAGGGATCAGCTGTTTCACAAGAGCACAGTGGCCCCTAGAGATGTTCACGTCCCGATCACCAGAACCTGTGAACATGTAACCTCACATGGCAGTAAAGACTTTCTGGATGTGATTAAACTAAGAATCATGAGGTGGGTGATCATCCTGGATGATTTAGGTTGTTCCACTGTAATCACAAGGGTCCTTAATAAGGGAAGGAGGGAGACAGGGGGGTGGTCAGAGAAGGAGACGTGATGATGGAGGCAGAGGTCAGAGTGATGTAGCCATGAGCCAAGGCATGCAGGCTGCCTGTACCTCTGGAAAAGGCAAGGAAACAGATTATCCTGAGAGCCTCCAGAAAGAATGCCCCTTGATTTTAGCCCAGGGAGATCCATCTTGGACTTCTGACCTACAGAACTGGAAGATAAGAAATGTGTGTTGTTTTAAGCCACTAAGTCCGTGGTCATGAAGTCACAGCACAAAGAGGAAATTAACACAAGTGTCACCTCAGAGGGATCAGCATGTACACAGTCCTGAGGCAGGAGGGCTTTTATTTGAGAAATGTGAAACAGATCCATGTGGCTGGTACCCAGTGGGCCAGGAGGTAGAAGTGGACAAGATGATGCAGGCCCTCATGTACCACCCTCCACAGGAAGTTGGGATTTTATTCTAAGATTGACGGGAAGCCATTAAAAAGTGTTTGTGGGGCAGGGTGTGGTGGCTCACACCTGTAATCACAGCACTTTGGGAGGCCAAGATGGGTGGATCAGTTGAAGTCAGGAGTTCGAGACCAGCCTGGCCAACATGGTGAAATCTCATCTCTATTAAAAATACAAAAATTAGCTGGGTGTGGTGGCACATGCCTGTAATCCCAGCTACTCGGGAGGCTGAGACAGGAGAATCACCTGAACCCAGGAGGTGGAGGTTGCAGTGAGCTGAGATCGTGCCACTGCACTCCAGCCTGGGCGACAGAGCGAGACTCCAACTCAAAAAAAGAAAAAAGAAAGTGTTTTTGGTTTTTGTTTGTTTTTGTTTTTGTAGATGGGATCTAGCTCTGTTGTCTAGGCTGTAGTGCAGTGGAACAATCATAGTTCACTGCAGACTCTTGCCTCAGCCTCCCAAGTAGCTAGGACTACAGGCAAGCACCACCATGCCCAGCTAATCTTTCAACTTAAAAAAATTTTTTTTTGAAAGACGGGGTCTCACTATGTTGCCCAGGCTTGTTTCAAACTTCTGGCCTCAAGCGATCCTCCTTCCTTGGCTCCCCAAAGTGCTGGGATTACAGGCGTGAGCCACCATGCCCATCCCCATTAAAAAGTTTTAATGTAATCTGATCTTCATGTTTCCAAGACCACTTTGGCTGCTGTGTGATGATGGGGGCGGTGGGGAGGCTGTGGTGAGGACCCGTAAGAGCAGAAGCATAGAGTTCAGTCTGGAGGCTGTGAAAATAATCCAGGAAGGCAACACAATGGCCTCTATCAAGGCGGTAGGGATACAGGTAAGGAGATGGCTGCAAGATATATCTCAGACTCTGATTTATTGGCTCTGAAAAAATCAAATAAAATAATTTGGACATCTTAGTGCCAGAGGCCCTTTGATTAAATAAAAGCCAGCTTTTCAGAGACCACATGTTGGGTCCTCACAGTGACAAACAGAGCCACCACACAGGCAGTCCCCAGCGCAGGGACTTGGGGATGTTCGGGCAGCACACAGAGAGGTAAAAGGAAAATGTATGTTCCTTCCTAAGTGTCCAGCAACAAATGACTGCCCGGCAAGAAAGAAATTTAGAGTGCAGAAGGATGGTCTTGCCACACTGTGAAACTAGAAGTCAGATATGATTTACGGGGACAATGACTTAATCTCCTAAACCACCATCAAGTCCTGACCTGTCTCAGTTCCATAAAAATCTCTAGTTCAGTCTCCAATTTGAAGTTACAAAAATGAGTTTGGATCCTTCAGGAATTCAGATTTACTGTTAAGTCTATCCAAAGACCTGCCAACAGATGTTAGAGGGTTTTGGAAATGTTAGAGACTCATGCCTACTGACAGAAGTGTTAAGTAGAATCAGTGTTCCCATTTTATTTTTAAGCCAGGAGGGGAGATCGTGTTTGTCCTAGGGTGACTTTCCTGAGTACCTTCTGTTCCTCACAAGAAATAATAATCATAATGAAGAAGTTAACAACCAAGCAACAACAGATACCATTTCTGGAGCACTTACTATGTACAACATTAGGAGACAGACCTATTATCACCCCCACTTTAGACTTGAGGAAACAGAATCTCAGAAATATTTGCCAATGACTTACAAGGAAGCAGTGGAGATGGGTCTAACTATGAAAACAGGTTCTAAAACCAGAGATCTGCAAACGATGGCCTGTGGGCAAAATCCCACCTGCCCTTGTTTTTGTAAATAAAGTTTTATTGGAACATAAAACATGACCATTTGTTTACCTACTGCCTATGGCTGTTTTCCCACTCCAAGGGCAGGGCTGAGTCCTTGCCAAAAGAGACCAGATGGTCCACAGAGCCTAAAATATTTACTGTCTGTCCCTTTACAGAAGAAGTTTGCCAATTCCTGTTCTAGAACATACATTGCACAGCGAGCGTTTCCTCATAACTCCTCCTCCTACTCCTTCAGGACATTTCTATACCATCCACCCCACTCACAAGTTGGAGACCTATTCCAGATGGTTGAGTGGGACTCCCGGGATCCTCCCACTCCCACAGCCAGCTTGCAAAGACCCCTGGCATCCTTCCGTCTTTTTTTTTTTTTTTTTTTTTTTTTTTTTGAGACAGAGTCTCACTGCAAACTCACTGCAACCTCTGCCTCCTGGGTTGAACCAATTCTCCTGCCTCAGCCACCTGAGTAGCTGGGACTACAGGTGCACGCCACCACGCCTGGCTAATTTTTGTATTTTTAGTAGAGACAGGGTTTCACCATGTTGGCCATGCTGGTCTCCAACTCCTGACCTCAAGTGATTCCCCTACCTTGGCCTCCCAAAATGCTGGGATTACAGGTGTGAGCCACTGCGCCTGGCCCCAGCTGGCTTCCTTCCTCCTTGTCCTGCTCTGTTGTTGAGAGGAGGGGTAGGGTGAAGCCTAGGCCATCACAAGCAGGACTCCTGGAAAACTTGTGCCTCCTACACCAGTTCTGCTACCTCAGGGAATGAGCCAGTGGACTTACCTGTGGAGCACTCACCTGGGGAGCACACATCCCACAAGTGATTTCTTAAGAAGTACTCGTGCTATGTACAGGCAACCATAGGGCCCTGAGCTGCATGAGTTCTAGGAAACACTCATCTCAAGTCTGACTTTTATCGCACGAAGTCTTTCCATGAGGGGCCCTTATAGAAACTCTATGCAGCCAGCTGGAGGAGAAATAAGGATGGAATGCCTAGGGTGACCATCCCACAGCCCTGCCCCAAAGCCAGCAGGAATAGATGCAAAGGGAAGATGAGGGTCAGAGGCAGACACTGTAGATTCCTCTAACTTTCCAGCAACTGTATTCACAGCCTATTCTGGCCTTACTAGATCTATGTTGCTCCTTTGCTCCAAGTTCCACTTGCTCTTTGATTTTTTAAATATTTTCTTTGGGTGGGGCATGGTGGCTCATGCCTGTAACCCCAGCACTTGAGGAGGCTAAGGCAGGAGGATCACTTAAGGCCAGGAGTTGGAGACCAACCTGGGCAACATAACAAGACCTCGTCTCTACAGAAAAACAAAAAACAAGAATTAGGCAGGCATAGCTGCACAAGACTGTAGTCCCAGCTACTTTTTTTTTTTTTTTTAATTTTTATTTTTTTATTTTATTTTATTTTTTTTTTTTTGAGACGGAGTCTCGTTCTTTCACCCAGGCTGTAGTGCAGTGGCGCGATCTCGGCTCACTGCAGGCTCCGCCCCCCGGTGTTCACGCCTTCTCCTGCCTCAGCCTCCTGCGTAGCTGGGACTACAGGCACCCGCCACCTCGCCTGGCTAATTTTTTGTATTTTTAGTAGAGACGGGGTTTCACCGTGTTAGCCAGGATGGTCTTGATCTCCTGACCTTGTGATCTGCCCGCCTCGGCCTCCCAAAGTTGCTGGGATTACAGGCGTGAGCCACCGCTCTTGGCCATAAATAAATTTTTAAAACATCAGTAATAAAATAGTTTTTAAAATTTCTTCTAGTTGCTATAAAAGTTAAATAACTAATAGTGACAATGTTTATGTATTTGTATCATATGTAAGAGTAAAGTGTATAACAACAATGGCACAAGGGGTGGGAAGGAGGAATTGGGAAAACACTGGCATGAGGTTCTAGCAAAAAACATGAAGGAGTATAGTATTATTTGAAGATGGACTTATCTAAATTAAAACTTCATATTAGTCCATTCTCACGCTGCTATGAAGAAATACCTGAGACTGGGTAATTTATAAAGAAAAGAGGTATAATTGACTCACAGTTCCACATGGCTGAGGATGCCTTAGGAAACTTACAATCATGGTGGAAGACACCTCTTCACAGGGCAGTGGGAGAGAGAATGAATGCAAGCAGCGGAAATGCCAGATGCTTATAAAACCATCAGATCTAGTGAGACTCACTCATTATGACAAGAACAGCATGGGGGAAACTGCCCCCATGATTCAATTCCTTCCACCTGGTCCTGCCCTTGACACGTGGGGATTATGGAAATTACAATTCAAGGTGAGATTTAGGTGGGGACACAGAGCCAAACCATATCAAACTTACATTACAAACCCTATTTTTTTTATTATTTTTTTTTATTATACTTTAAGTTTTAGGGTACATGTGCACATTGTGCAGGTTAGTTACATATGTATACATGTGCCATGCTGGTGCGCTGCACCCACTAACTCGTCATCTAGCATTAGGTATATCTCCCAATGCTATCCCTCCCCCCTCCCCCCACCCCACCACAGTCCCCAGAGTGTGATATTCCCCTTCCTGTGTCCATGTGATCTCATTGTTCAATTCCCACCTATGAGTGAGAATATGCGGTGTTTGGTTTTTTGTTCTTGCGATAGTTTACTGAGAATGATGGTTTCCAATTTCATCCATGTCCCTACAAAGGACATGAACTCATCATTTTTTATGGCTGCATAGTATTCCATGGTGTATATGTGCCACGTTTTCTTAATCCAGTCTATCATTGTTGGACATTTGGGTTGGTTCCAAATCTTTGCTATTGTGAATAATGCCTCAATAAACATACGTGTGCATGTGTCTTTATAGCAGCATGATTTATAGTCATTTGGGTATATACCCAGTAATGGGATGTCTGGGTCTACCATCAGAGTGAACAGGCAACCTACAACATGGGAGAAAATTTTTGCAACCTACTCATCTGACAAAGGGCTAATATCCAGAATCTACAATGAACTCAAACAAATTTACAAGAAAAAAACAAACAACCCCATCAAAAAGTGGGCGAAGGACATGAACAGACACTTCTCAAAAGAAGACATTTATGCAGCCAAAAAACACATGAAAAAATGCTCATCATCACTGGCCATCAGAGAAATGCAAATCAAAACCACTATGAGATATCATCTCACACCAGTTAGAATGGCAATCATTAAAAAGTCAGGAAACAACAGGTGCTGGAGAGGATGTGGAGAAATAGGAACACTTTTACACTGTTGGTGGGACTGTAAACTAGTTCAACCATTGTGGAAGTCAGTGTGGCGATTCCTCAGGGATCTAGAACTAGAAGTCCCAGCTACTTGGGAGGCTGAACACAAGGAAATTGAGGCTGCGTTGAACCATGATCTGCACTGCACTCCAGTCTGGGTGACAGAGTGAGATCCTGTCTCAATAATAATAATAATAATAAAACATTATCTTTGCGTTATTTATTCCTTATTTACTACTTTTGCTAATAGGTAAAGTAACATCGTGGTGAGGCACGGTGGCTCATGCCTGTAATCCCAGCATTTTGGGAGGCTGAGGTGGGCAGATTACTTGAGGTCAGGAGTTCAAGACCACACTGGCCAACATGGTTAAACCCCATCTCTATCAAAAATACAAAAAGTAGCCGGGTGTGATGGTGCATGCCTGTAGTCCCAGCTACGCGGGAAGCTGAGGCAGGAGAATCGCTTGAACCCAGGAGGTGGAGGTTGCAGTGAGCCGAGATCATACCACTGCACTCCAGTCTGGGCGACAGAGTGAGACTCTGTCTCAAAATAATAATAATAATAACAATAATAATAAAGTAACACGTGGTTAGGTATCTGTTCCATTTCCCTGGCTTTGAATTTTTAGCCATCCCACCTTGTTTTAATTGTTAGAGCTTTGAAATAAGTCATTATATCTCATGTTCCCACCTTTCTCAAATTGTTCTAATTGAACCACAGGATTATTTTATTAAGCTACTAAAAACTGTAAATTCCATATGTTGAGTCTGTCAGCTAATTTTGGAAGAATTTAAATCTCTAAACTCTTTAGGTTCCAATGCAAGCAACTGAAACCTCTCTTTATTTATTTAAACCATCTGTATTGCTCTGTAAATTTTTATAGTTTTTCCTCATGTACATCTTATGTTACATACAGACTGGTTATTTTATTTTTTCATTGCTATTGCACAAAATACTTTTAATAATAGTTTCCTTATTTGTTACTGATTTTCAGAGGTTTATCTCACATCTGACCACTTTCCTGAACTGTCTTATTGAGATTGTTATAATTCTTATCATATAATCATGTCACTTATAAATGATAAATTGGTTTCTTTCATTCTCATAGTTCTGTCTCTTATTTCTCACTTACACCATTGGTCAAAAACTTCACAGCAGGCCAGGAATGGGGGCTCAGGCCTGTAATCCTGGCACTTTGGGAGACTGAGGCGGGAGGATCACTTGAGCCCAGGAATTCAAGACCAGCCTGAGCAATATAGTGAGGCCTCATCTCTTAAAAAATAAAAGATAGCTGGGTATAGTGGTGTGCACCTGTAATCTCAGCTACTCAGGAGGCTGAGGTGGGAGGATCACTTGAACCTGGGAGGCTGAGGCTGCGGTGAGTGGAGATCATGCCACTGCACTCCAGCCTGGGTGACAGAGCAAGACCCTGTGTCAAAAGAAAAAAAAAATCACAGCACACTTAGATCAGTAAATGAAAGGATATTAGTTGACTAGGGCTTCCTAATGAAGTACCACAACCAGGTGGCTTACACAACAGAAATTTATTTTCTCCTGGTTCTAGAAGCTAGAAGCTTAACATCAAGGTGTCAGCAGGGTCTGTTTCTTCTGAGGCCTCTCTCCTTGGCTTACAGATGGCCATCTTCTCCCTGTGTCTTCACATGGTCTTGCCTCTGTACATGTCAGTGTTCTTATTTTCTCTTTTTATAAGGACATCAGTTATATAGGATTAGTACCCACCATAACGACCTCACTTCAACATATTTACCTCCTTAAAGGTAATGTCTCTAGACATATTCAGAGGCATTTGGGGTTAGGACTTCAACATAAGAATTTTGGAGAAATGGGTCGGGTGTCGTGGCTCACACCTGTAATCCCAGCCCTTCGGGAGGCCGAGGCGGGTAGATCACCTGAGGTCAGGAGTTCAAGACCACCCTGGCCAACATGGCTAAACCCCGTCTCTACTAAAAATACAAAAATTAGCTGGGCGTGATGGCAAGCACCTGTAATCCCAGCTACTCGGGAGGCTGAGGCAGGAGAATCACCTGAACCCAGGAGGCGAAAGTTGCAGTGACCCTAGATCGCACCACTGCACTCCAGCTAAGGTGACAGAGTGAGACTCTGTCTCAAAAAAAAAAAAAAAAAAGGAATTTTGTGGAAATGCAATTCAATCCATAACAGTGAACATTTCTTGTCTCTAATAGGAAGATATCTGATGTTTCTTCAAGCCTGATGTGTACTTTGATTTAAAAGAGATATTTTTATCACATTTCTATCTCAAATTTTCAAAGAGCTTTTTTATCAGGAATGGATATCAGGCCTATTGAATGCCTTTTGGTACTTATTGACTAAATCATACAGAATTTTTATCTCTTCTTTTGATAGAATACATTAATAGATTTCCTGTTATTAAACAGTCCTGGGTCGGCATTGAGAATATAAAAAGAAATCCTACAAATCAATAGGAAAGGGATTTTTTTAAAATCTAGTATAAATTAGACAATGGATACAGACAGACAATTCTGAATATGGGAAGTACTCCAGATCAGTAAACACTGGAAAAATTTCCACCTCACTAGTAATCAGGGAAATGCAAATAAAAATGGGAATAAAATCGCATCCCACACAAGAGTTAGCAAGAATGTGGAATACAGAACTCTCACACTCTGTTGATAGGACAGTAAACTGCCACAACCTTATTCACACATGGCAGTGTAAAAAATGTGCACCGTGTTTGTTATAGCATTGTTTATAATAGCTACCGAAAAAAATAAAACAACCCAAATTTGTCTTAGTTCAGGCTGCTATAACAAAATATCATAAACTGGGTAGCTTATAAACAACAGAAATGTATTGCTCACGGTTCTGGGGGCTGGAAGTCTGAGATCAGGGTGCCAGCATGGTCGGGTTCTGGTAAGGGCTCTCTTCCGGATTGCGGGTGGCTACCTTCTTGCTGTATCCTTACATGGGGGAATGAGGGAAAGAAAGCTCCCAGGGGCTGTTTGTGTAATGGCACTAACTCCATTCATGAGGCTTCACCCTCGTGACCTAATCACTTCCCAAAGGATCTACCTTCTAATACTATCAAATCGGGAGTTAGGATTTCAACATTTCAATTTGGGGGACAAGGGACACAAACATTCAGTCTACATGTAAAAAATTATAAATAATGGCACTTTTTTTTTTTTGAGATGGAATCTTGCTCTGTTGCCCAGGCTGGAGTGCAGAGGCATGATCTTGGCTCACTGCAACCTCTGCCTCCCGGGTTCAAGCGATTCTCCTGTCTCAGCCTCCCGAGTAGCTGGGACTAAGGCACGCACCATCACTCCCGGCTAAATTTTGTATTTTTAGTAGAGTCAGGGCTTCACCATGTTGGTCAGGCTGGTCTCGAACTCCTGACCTCATGTGATCCACCCACCTCCGCCTCCCAAAGTGCTGGGATTACAGGCATGAGCCACCATGCCCCACCAGTACATTTATACAATGAATGAGCTAGATCTACTTGTATCAACATGGATAATCTCAAAAACAGAAGGCTAAATGAACAAAAGCCAGTTCCACAGGAACACACCTAGAATAAAACCAGTTATGGAATTTTAAAGAACATACAAGATAATATGTAGCTAAATATTGATGGATACTTATAAAAGTGGTAGGGATATGAAACATATATTGGAAAGATAAATACCAACTTCAAAATAGTCCTTATCTCTGGTTTTTGCAATTTATAGGGGATGGAAAAAGGAAGAGAAGAAAACCCAGGAGGGGTACAAAAAGTGTCACTGTAACCTATAAGATTTTATTATTTTTTTTTTAATAAAATGATTTGAAAAACAAACGTCTTTGCATTCCTAGGCTAAATCCTCCTTGGTCATGGTTAGTGACTCTATTAATGTATTATTGAATTCTGTTTGCTATTATTTTATTTATAGTTTTTCATCTAGTGCCTTGGTCTTCTGTTCTATTTTTTTTCCACTATACTCTTCAAGATTGAATTTCAGGGTTGTATCGTTCTCGTAAAATGAATTAGAAAGTTTTCCATGGTTTTCTATAATCTGGAACCATTCATTGAGTATAGGAATAAATTTGTCACCAGAAAATTTGAAGAGAACAAATACATTAGAAAAATCTGTTTAAGGAGGCTATTTTAAAATGACCATTTGATAATACTTTAACTTTTCTATTTTTATTTATTTTATTTTTTAAAGAGATGGGGTCTTATTCTGTCACCCAGGCTGGAGTGCAGTGGTGTGATCATAGCTCACTGCATCTTCAAACTCCTGGTCTCAAGGGATCCTACCACCTCAGCCTCCGAAGTAGCTGGAAATACAGGTGCACACCTCCAAGCCCAGATAGTTTTTTATTTTTTGTAAAGATCAGGATCTCACAATATTGCCCAGGATGGTCTCAGACTCCTGGCCTCAAGCAATCCTCCCACCTCGGCCTCCCAAAAAGTTGCTGGGATTACAGGTGTGAGCCAGCATGCCCAAGCACTTTTTATTTTTGTATATTTTTTTTATTCCAGACATTACTTTTTCATAATTCAATTTTTGTAATTCATATTTTATTAAAAATATCTGCATCATTGAATCATTTGTATTTCCTTACATAGAGTCACACTGTAACATCTTGGTGATTTTTTTTTTTTTTTTTTTTTGAGACAGAGCCTCTCTCTGTTACCCAGGCTGGAGTGCAATGACACAATCTCGGCTCGCTGCAACTCCGCCTCCCGGGTTCAAGCGATTCTCTTGTCTCAGCCTCTGGAGTAGCTGGGATTACAAGCATATGCCACCACACCCGGCTAATTTTTGTATTTTTAGTAGAGATGGGGTTTCACCGTGTTGGCCAGGCTGGTCTCGAACTCCTGACCTCAGGTGATCCACCTGCCTCGGCCTCCCAAAGTGCTGAGATTACAGGCGTGAGCCACTGCACCCAGCCCCTCCTGACATATTCTAAGTTGGGCCTAAGGTTTCTCCGCACTTAGTGAACTGTAACCTAACTGGATGTGTCAATAGTCTGTAATCTACTCTTGTGCCAATCACCAAGTTTCGGCCAATCACAGGCAACCAACTGTTCAAACTGTGTTCAAATATGGCAAATGCCAAGCTGTGACCAAGCCAGCTGTTTCTGCACCTCACCTCCCTTTTCTGTCCATAAATCCTCTCCAACCACACGGCAGTGCAGGAGTCTCTCTGAAAAGGAGGACTGCCCTATTCTCAAATTGTTCTTTGCTCAGTTAAACTCTGTTAAATTTCATTTGTCTAAACTTCTTCTGGGCCAAGCATGGTGTTTCACACCTGTAATCCCAGCACTTTGAGAGGCTGAGGCAGGAGGATTGCTTGAGACCAGGAGTTCAAGACCAGCCTGGGCAACATAATGAGACCCCATCACTAAAAAATATTTTTAAGTCAGCTGGGGTGCGGTGGTGAGCACCTGTAGTCCTAGCTACTTGGGAGGATGAGGTGGGAGGATCACCTGAGCCCAGGGAGATTGAGGCTGCAATGAGCTGTGATTGTGCCACTGCACTCCAGCCTGGGCGACAGAATGATACCCTGTCTCAAAAAAATATACACCATGGAATACTATGCAGCCATAAAAAAGAATGAGTTCATGTCCTTTATAGGGACATGGATGAAGCTGGAAACCATCATTCTGAGCAAACTATCGCAAGGACAGAAAACCAAACACCACATGTTCTCACTCATAGGTGGGAATTGAACAATAAGAACACATGGACACAGGGTGGGGAACATCACACATTGGGGCCTGCCAGGGGGTGGGGGGAGCGGGGAGTGATAGCATTAGGAGATATACCTAATGTAAATGACGAGTTAACGGGTACAGCACACCAACATGGCACATGTATACATATGTAACAAACCTGCACATTGTGCACATGTACCCTAGAACTTAAAGTAAAATAAATAAATAAATAGGAAAAAAAAGAAAAAAAAAGAAGGCAAAGAAAAAAATAAAAATAAAATAAAATAAAATAAAGTTCTTTAAACACCATGAAACAGACCTTGACAAGACATGCATATCCCCTTATGCCTACCCCAAGATTTAGGATGTCACACTGTACCTGTCCTTTGCGGTAATTTGTCTTAAGGACACAGGTACAAGTTATCCTGTTTTATATGCACTTTAATGAATTTTCACTTCAAATTCAAGTTGCAGTATATGTCACATGGCGCCTTCCCTTCAAAGTAACTAATGTCAACAATTTACTATGTATTTTTTCCATGTTTTTCCTGAGTTCATGCAAGCATCATACATGAAAACCAGATGAAAGGTTTTCTTTCTTTCTTTTTTTTTTTTTCAGAAATAGGATGATATTACACAAATGTGCTTCTTTACTTAACAAGAAAGTATAGGCATCTCTCCATATACCTGGCTTTTTTCAACAGTTGCATAAAATTCTGAAACATAAAACATTATAATTTATTCAATAAATCCCTGCTTTTGGATATTAATTTTGTTTCCAGATTTTTGCAAGAATCAGGTACTTAAAGTAATAAACATTTTTCTGTGGAATTGGTACTTCCATTTCTGCATGCCAAAAGTGAAATTTCTGAGCATAAGTATATTTTGAATTCCAGTAGCTACTTTCAGATTTTTCTTGAATGGTTAAAGCAATTCTTACTCATAACAGCAAAGTATGAGAGTCCTTTCTTCCTCCATACAATCATAAGTGATGGTAATAAATCATTTCTGTTTGGGTCAAATTGATTAATTTCTAAAGTAATCTATTGTCATTTTTATTTACATTTCCCCTTCCCCGAAAAGAATGAGCATAATTTCATTTGTTTATTGGCTATTTGCATTTCCACTTCTAAAGATTGCCTACTTCTATTCTTTACCTATTTCTGTACTGGATTTTTAAGTCTTTTTCAATTTGCAGAAGTTATTTGTGGATTAGAAAAATTAGCACTGGTTAGATCAACCTAAATACCCTTCAATGAGAGATGGATAAAGAAAATGTGGTACATATACACCCTGGAATACTCTGCAGCCATAAAAAACAAGATTATGTCCCTTGCAGGCACACAGATGGAGCTGGGGGCCATTATCCTTAGCAAACTAACACATGAACAGAAAACTAAATACCACACGTTCTCATAAGTGGGAGCTAAATGATAAGAACACATGGACACATAGAGGGGAAAAACACACACTGGGACCTTTCAGAGAGTGGAGGGTGGGAGCAGGAGAGGATCCAGAAACATAACTAATAGGTACTAGGCTTAATTCCTGGATGATTAAATAACCTACAGCAAACCCCCATGACACAAGTTTACCTATGTAGCAAACCTGCACTTGTACCCCTGAACTTAAAATAAAAGTTTAAAAAAGAAAAGAAACAGAAAAACTAGCCCTGGCACCCTCCCAACTATTTTTCCTGAAACTATCAAAAAAAAAAAAAAAAAAAAGAGGCAGTCTTGTTTCTGGGATCACTGCAATAAAAGCAATGGGAACCTACAGGTGCCAATGCCATATTTGCTGCCATGTAGATAGAGTTTGATAAAAAAGAAAGTAGATACAGAGAAAACGAGTTAGAGTGGGGGAAGAGAAAGAGCTAATGACATCATTTGGACACCTACATACAGCCATACTTGAAGCTGGAAGGGTTTATCCATTAAATTTCTGGGTTACAAGAGCCAATGATTTTCCTTTGGGGTTTGTGCTGGGTTTCTGTCACTTGCAACCAAAATCCTCCCAACTGTGGTGAGTTTGCGTATATTGGGACCACACCCTGATTCTAGAACAAGACCTTTGCATCCATAAGAACTGGACTTTCTAAATGCTGGGTCCAGGTAATATTTGAACTGGTCTCACCATTGTTCCTGGATAGCGCTCTGATTTCCTACTATGAGGCAACCTCTAGAGGATTCTTGGCTCAATAATGCACCAAGCTCATGGGACGAGTTCACAGTGTGTACCTGTTATATTGGTCACAACAAGAATTTGAGTCTCTACAAACCTCATGGCTTACACCGCTGTATATTGGCTGGACGCACTTAAATGAGGTCCAGGCCGGAACATGTACAGAAACCCAAGTTATAAATTACAAGTTACTCTGGATAATTTTGGAAAGGGGGTCCTTGAATTCACAGGTCTGCCAGAAAGCCTATGCAGGCCGGATCTCCAAAGGCTCATTTGAAAACACAGTACCTTCCTAAACAGACTTTTATCATAAGGCTTTTTGCCTTTTCTTAAACTATATACCACAGGACTATTCAATAGCGTTGTAAGGGAAAGAAGAAAGTAAATAGAACTGTGCATTAGAAGGCTTTGTAAACTCTTTAGCAGGGGGTAATAGAAGTGCTCGATGTGAAGCTTCTGTTCTGATCAGGTGGAAAGGCAAGACATTGAAATACTAAGAGTTTAAATAAACTTTGAACATACCATCAGAATATTCCAAATAGGATCATTTAGCCATAATACATAGACATCCCCAACTACAACAACAATAATAGGAAGCACTAATATTTACCGAGTACTTGTGTGCCAGCACTAAATGAAACACTTTTTGTTAATTACTTCATTATTCTTCCTCATATAACAACCCAATGAAGTCAGTACCAAAGCTTAGAAGAAACTAAAGCTTATAGAGCTTCTATAAGGCAGGATAAGCTACATGACGCTGAAGTAACAAAAACCTCAACATCTCAATGGCTTAACACAACAAAAGTTTACTTCTTGCTCATGTTGCACAAACAATGCAGGCTGGCAGAGAAGACGCCACCCATCTTGGGCTAATGGGGCTTTTGTCTGAATTGTGTTTCCATGACCACTGCAGCAGGAGGAAGAAAACATGAGAAATTGCACTCTAGTCCATATGGGCGCTTCCAAATGGAACTGACAGATATTGCTTCTTCTTGCATTTCATTGACCAAACGAGTCCCATGCCCACATTTGACTTCAAGGTGAAGAGAGGGGAGGAGTATGATCCAATTCGTGCCCAGAAGTAACAGAATTGGAAATATTTAATTAACAGCATTGAACACAACCGCAGGGCACAAGCTGGTCTGTCCTCTTCTAGAAACAGAGATGTCACAATAACCTTGGAAAATTCAGTTTATCTTTGTGCCATTGCTCCAAGTGAAAACTTTAAAGTTGAAAATCTCTTTGTTTTAATTGCCCACATCATAACAGAAATTCTCTCTCTTTTCCCTCCGGACCCCCATTTCTGTCTGTAACACCTTCCTATAGGAATTATCATCTTTTCACTTTATTATAATAGAATTTGTGGTCTCCTGGGCATAAAACTCTTTAAAGGGACACATTTGAGTCAGGGGGGTTGTGAGGTTTTTTATTTTTTCCTCCAAAGAAAGTTTAAAAACCTTCATTTTGTATTCAGGAATAAATGAGAAGTGGTGTTATTTATAATTGGCTCCCTCTAATTCAGACTAAATGTAGATTAATCCTAATTGATAAGACATAAAATTTAATTAAACCTTAATAAAGAACCTGGGAAAGAGTTCTCAATAGATGATATCAATGGTAATGTTGGATGCTGCATGCTGCAGTACTTCAGATAAAACACAATTCGTAGAAGTATTTTCAGGGCTTTGTGCAAGTCAAGATATGGGTCATTATCTCAAACAGAGCATTCATTAAAATTATGGATAAATCTGAGAGATGGTGTTCTCCATACAGCTCACCGATAAGAGCCTGGCCCACAAGAACTCCCAACAATCTCCTCAGCCTGTTGGTCAGGAGGACGCTCAGTTCCTTGACCTTGAAGCCACACTGAGTCACAGAAGTTGCTGTCACAGACTACGGTGTTATCAGATAAACCCCAACCCACCGAATATCCCATTGTAGAAATCCAATTAACAATGCTACATAAACATTACCCTTCTGATTGATGTTCCCAGCACGTAACATTTTTATTTCATGTACTCATGGTATGTTTATGTGTTCAGGAGTGATTGAGAACTTATCTTTCATGGTCAATCAACCTGGTATCTAATTACTGCAAACATGAATAGAGAGCCCAGGCAGAGGGGAAGATCCAGCTCCCAGGAACGGAACTCCTTCCTTGCAAATGGGAGCATAGACACTCCAGTTCCTAGCAAAGTGTATCAAAGGAAGCAAACCCTGATACCTCCAGGTGTCAGAATTCTAAGAGGAAAGTGAGCTCAGTTGGCACCACAGCAAACTGGAGAGGGTCTGCCTGATCTAAAGAGGGCAACTTTTCTCTACTCTGCCCACAGTTGCCATGAAGGAATGAGGGTCCAATGATGGCAAATCATTTCACTCTTCTTTAAAATTTGTGTATTTGGATTGTAATCGGAAACAAAACCACGTTTTTAAGTGGGAAGAAAAAACTTTTTTCAACAAAGTTTTTTTAAAAAACTTATTCCTTCCCTTTGGTTATTCCTTCCCTTTGGTTCATTTTCCCCTTTAACAAATACTTAATGAATGCTTAATATGTCCCAGGCATTGTTGTAGGCACTGGAGATAGAACAATGAAGAAAACAAAGATCCCTGTCTTTAGGAAGCCTATATTCTAGAAGAGGGAGATTGACCATAAGCAATAAACATGATAAGTAAAGCATATGGTATGTTAAATGGGAGAGGTGCTAAGAAAAGACAGAAAAAGCACAGTGGGCAGGGAACTGGAAATCATGCAGGGGTTGCCTACTGATATTTAGACACAGTGGTCATACAGAAGGTGACGTTGGAAAACAGATTTGTAGAAGAAGAGGAAATTAGCCAGGCAAATATCTAGGAAAAGAGCATTGGAAGAAGGAATGGCCAGTGCAAAGTCCCCAAAGTAGAAATGTACCCAGTGTGTTCAAGAAACAGTAAATAAACTAGGTGGCTGAAATGAACTGAATGAGGGAGAGACTGGCAGGAGGTGAGAAGAGAGAGGCATCAGGGAGGGAGCAGAGCACGTGGGGCTTCCTAGGTCATTGGAATGACTTTGGTTTTTACTCTGGGGTAGTTGCAGAACCATTGGAGTGTTTTGAGTGCAGAAGAGACACAGACAGACTTGTATTTTTACCGGGATCCCTCTGGCTACTATGTTGAAAGAAGCCTGTAGGGATCAAGGATGGAGAGGCAGGGAGACCAGCTAGGAGGCTGTAGCAGCATCTAGGAGAGAGACAACAGTGGCTCAGACAAGAGTGAGGCGTTAAGAAGGCAATGGAGGTGTTAAGAAGTAGCTAGATTCTGGAATATCCAGAATCTATAAGGGACTTAAACAAATTAACAAGCAAAAAACAAACAACTCCGTTAAAAAATAGCCAAAGGTCATGGACAGACACTTCTCAAAAGAAGACATGTATGTGGACAACAAGCATATGAAAATAATGCTTAATATCACTGATCAGAGAAATGCAAATCAGAACCACGATGAGATACCATCTCACACCTGTCAGAACGGCTACTATTAAAAAGTCAAAAACAACAGATGCTGGTGAGGTTGCAGAGAAAAGGTAATGTGTATACAATGCTGGTGTGAATGTAAATTAGTTCAACCACTGTGGAAAGTAGTTTGGAGATTTCTCAAAGAACTTGAAACAGAGCTACAATTAGACCCAGCAATCCCATTACTGGGTATATACCCAAAAGAATATAAATCATTGTACCATAAAGACACAGTGCATGCAGCCAGGTGTGGTGGCTCATGCCTGTAATCCTGACACTTTGGGAGACCAAGGCAGGTGGATTGCTTGAGCCTAGGAGTTTGAGACCAGCCTGGGCAAGATGGCAAAACCCTGTATCTACAAAAAAAAAAAAAAAAAAAGCACAAAAATTGGCCAGGCATGGTAGCACACCCCTGTAGTCCCAGCTACTCGGAAGACTGAGGTGGGGGGATCACCTGAGCCCAGGAGGTCAAGGCTGCAGTGAACCCTGATTGCACCACTGCACTCCAGCCTGGGCAACAGAGTGAGACCCTGTCTCAAAAAATATATAAAGATATATGCATGCATATGTTCATCACAGCACTATTCACAATAGCAAAGACATTGAATCAACCAAAATGCCTATCAATGGGGGACTGGATAAAGAAAATATGGTACATACACACCATGGAATAATATGCAGCCATACTAAAGAATGAAATCATGTCATTTGCAGCAATATGGATGGAACTGGAGGCCATTATCCTAAGCGAATTAATGCAGGAACAGAAAACCAAATACTGCCTGTTCTTACTTATAAGTGGAAGCTAAACACTGAATACACATGGACACAAAGAAACGAACAACAGACCCTGGGGCCTACTTGAGGATAGAGGGTGGGAGGAGGGTGAGGATCAAAAAACTACCTGTTGGGTACTATGCCCATTACCTGGGTGACAAAAGAATCTGTACACCAAACCCCAGTGACACGCAATTTACTCATGTAACATATCAGCACACATACCTTCTGAACCTAAAATAGAAGTTGAAAAGGAAAAAAAATCACTGATCAATATAGAAATGTTATTTGTAATGCATTTGATAACATGTATTTTACATTGTCTTCTGAATTTTGCCAAAAAAAAAAAAAATGAAGTAGCTTGACTCTACCTAGATTATAAGGTAGAATCAACAAGAATATCCAATGGACAGGTTGTGGAAAGTGAGAAAAATGGAAGATTTAACGACAACTCTAAGCTTTTTAGGTTGAACAATTGAAAGAACAAGAAGTCTCTATAAATATGAACCAGATCCCACATTTCTGACACAATTTAGGACAGTCAGGATATCCCAATTTATCACTTGCTGTTCAATAATAACGATGGTAATAACAATTACTATCTTTTTATTGAGCATTTACTATATGGCAAGGCATTTTATATGTATATTGCATTTAATCCTACACCCACTCCATGAGCTAGACAGATTTTTAGCCCTGTTTTTCCCCATGAGGACACTGAGGCTCAGAAAAGTTAAATAACTTGTCAAGTTCACTTACTAGTGGCAGGGCCCATAATGAAGCCCAGGACTCTATGGCTGCAAGGCCCATGACCATAATGGCATGGCATACTGTCTCTTCAATTCCATAATTTTCTAACTACTTATCATGAGTCGGGCATAGGCTGAGGCATTTTAAATATGCAATTTCATTTAATCTTTACAATAATCCTATGAAGCAGGTATTCTCATTCCCATTTTCAAATGGAAGCTAATTGAAATATCCAAGCCCTACTTCCCTTGTTCCAAAACCACGGTTCTCCAGGAAAATATGATAGAGCATGCTATGGGCTGAATGTTTGTGTCACCCCAAAATTCATACGTTGAAACCCTAATGCCCTATGTGATTGTATTTGGAGATGAGCTTCTGGGAGGTAATTAGGTCATGAGGGTGGAGCCCTCTTGATGGGATTAGTACCTATATATTTATTTGTTTATTTATTTATTTATTTTGAGACAGAGTTTCACTCTTGCTGCTCAGGCTAGAGTGCAATGGCACGATCTCGGCTCACTGCAACCTCTGCCTCCCAGATTCAAGCGATTCTCCTGCCTCAGCCTCCTGAGTGGCTGGGATTACAGAAGTGTGCCACCACGCCTGGCTAATTTTGTATTTTTAGTAGAGATAGGGTTTCTCCATGTTGATCAGGCTGGTCTTGAACTCCCAACCTCAGGTGATCCACCCACCTCAGCCTCCGAAAGTTCTGGGATTACAGGCATGAGCCACCATGCCTGGCCAGCATTAGTACCTTTCTAAGATGAGATGGAGCACTCTTGAGTTCACTCTCCTTTCTCTCTCTTTCTCTCTCTCTCTCTCTCTCTCTCATCCCTCACTCCACCCCCATCTCTCTCTCTTTCTGTCATGTGAAGATACAGCAAGAAGGTGTCTGTGCAAACCAGGAAGAAAACTCTCTCCAAATCAAATCATCTAGAACCTTGATCTTGGACTTCCCAGACTCAGAACTGTAAGAAAGAAATTTCTGCTATTTAAGCCACACAATCTATGGTATTTGTGTTACAGCAACCTGAACTAAGATAGGGCGAGTAGTGTCCCACCCACCTGCCCTGATATTAGCTGGAGGGGAACAAGAAACTGAGTAAAGTGGGAGAGGGAGTACAAAAAGGCACAAGGCACAGTCTCTGCATTTAGGGGGCGTGACTCTCCTGGGGAAGATGATCAATTACCCACAGCCGGCCAAATGCCAATATGTCTCAAGTATGTGCCTTCCTTCAGTGGGTAGCCCACCCACACTGAAGGTTCGCCCCATGCCACAGACACTACTGTACATTGAGGATACAAAGATGGACCAGAGGAAGCTCCCACAAAATCTATGAGCAATGAAGAATTTTGGAGGCATATGCATTCTGTAAATGATTTGCAAGGCTTATTTAAATGCATCATAACTGCTACTGAGCCGAACGTCTATTCCCAGTTCTTTTCCTTAAATGTTAAAGACTAAAGACAGCACTTACCATCTGCTATAGCTTGAGATCTGCTCCTTCCCCCAAGGTCTCCCGACATGGCAGGCCCTGGCTGGCAGTCCCATATGACACAGCACACAACCCACCGGGAACATCTAACAGTCAGAACATCTGCTGGCCTTTTCTCTGCACTTTGCAGCTGTTTTAAACTTGTAACCGTTCCCTCTCTGAGGTCACTTCAGGCTTGTGGACAAACATGAAGTGTCTTAGGGTATTTATCTCAGTCTCCAACGAGTCTGGGTCCTTGGACTTCTGCTTATTTATTTAACAAATACTTGCTAAGCACCGGCTATGTGCCAAACATTGCTCTTGATGATACAATGGTGAACAAGAAAGATGCAGGTTCTGCCCTCAGGAAACAAAGTCTACAAGGGAAAACAAACTTTGAGTAATTTAACTGGCTATTGAGAAGATGTACAGAGTATGGCTATTGGGAAGATGTACAGAGTACACCAGAAACATATCATGGTAGATCTAAACCAGCATGGGGTCTCCTGGAGTAAGTGATATCTGAGCTAAGAAATGAAGCAGTTGTTAGCTGGATAGTAGGGGGGACAGACGAATCATTCCAGGCAGAAGGAATAATGTGAGAAAAGGCCCTGAGTCAGGATAGAGTATGTCAGCTTTGAATAAGAGAAAGAACTATAGAACAAGGAAGAGAGTGATGTAAGATAAAGCAAAGATACTGGATCATATTGGGCCTGACAGGTCATCTCAGGGAGTCCATATTTATCCTGAAGGCAGGGGAAAGCCATTAAATGATCTAAGCAAAGGAGTGACTGGATCTATTTGCATTCTTAAAGATAATTCTAATGGCTGTGTGGGAAGAAATAAGAGAACAAGGAGGAAGTAAATTGCAGTCCTTTGCAATTGTCCAGATGAAAGCTGGCCATTTCCAGTGGCTAAACCATTGGAAATGAAATGGATGGTATCTAGGCATGTTTTTGGTAAGTGCAACAAAACCTGGTGAGAGACTGCATGAGGCCAGAGACATACAGGCAGCCAACAAGCATATGAAGGTAGAGAAGTTAGCATGGAAGCTGATTTAACCTTTTAAGGACAATGGTGTCATTTTGAGATAGGGAAAACTGAAGGAGGGGTAGGTTTGATGAGTAAGGGTGATGAATTCATTTCTAGACATGCTGAATTTGAGATGACTGCAAGGCACTCAAGAGGATATGTCCAGAAAGAAAATTCAGCCAGCCTCCTATATTTGTTCTGACTCTCCTTATGTAAAGAAGAAACAGCCAGGAAAGAAAAGCTTCTATCTTGTGAGTCTTGTTTGATTCGTGCCCCTGCTGTTGCTGACAAAAACCATGCTGATACATTTCATATTCAGGGATGTGTCAGAACCCATTGTGTAGCACCTTGGACAGCTCTCCCAGTGGCCCTTTTGACAAATCTAGGTTTAAATCAGCCTCCTATGTATCTTGCCTTCTGTCCTATCCCTCACTGCCCCACTGACCTCCTCAAATGCTACACTACAAGAGAACTGGCTGAAAAATTATTCATGCTCAACAGATCCTTCCAAAGGCTGAAGTTCATTCAGGAAGTCAAGATTAGAGTGAGCCCTGCAGAATATAGGGTGAGAGAAACTGGGAAAATGGCGTGGGGAGATAATGGAAAGAAGGGTAGCTTCAGGAGAGGACTCACTTTTTTAAACTTTTATTTTAGGTTCGGGGTACATGTGCAGGCTTGTTATACAGGTAAACTTGTGTCATAGGGGGTTGATGTACAGATGATTTCATCACGCAGGTACCAAGCCCAGTACCCAATAGTTATTTTTTTCTGATCCTGTCCCTCCCCTCACTCTCCACCTTCTGATAAGCCCCAGTGTGTGTTGTTCCCCTCTGTGTCCACGTGATCTCATCAACTTAGCTCCCACTTATAAGTGAGAATATGCGGTATTTGGTTTTTTGTTCCCACATTAGTTTGCTAAGAATGATGGCCTCTAGCTCCATCCATGTTCCTGTAAAGAATATGACTTCATTCTTTTTTATGGCTGTGTAGCATTCCATTGTGTATATGTACCACATTTTCTTCATCCGGTCTACCATTGGCGGGCATTTAGGTTAAATGTATGTCTTTCCTATTGTGAACAGTGCTGCAGTGAACATATGCATGCATGTGTCTTTGCAATGGAATGATTTATATTTCTTTGGGTATATACCCAGTAATGGGATTGCTGGGTTGAATGACAGTTTTGTTTTTAGCTCTTTGAGGAATAGCCATACTGCTTTCCACAATGGTTAATTTACACTCCCACCAACAGTGTATAAGTGTTCCCTTTTCTCCACAACCTTGCCGGCACCTGTTATTTTTTTACTTTTTAATATAGCCATTAGCCATTCAGGGTTGGGCACAGTGGCTCATGCCTGTAATCCCAGCATGGGAGGCCAAGGCAGGCAGATTTGAGGTCAGGAGTTCGAGACCAACCTGGTCAACATGGTGAAACCCCATCTCTACTAAAAAAATTACAAAATTTAGCAGGACGTGGTGGCACACACCTGTAGTCCCAGCTACTCAGGAGGCTGAAGCAAGAGAATCGGTTGAACCTGGAAGGCAGAGTTTGCAGTGAGCTGAGATCGTGCCACTGCACTCCAGCCTAGGTGACAGAGTGAGACTCTGTCTCAAAAAATAATAATAATAATAGCCTTTCTGACAGATGTGAGATGATATTTCATTGTGGTTTTGATTTGCATTTCTCTAATCATCAGTGATATTGAGCTTTTTTCATATGCTTGTTGGCTGCATGTATGTCTTTTTGTGAAAATGTTCATGAGGAGAGGACTCAATGTAGTTTCAGAAACACCGAAGAACTGTGTACACTTAAAAATGCAGCCTGAGTGTAAGGATGTAGCTTGGTAGTGCACAAAAACACTGCAATAACAGTATTGGTTTAGGTCCAAAACTTCTAATTAGGTGATAAAAGAAAGAGCAAGAGAAAAAGATAATTCTTTATGTGCTCACATAGCATCATACTCACAATATACTCTGTTTTGAGAGGGAAGGGAAGGACAGCTTGTAGTATAGAATGTACAGTATAATCTTGTTTATGTTTGCATAGAAAACTTTTCAAAGTCTGGAAAAATATACCCTAAACTGTTAATGGTAGGCATCTCTGAGAGGAGGGATCATAGTGAGATTTTACTTTCTCACCAGTATTTTCATTTTTTATAATTATTCTGTCTTAGTCTGTTTGGCTGCTGTAACAAAAATATCACAAACTGGGTGGCTTATAAACAGCAAACATTCCATGTCTCACAGTTCTAGAGGCTGAGAAGTCCAATATCACTGCCAGATTCAGTGCCTAGTGAGGTCCCATTCCTCACTGAGAGCAACTTTTAGCTGAGGTTTTGGCCTTCATGACCTAATCACCTACTGAAGGCCCCACTATTAATACCATCACACTGGGTTTAGGTTCCAACTTAGGAATTTGGGGAGACACCAATAATCAGACCATAGCAGATTCTATATTGGGTTGACATGTGGCTAATATGCAGTATGTTTCACCAGCTGTGTGGGTATTTAAAATAATAAAATGCTTCTGTACTAGCTGGAGAAAGCCACTGTCCCAAGCCCCACAAGAACTCTCCCCAATCCACTCACGATCCAGCAGGTGAAGGGTTAACACCAAGTACATCCGGGAGCTTCCAGATTCCCTAATATAATTCTAAGGGCAGGGTCCATTCAGCTTGATCTGTTTACAGGCTGGGAAAATTGTTAATTTTTAAAATATCGTCTTTTTCCCCTCCCCAAAAAAGTGGTGATTTTTTTTTTTTTTTTAAACCTCATGTTGGCTCCAATCAGAATTGCATAATGACGCTCCTGCTGGAAGAATTTTAGAACATCGGTTCGCAATTTTTATTGCGGTCATGACTCACATGTCAAATGACTTTTACATAAAGGACTCACTCTCATAGGCTTACCCAAATTTTAAAAATGATTCTGGTTTGCATTTCGCCCAGATGCAAGCTGCTGAATTGGGATTGCTACCCAAGACTCTCCCTGATGTCATGTCATGCACCTGAGTGTGCTCATTGTTTTCTGCAGGCCTGTGTCAGCTCCCTTCCTCCCACTTATTTCATACTTAGCCTCTGTTGCTTAATATTTCTTGTTATTATGTTCTGTCACCCTGACTGCTTTGTAAGCACTGTGAAGACATACAGTTGGGCAACTTTTTTTTTTTTTTTGGCCTCACTGTACCTAACCTACTGACTGGTTTGTAGTAGACCTTCAAGGATATTTATTGGCTGGTTCACATCTATAATCCCAGCACTTTGGGAGGCCGAGGTGGGAGAATTGCTTGAGCCCAGGAGTTTGAGACTAGCCTGGATGACATAGGGAGACCCTGTCTCTAAAAAAAAAAAAAAAAAAAATACAAAAAGTTAGCTGTGCATTGTGGCATGCAGCTGTGATCCCAGTTACTTAGGAGGCTGAGGTGGGAGGATCATCTGAGCCTGGAGGTCGAGGCTGCAGTGAGCTATGATCGCGCCACTGCATTCTGGCCCTATTTACTGCTATTGATACATGTTATTTGCAAAGGGATCCTCCTCCCTGGTTACTACCACAATTGTCACTGCATGGTTAGTGCTTGGACAATACAGAGCCTATTACTGGAGGCTTGAACAGGACTGGGGTGAGAAATACTCTCCCATCTTAAGGGGCAGAAATTATTTGTCTGCCTGTTTGTCACAATGGGCATGGCTTTTACAGACCTCTCTCATCCTTAATATTTTTATCTACTCTTTTCTGATAACAAATATTATTCCCTTTTCACCTAGAATGTTTGTCACAGGACAAAAACTCTTTACCCATCCCATATGCTTCGTGCCAGACATTAGAAACCATCTTTGCTCTTAGCAGCTTCCCTGTGTCAGGAAGCCAAAGTGCCTCCAGCCAGATGAAAGTCTTCAGTATCCTGATGATTGGTCAGTGTATGGTTAATGAGGGTGATCCAAACCAACGTCATAAGAAAATCCCTCCAATTCCAGTGGTTTTGCTTATTTCTCATGCACATAAAGCACAGTGGGGGTGTATCTGATCAACAGGCAACTTTCTTCCACACAGTGATTCAGGGACCCAGGCTCTTTCCATCTTACAGTTCCACTTTTCCCTAAAGCTTTGGGATTATCTGCACTCCGCTGGCAGAGAAGGAAAGAGAAATAAAGAAGGAAAGAGGGTACCCACTTCTTAAAAAAAAAAAATCCTGACCTAACACATGGACGTAAAGATGGGAACAACAGACATTGGGGAATACAAAATGGAGGAGGGGCGAAGTGGGGCAAGATTTGAAAAACTACCTATTGGGTACTATCCTCACTACCTGGGTGACAGACTCATTTGTACTCCAAACTTCAGCATCACACAATACACTTTTACAATAAACCTGCACATGTACCTCTAAAATAAAAGTTGGGGGGAAAAAAAAGAAGAGAAACTCTCACAAAACATAAATAAATAAGTAAAGCTAACCCAGAGGTAACACACATCACTTCTGCTCGTGTTCCTGTGATGAGAACTAATCACATGACTCCCTGCTGATGTGAGGGAAACTGGGAAATGGCATTGCTGGCCTAGAAGTTGCCTCACAGCAACCACTTCATGCTGTAGAAAGGGGATCAGGAATTTTTCGTGGATAGCTAGTCATCTGCCACAGCCAATGAATTGCAAAGGACTCAGATGATCTTCTACTTAGAATTAGAAAATCATCTAATGAGACTCTTAAGAAATCTCCAGGCCAGGCGCCATGGCTCACACCTGTAATCCAAGCACTGTGGGAGGCCGAGGCAGGTGGATCACTTGAAGTTAGGAGTTCAAGGCCAGCCTGGGCAACATGGTGAATCCTGCCTCAACTAAAAATATGAAAATTAGCCGGGCGTGGTGGTGCATGCCTGTAGTCCCAGCTACTCAGGAGGCTGAGGCAGGAGAATTGCTTGAACCTGGGAGGTGGAGGTTGCAGTGAGCTGAGATCGTGCCACTGCACTCCTGCCTGGGTGACAGAGTGAGACTCTGTCTCAAAAAAGAAAAAAAAACACAACATTTTCAGATGTATTTATTTTAATAGACAGGATCTCACTCTGTCACCCAGGCTGGAGTGCAATGGTGGGATCAGAGCTCACTGCAGCCTTGAACTCCTGGGCTCAATCAATCCACCTCCTTTAGTCTCCCAACTAGCTGGGACTACAGACGGGTGCCACTATGCCTAGCTATTTTTTTTCTTTTAGAGAGTTCAGGTCTTGCTATGTTGCCCAGGCTAGTCTCAAGCTCCTGGCCTCAAGCATTCCTCCTGCCTTGGCCTCCCAAAGTGCTGGGATTACAGGTGTGAGCCACCACATCCAGCCTATTCTTTCCAAGTCTCTTAACACTCCTGTTCCCTGTCACAGGATATAGGTTTTTATGCCAATGGGTAAAGACTTCGAACTGGGAGGGGATTATGCAGTGTGACAAGGTTATAACCTACATAAACCTTTAAATTAGGCTTTAAGCGTGGTCTGCTGCCATAAAGCTTGTGGGCATCGGGAAGCCAAGAAAGCATCCTACTATTCTTTGACTGAAATTAATCTCCATTCTCTATGTGACTGCTCTTCACCGGGGCATCGTGGTGCTATGATCAGCCACACTTCCTGTCCTTGAAGTCCGAATCAAGCCTGTGAAGGAAGCCTGGAGTAAACTCCCAGGACACATGTCTAATACAGCTATTTTCTTTTTTAAAATATAAGCAACTGCTATGGTTCCATAATGAACATTTTTATTTTTAAAGTACTTTATTTCATAGGGAAGAAATGTAATGCATTCTTTTCCCCCAAAATAATAAAGAAAATTGCTACTGGGAAAGGTTTGGCATTTGAAACCTAGTGGGAGATTTCTCCAGCAGATGGTTTAGTGGCAAAAAGCTTTTAAGAATTTCTGACTGCTAGAGAAAAAGGGAGAGGGAAGGTGGGGGTTGGGGGGAGATTGATTTGATGTGATAAAGAAAAGATGTATCCAAAGAAAGCAATTCTTATTCAAGTTCTGATGACTCAAATGATCCATAGACTAGATCACAGATTCCAAAGCCTGACTGTGCATCAGAATAGCACGGGAAGCTCGTTTAAAATACCAATGGAATCAGAATATCTGTGGGTGGTGACCAGACATGCATATGTTTTCAAGCTCCATAGGTGATTCTGTTGAAATGCAGTGGCCTATCTCTTTGTTTAATTCTGATGGTAGCTACAGAGCTAGGCAGTACTATTAGCTTAGCAAATATTTTGTACTCTTAACCACTTGGCTAGCATTTGCTGTATACCCAAGCCCACCAGCAGCAGGCTCTTTACTGGGTCTCTCATCTTTTTACAAAAAGCATTTGGATGATATACTTGAGAACCCCATGGATGAGGATGCCAATGCATTTGATTATTTCATTTGGAAGCAAGGGAGGCAAAATTCACAGCCAATCCACCCAGCACTCTCTGCAGAGAATCACAGCTATGTTACAGCAAATAGCTCTGTTGAATACCTTTGGCTGCATCCCCTGGGAAGGCAGGATGGTGTCCTGGGAGGAGCAGAGACTGTAGCAGATTGGCTTTAACTCCCAGCACTGCTGCCTGCTAGCTGGGGGCCCAGGATATGTTCTTTCAACCCTGTTTGTTGTTTGTAAAACTGGAAAGAATTCTACTGACCCCACAGTAATATAAGTTTCAAATGGGGCTGGGCACAGTGGCTCATGCCTGCAATCCCAACACTTTGGGAGGTCAAGGTGGGTGGATCACCTGAGGTCAGGAGTTCAAGACCAGCCTAGCCAACATGGTGAAACCCCATTGCTACTAAAAATAAATAAAATAAAATAAAATAAAAAAACAGCTGGGCATGGTGGCCAGGACCTGTAATCTCAGCTACTCAGAAGGCTGAGGCAGGAGAATCACTTGAACCTGGGAGGCATGGGTTGCAGTGAGCCAAGATCACGTCATTGCACTCCAGCCTGGGCAACAAGAGCAAGACTCCATCCAAAAAAAAAAGAGTTTCAAATGGGGAAAATGTAAGAAAAGCATCTGGGGAAGAACTGCCATGGAGTAGGAACTTTATAAATGGTACTCAACTCACTACATTTCTTTTAACCTCCTTACCCCTGGAAAGAGGAGAACCAATTAGCAACAGCTAAGAAAAGACATTCACGTTTTCCCAGTACTCCTGAATTTTCTACAGAAGTGTTATCCAGGATAGAATTTGGAGACAGACGTCCTTCTCTATTTTCCTTTATGGAAGTTGGCTACCACTGTATAGACACTTACCTCCAGTCCCAGGTGTGACCCCAACCAGAAAGCCTCTCCTAAAACATGGGACCAATCCTGGGAAATGCCAGATATGGCTTTTGTAACTTAGGTAATAGAAATGATCTCTGTGAGTCCCACATGATCAAATACAAAATTATACAGGATTCAAATTAATCACATGGACAGGCATAAAACACCAGACTCTAAATATTATTTACCCAGCATCAAGCAGATGTTTGTTTCCAAAGCTACAATCTCCTCTAATTGGCTGATGCTGTGCTGCATAGACTCCAATGCAAGCTTATGTTCTATAATGAATGACAAATGCCTAGAAGAATCCTCTGTGAATTGGCAGCCTCCTCCTCTAGCATGCAAATTATGCCGAAATCCCATCAGCAGATGCAGATAAGCTCATCTGCATGATTGGCAAACTAGTGGATAAACACACCCCAGGATTCATTGTCCAAATTCAATTTGGTGGTTTCATCTCCATTTTCAGTGATCATTTATTTGTTAATTTATTCATTAGCCAACATGATGAAGCAGCTATTCGGAAACAGGCACTGTCTTAGGCTTTAGGAATACAAAGGTAAATAAAGATATGGTCTCTTCCTTCAAGAAGTCCACAATGAAGGAAGTGAGACGAGGCCGGGAAAGAAAACGAACTAGGAACAAGTACAAAACTAGAGATATGGGCAAATGTCAGTGGTGATACAGAGGAGGGGTGATCAACTCTACCTACAGGGGTTGGAGATGGTGCCACAGATTTTCATGGTGTAGCTTAGAGGAAGATGTTAGCTAGACAGACAAACTGTAGAAAGGGGGGTTTCCATCAAGAGTGTTCTCTTGCTGTTGCAAGAACACTTGACGACGTGCGTCCTGTTCTGGGAACCACAGGAGTTTTATCTGGCTAAAGCAGAAGGTGCCAGTGTCTGTTCTATTTTGGCTCCTTTAAAAATCCACCCAAGGCCAGCTGTTGTGGCTCATGCCTGTAATCCCAACACTTTGGGAGGCCGAGGTGAGAGGATCGCTTGAGGCCAGGAGTTTAGGACCAGCCTGGGCAACATAGCAAGACATCCCCATCTCTACAAAACATAAAAAATTAGCTAAGCATGGTGAGGTGTGCCTGTAGGCCCAGCTACAGGGAGGCTGAGGCAAGAGAATCCCTTAAGCCCAGGAATTCAAGGCTACAATGAGCTACGATCTCACGTCACTGCACTCCAGCATGAGTGACAAAGTGAGATCCTGTCTCTAAATAAATAAATAATTTTTTAAATTAAATAAGTATAAATAAAAAGCTTTTAAAAATAAAATCCACCCAGGTGGACATGTAAACTGCACAACCCCTTTGAAAGGCAGCATGGCTATGTCTATTGAAATTTAAAATGTGCCTGTCTCTGTAATAATTACGGAGGCAATGGATTCAGGTCCTCATGGCCCAGTTAGTTTTTCTCTGTCTCACAAGCATAATTATACATTTCCTCCACAAAATGTGCGATCACGAGGGAAAAAAAAAATCTTGGATGGGTTAACAGAGGTTCATATTCATTATGGAAATACATTACGATTGTGTTTTCTTTCCAAGGTCTGTTGTCCTAACAAGATCTTAAGCATTGTGAGAAGAAAGGCTGTGCCTGTTCTGTGAATCCTGTTATCAGCAGTGCCTAAGATAATGCCACCACACAAGACCTTAGCAAATATTTAGTACAGACATACATACTTGGATAACTAAATGAATGAATAAAACATCTCAAAGCCTAAATCTACAAAAATTTTAAAAAATAATAAAATGCTTATGTCTTGTTTGTAGTAGCAAAAGATCAGGGAAAAGTGATCTATAAGAGACTAGTTAAAAAAATTATAGCACATCTATGTAAAGAAATACTATGTAAATTAAATACTATGTAAAAAGGCATGAGTTAGCCGGGTGCTGTGGCTCACACCTGTAATCCCAGCACTTTGGGAGGCCAAGGCAGGTGGATCACTTGAGGTCAGGAGTTCAAGACCAGCCTGGCCAACATGGTGAAACCCCATCTCTACTAAAAGTACAAAAATTAGCCAGGCGTGGTGGCACGTGCCTGTAATCCCAGCCACTCAGGAGGCTGAGGCAATAGAATCACTTGAACCCAGGAGGCAGAGGTTGCAGTGAGCTGAGATTGTGCCACTGCACTCCAGCCTGGGCCACAGAGCAAGACTCTGTCTCCAAAAAAAAAAAAAAAAATAGCATGAGTATACACTCTCTATAGTTATAGAAGATTTATGGTTATGGGAAGAGCTCCAAGATATATTATCAAGTGAAAAAAAGTGAAATAAAGAAGAATATATATATATATATATATATATATATATAGTATGGTATCTTTTGTGTAAGAAAGAAGAGAAAATAGGAATACATGTTCTTCTTTGCTTTGTTTTCATAAAGGAACTGTGGAGGTATACACAACAAATTAATATCTACAGGGGTGAGAGAAGGGAAAATAGATTAGGAAAAAGATGGGGGAAAGACTTTGTGACATATATCTTGCATATCATTTTTTATTTTTGAATTAACTAAATGTGTGACCTATTCAAAAAGGAGAACTTAATTTTAACATGGGCCTGCCTCATGGCCCAGAAATTTCAGTCTTGGTATCAACCATAGAGAATCACTCACACATGTGCATAAGGAGGTATATAGAAGGATATTTGTTGTAGTACTGCTTATTATAGAGGAAAACACAGTAGAAATAACCAAAATGTCCATTAATGGAGTTACAGAATAAACTGTGGCACGTTCATACTTTGAATATTATGCAGGAGTTAAAACCACGAGGTAGATGTATGTCTACTAACATGGACAAATCTCCAAGATTTACTATTGCGTAAGAAAAATCGAGAATGGTGATTGTCAGGGGCAAGGGGAGGGGAAAGCGATGGGCAGATGTAGGTCAAAGGGTACAAAGCTTCAGTTAGGAATAAGTTCAGGAGATCCATTGCATAGCATGGTGACTATAGTTAATAATAACGTATTGTAAGCAAGGTGTAGTGACTCACGGCTGTAATCCTAGCCCTTTAGGAGGCCGAGGTGGGCAGATAGCTTGAGTTCAGGAGTTCGAGAGCAGCCTGGCCAACATGGTGAAACCTCATCTCTACAAAAAATACAAAACTTAGCCTGGTATAGTGGCGTGCGCCTGTAATCCCAGCTACTTGGGAGGCTGAGACATGAGAATCACTTGAACTGGGGAGGGGGAGGTTGCAGTGAGCTGAGATGGTACCACTGCACTCCAGCCTGGGCAACAGAGCAAGACTCTGTCCAAAGTAATAATAATAATAATTAATAATAATAATAATAATAATGTATTGTATACTTGAAAATTGCTAAGAGTAGATTTTTTTTTTTGAGACAGAGTCTCACTCTGTTGCCCAGGCTGGAGTGCAGTGGTGTGATCTCGGCTCACTGCAACCTCAGCCTCCTTGGTTCAAGTGATTCTTCTGCCTCAGCCTCCTGAGTAGCTGGGACTACAGGTGCACCACGACACCCTGCTAATTTTTTGTATTTTTAGTAGAAATGGGGTTTCACCATGTTAGCCAGGATGGTCTCTATCTCCTGACCTCAGGTGATCTGCCTGCCTTGGCCTCCCAAAGTGCTGGGATTACAGGTGTAAGCCACCACGCCCAGGCTAAGAATAGATTTTAAATGCTCTCACAACAAAAAAAAATAAGTCTGTGAGGTGGTAAATATGTTAATTAGGTTGATTTAGCCATCCCACAATGTATACATATATCAAAACATCACACTGTACACCATAAACATACAATTTTTTTTCTGTGACAAGGTCTCTCTCTGTCGCCCAGGCTAGAGTGCAGTGGCACAATCATCACTCACTGCAGCTTTGAACTCCTGGGCTTAAGCGATTCTCCAGACTCAGCCTCCTGAGTAGCTGGCACCACAGGCACATGCCACCATGCCCAGCTACTTTTTGTATTTTTTGTAGGGACAAGGTCTCACCATGTTGCCCAGGCTGGTCTGAAACTCCTGAACTCAAGCTGTCCTCCCACCTTGGCCTCGTAAAGTGCTGGGACTACAGGCGTGAGCCACCACACATGGTCAACATTTACAATTTTTATTTGTCAACTAGACAACAAGTAAAAGAAAAATGTGCAAAAATATATAATACATTAATGTCACACACATACATCAATACAGAGCTTTATAAGCTGAAACAATTCACATCAAACTGGCAACAGTGCTTGTTTCTCGAGATTATCTAGGAGAGTGGTTGGTAAACCTCTTTTGTAAAAAGCCAGATAGTAAATATTTTAGGCTCTGCAGGCCTTAGGGGCTCTGTCATGACTAATCAGCAATTCCTTTGGAGTGTGAATGCAGCCACAGATAATATACAAATGAATGAGCTGTGTTTTAATAAAACTTTATTTCAATAAAGACAGCGAGCCAGATTGGGCCTGCAGTAGTTTTCCAACTCCTGGTCTGGAGAACCAAGAGGAGAGGTGTGAAGCCTCTCATGTTTAATTTTTTTTTTTTTTTTTTTTACAGGGAGAATGAAAGCATCTCTTACATATGTAATTAAAATGAATTTGAAACAAAGATGTGGGTGTATTAGTCTGCTTAGGCTGCTAAAAGAAAATAGTACAGACTGCGTGGCTTTAAAAACAGACATTTGTTAGCCAGGTGCAGTGGCTCACGCCTGTAATCTCAGCACTTTGGGAGGCTAAGCTGGGTGGATCATTTGAGGTCAGGAGTTCAAGACCAGCCTAGCCAACATGGTGAAACCCCATCTCTACTAAAAATACAAAAAAAAATTAGCCAGGCGTGGTGGCGTATGCCTGTAGTCCCAGCTACTCAGGAGGCTGAGGTAGGAGAATCACTTAAACTCGGGAGGTGGAGGTTGCAGTTAGCCAAGATCACACCACTGTACCCCAGCCTGGGTGACAGAGCGAGACTCTGTCTCAGAAAAAAAAACAAAAAACAAAAAACAAAAACAGACATTTATTTTCTCACCTTCTGGAGGTTAAAAGTCCATGATCAAGGTGCCAGGGTTGGTTTCTATAATTTCATAAATACATACATACAAGATTGACTGATTTATTTATTAAGAGATAGGATCTCGCTATGTTGCCCAGGCTGGTCTCGAACTCCTGAGCCCAAGTGGCCCTCCCACCTTGGCCTCCCAAAGTGCTGGGATTACAGGCATGAACCACCATGCCCAGCTCAGGGTTGGTTTCTAGTGAGCCCTTTCTTCCTGGTTTGCAGACAGCTGACTTCCCACTGTATCCTCACATTGTCTTTTCTCTGTGCTTACACAAAGAGGGAGGGGAAGAGGTGCTCTCTAGTATCTATGCTTCTTCTTCTAAGGACATCAGTCCTATTAGATTAGGGCCCCACCCTTATGACCTCGTTTAACCTTAATTACCTCCCTAAATGACCTATATCCAAATACAGTCAAACTGGGGGTTAAGGCTTCAACATATAAATTTAGGAAGGACACAGTTCTGTCCATAACAATGGGCCATGACTTGTATCCTGTAACAACAACACACAGGCTCCTTTTCTCAGAATCCTGGACAAATCAGTCAAGATCATGATGATTCCCAAAATGAGGAGGCCCAGCCAGAGATTATACCTTCCTCCTCTAATTTTCTTCTCCTTCTCCCTAAGGGTGTACTGTTGTCCTGCTCTAAGAAGTCTTTGCCCCACCACTCGCTTTCCCTTGGATATCTCCTTACCTGTTAGACATCCTAGAAAAGGGTGCATTGAGAAATAACTATGGCAATAGACCCAGACCCCCTTTGGTTGACCTGTAGCAGCACAAAGCAGGCCTCTAATTCCCCAACTTTGAAGAAAGAAAGAGACACAGGACCAGAGCCTGATGAGGGGTAATAAGGTGAAGACCTTCAAACTTCTAAGGTCTAAGTATTTTTTTCAACATGTATTTAGGAAGACACTGGGCCTATCAGGGGAAAGGGAGAGACGATGGGTGTGTGTTGACAATGCACAGCCTCTCCTATGCATCCTCAGCAATTCCTCTCTGATCCGACTGCATGCCCCAGTCAGCAAAACCAAAGCCCCAAAATCAATAAGGCCCCTTACAAGGCCAATTAGCAGCCACCTGTGATTCTACTAAGATCATACCCCCTTCTGCAAAGAAAGGAGAGGTTCCCATTCCCTGTCCCAAAGATGTGAGAGTTGGATTCTTTCCAGCTGCATTTGGTAGTCTCCCAGAGTGTTCCCATGGGTAAAATGTTCTCCTCTCATCACATTTCCGGAACTTTTTAGCATCATAGACATATTTTAATGTCCTTTATAAGCGAACATTGCATGCAGCGGCCTGGCTGGCCCATCCCATAATCCAGCATTGAAGGAACGTAAGGACTTAAAGGTGAGAAAGACACAATCATTCTTTCTTTTTTTTTTTTTTTTTTGAGACAGCGTCTCACTGTCACCCAGGCCAGCGTGCAATGGTAGTGGCATGATCATAGCTCACTGCAGCCCCAACCTCCTGGGCTCAAGCAATCATCCCAACTCAGCCTCTGGGGTGGCTGGGACTACAGGAGCACAGCATCATGCTCAGGTAATTTTTTATCTTTTTGTAGAGATGGGGTCTCACTTTGTGGTCCAGGCTGGTCTTGAACTCCTGGACTCAAGTGATTCAAGTGATCCGCCCACCTTGGCCTCCTGGGATTGCAGGTGTGAGCCACCACACTCAGACACAATCTTTCTTAAAGTCTCTCTGTCTCTCTCTCTCTCTCTCCCCGCAACCCCCTCCCCACCCCACCACCCCCCCACCGGCTCGCTCTCTCTCTCTCTCCTCTCTCTCTCACCCCCCTCTGAATTTGGCTAACCTTCTATACTGGGACTAGCTCTACCTGTCTGGAGCTCATCTTGTTGGTGTAAGATGGAGAGTATTCTTCACAAGTCCATGCATCCACCCTCTTTAGGTGAGCCAGCCTCTTTGGAGTAGTAATGCCCAAGTTTCATGGGCTTCTTGTTCTTTGTAAGTATACAGTGATTGATCCTCGTGAGATTACTTAACGGTGTGTGTCTGCTGGTGGAACCCTAAAGGCTGGGCAGTGGGCCAAGGTCATAGCACCCAGCCAACGAGCAGGTGTCCCTGACAACCCAAACATCCCACAGCATATCTGGGATTATACCAAGAGAAAGTCTCATTGTATGCAATAGGTAAAGAGCCAAAACAGGTAGCTTAATAGCAGCTTACAGACAGGAGGCGGGTGGGTCTCTGGAGCTGTCTTGCCGCCACCCAGGAGTACCCTGTATGTAAGTCCCAATAAACTCATCTACTCATCAAGCTGGACTGGTCCGAGTCATTCTTTGGTCTCTTGGCTCCTTCCCAGTTTGGGGGGACATTTTTTCATACAGTACCAGGTTTTTCTCATAACATCCTGTGGCTCAGAGGCAGGGGTACTTTCTTCTTCACTGTTGCCTCTCATCTATAGTTGCAAAATAAACTTACACCCAGATTACCTCTCCCTGTCAAGGAACTAGATCAGGTATTTTTATAGTGCTGCTTGACCAAATGAAAAAGAGAAGAATCTAGAATAGCTTGGAAATTTCTGGGCTGGGTCTCATTACCCAAGCTAGGAAAATACAAGAAGGTCCTGGGCTAAGGCAAGGAAAGAGGCGATGATTTGTTCTCTTTGGGGCTATGGTAAATTTGAGGCACATCTAGGATATCCAAGTAGAGTGTCAGATGTTCAAATCTAGAGCTTGGCCCTAGAGAAAAACCCACATCAAAAAAGGGACAAAGAATATGATCACTCAGTTCACAGAAAAGGACAAAAACAGCTCTTAAATATAGAAAAAGATGTTCAACCTCACTCATAATATAAGAAATGCAAATTGACTACCTGGATAACATTTCTCACCTATCAAATTGGAAAAAACCCAAACGTTTGGTAACACATTTTGTTGATAAGGGCTGTGGGGAAACAGGAATGCTTCTACATTGCTGGTGAGGATTTAATTTCATATAATCACTCTGAAGAGCAATTTGGCACTCCAGTGAAATTATGAATGTACATATCCTTTATTCCAAAAATTCCACTTTGGAGAATTTATCCTAAGGATATACATGCACAACTGTGAATTGTATTTGCACGAAATTACTCATTACAACATCATTTGTAATGCAAGTGTATTAGTCAGGGTCCTTGAGAGAAACAGACCAACAGGACACACACACACACACACACACACACACACACCCTGTTGGTTCTGTTTCTCTAGAGAACCCTGACTAATACAAATGTGTATGTATAAGTACATGCATATATATGTGAGTGTGTGTTTGAAGAGGAGAGAGAGAAAGGGACAGAGAGAAAGAGAATATAAGGAAATGGCTCACACAATTATGGAAGCTGAGAAGTCCAGACCCAAGAGAACCGATGCAGTAAGTTCTATCCAAGTCTGATGCAGTAAGTTCTATCCAAGTCCATGTCTGAAGGCAAAATAAGACTGATGTCTCAGCTCAAAGACAGGCAGAGAAAGAGCCTTACTTAGCCTTTTATTTTATTCAGGCCTTCAATAGATTTGATGAGGGGCACCCACAGTAGAAGACAGTTTGCTTGATTGATTCAGTCGATCAATTCAAATGTTAATCTCATCCAGAAACACCCTCATGTCAAACACACCCAGAAATAATATAACCAAACATCTGGGCAGCCTGTGGCCCAGTCAAGGTGACACATAAAATTATCCAACATGACAAGCAACTGGAAACAGCTCACATGCCTATCAATAGGAAACTGGTTAAGTAAATGATGGGACATCCAGACAATAGAACACTGTGCAATTACAAATTTTAAGAAGAAAAAGAAGAACGAAGATATTCTCTATATGCTATCACAGAAAGATCTAAAGTGAAAAAAGCAAAGTGTAGAATTTGTGTGTAATATGATACATTTGAAGGAAAATGAGGAAAAATTACAATTTATATATCAATCTTTTTGCATACGTGTAAAGAACTTCTGGAATGAGTCATAAGAAACCAAGAGTGCCAGGCGTGGTGGCTCTCACCCATAATGCTAGCACTTTGGCAAGCTGAGGCAGGACGATCACTTGAGCCCGGGATTTGGAGGCTGCAGTGAGCTATGACTGCACCACTGCATTCTAGCCTGGGTGACAGAGCAAGACTTTGTTAAGAAAGGAAATGAAAGGGGCTGGGGGAAAGGAAAGGAAAGAAACGCAAAATTAAGTGCAATAATCTCTCATGAGGACAGAAACTAGGCATATACAAGACAACAAAGAGAGAGAATTTTTACTAACTGTTTATACTATCTGGATTTTTAACTATGAAAATGCAGTGCCCATTCAAAAAGATTTTAAATAACTGAGAAAGGAAAAAAAGAGCTGTGTGCCTAGGAAGGTACAACTTGGAAGCCATCAGCACACAGCCAGCATTTAAAGCCATGAAGAAGGTGAAGTTGTCTAGACAGATGTGAAGAGAGAAGGAAGTTTAAGGAGTGGGGTAGAAGAAAAGGTGGTGGGGAAGCAGTCCGAAAAATAGAAGACAGAAGAGGCAGGTGGTCTCAGAGGGTATATAATGGTCTCACAGCAAGAAATATAAAATGCAAACTCAAGCATTTGGCAGCTGGGTCGTTTTGGGTTGATATATTTAACCAGATAGTCTGTATTGTGTTTGCACTTTCTGTAGGAAATATATCATGTAGTTACATTTCATCCTTGGAATTCCTCTCTCCTGTGAGTGCAACCTGATTTGAGATGTAAATAAACTGCGGAGATAATGCCGGAGTCTCGTCAGACGCCCAGTTCTCCCGCCAGCCGAGGATGGGAGTGATGATGAATGGTGCCAGGCCCGCTGCATAATCTTTTCTGTTTTAATACTCGATTATCATGTCCCTCATCTTCCCTGGACCCAAGACTCAACACATTAAAATCTCTTTGTTTCTTCCACAATGCTTCTATCTCCATTGCATCTCCAGCCTCCTTTAATATTGTTCATTATTGAAGGGAACACAGGAAACCAATTACCCAGGTGGCAGCCGGAGTTGGTCATGTGCCCACCCAGCCGCACGGAGAGACCGGTTCCCTGTTCAGACGAATGAGAATCCTCACGCTCTGCCAAGTCCCTCACCTGTCCTCAGGCTCCTGGGAGCCACCACTGACATGGCCACACATGCGTTAGACATTCACGTTCAGCTAATTCAATTGGCGTTTGTCAATGCCAGGTGCTTTGGGAGGGCCAGGCAGTTCTGCAGGCAAAGCAGTTGTTCACACAGTGGTTAAGAGCAGAGACTTCCAGAATACCTGAGTTTAAATCCTGAGTCTGCTGATAAAGCTGTGTGACCTTGGACAAATTCCTAACCTCTCAGTCCCTTTGAGTTCCCATTTGTAAAATGGAAATAATAACAGTACCCACATGTTGTGGGTTAAATTGTACCCCCCCCCCAAAAAAAAAAGATATGTTAAAGTCTCAACCCGTGGTACCTGTGAATGTGACCTTATTTGGAAATAGAGTCTTTGCAGATGTAATCAAGTGAAGAATAGGTCATGCAGAATTAGGGAGACCCCTAAATCTAATGACTGGTGTCCCTATGAGGAAGAAGAGATTTGGAGACGCAGAGACAGATACATCAGGAAGGCCACATGAGGCCACAGCAGAGAATGGAGAGATTCATCTGCAAGCCAGGGAATGCCAGTAACCACGAGAATCTGGAATATGCAAGGAAAGATTCTTCCCTTAAGGCTTTGGAGGGAAATATGGTCCTGCCAACACCTTGACCTTAGACTTCTAGCTTCCAGAATTATGAAAGAATAGATTTCTGTAGTCTTAAGCCACACAGTTTGTGGTCATTTGTTACAGTAGCCCTGGGACATTAATACCCCAGCTCAGAGGGTGTCAATTGACATCAGAGGGTGTCAAATGAGGATTGATTATACATGCAACACATGCAAAGTGCTTAGGAGAGTGTCTGACATCTGGTGAATCATACAAGTGTGGCGTAATTGTTATTATTTGTTGATATTATTGTGGTTGCTTTGTCCCATAAGCAGACATCCCTTATCATTACAGCAATAGCAGACAATGGACAAATAAGTTGCCTGCCCATCTGCACAGACACCTGGAGTTGACTATTGGCAAGCAGGCTCTCAGTCCATTCCCTGATACAAGGGAAGAGGCCAAGCTCTTCCATGTACGGGGCTTGCATTGCTCACCTTTGCAGGGAAATTGTAAGAGGGAGGATGCCAAGCACATGTCCATAGGTTGACAACTTTCTAAAGACTGAACTGGTTTCTGTTATACTGAGACCTCCTAAGGGGAAGAGTCAATTCCTTAGTCAACATAATTGGGGCAAGGGAAGCACATTGGTGAAGCACATGGGTCTTGGGGTCAGAGTATCTGGCTCAAATCTCACTTCTTCCACCTACTAGTTCTGTGACCTTCAGCAATACTTTAGCCCTTTTTTTTTTTTTTGAGACTGTGTCTCACTCTGTCGCCCAGTCTAGAGTGCAGTGGCGTGATCTCTGCTCACTGCAACCTCCAGGTTCAAGCGATTCTTGTGCCTCAGCCTCCAAAGCAGCAGGATTACAGGCATGCACCACCATGTCCAGCTAATTTTTGTTTCTTGGTAGAGATGGGGTTTCGCCATGTTGGCCAGTCTGGTCTCAAATTCCTGACCTCAAGTGATCTGCTCACCTTGGCCTCCGAAATAGCTGGGATTACAGATACAAGCCACCCTGCCCAGCCCTTTAGCCTGTTTCCTCATCTGTAAAATGGCAAAGGCTAACATAAAGTGTATCATAATGTATTGGTGGATAATCTAGAGTGGATAGAAAAGGGCAAGTTTTTTCAGGGCCAACACAGCTCCCTTGGTCCTGCACACACACACACACACACACACACACACACACACACACACACACATATCTGTTGGCACTCTGAGGTCACTCTCACACCCACTGTCATTATCTGTTCCCTGTAATTATCTGTTGAATTTTTTACCAAAATTATTTACCATTCAGTCCTCTACAGAAAAAGTTTGTTGATCCCTGCTTTAAATCAACTCACTTTTTAATTTAAATGCATTTCTAAATAGGACACATGATATAGCCAATGTAATTGAAAACCAGCATTTCTTGCCATAGATGGAAGGTAACAATAAAATAAATGTGTAACTACAATTATTAGTGTGAGTCAAAGAAAGAACACTCAGAGTAGAAGGAGAAAAAGGAGGATTTATAATAGCAGGGAATCAGAGGAACTCGGGGGAAATAGGCCATTGAGAAAGGTAGTGAAGGCTGTAATAGAAATACTGCTCATCACGAGGGAGCAGAGTAAATAAAAGCGTGAGGGAAAAGGACACTGGGAACCAAAAAAAAAAAAAAAAAAATGATTTCTTTTCAACATCTGAAAGTAATAAGCATAATTTATAAACTAGATTAGAAAAGAACATCTCAGCACATTTATAATGAAAACTGCTGATGCTAATGAGAGCAATAACATTTAAATAGAAATCTGTTTACCTTTGGGAAATTCATGCATAACTTCAATGCTGTACTGATTAACTTAAGGACCAGGGACTGGACTGATTAACCTTCCTGGGTTTTTGTTTTCAAAAGGGGAGTTGGCTGAGGTGTAACAGCCTGACGAGAACTCAACAGCCTAAACCTATGATTGGGAGTAATTGGAACCAGTAGAACCGAAGTCAGAGTAGCCAACCTGGCCATATGCTACAGTTCTTTCCGGTATGAGCATCCGAGGTTTCTTTGAAAACCTGAAGAAAGCTATGCTCCTCCTTCTCAGAAAAACACACAAAAATACACACACCAAAACTTTTGCATTTAATTTGTTTTACATTTGAAATGTATGTCTTGTATATCAATAGAAGTTAAAAGCTGTCTTAAAAAAAAAAAAAAACTCCTGATCTAATTATTTTATAACTTATTCTAAGAGTTAAGGCCTATTTAAATGGTAAAGGGGGTCAATCCAAAATTGCAAATAAAACAAATGTTTAAAATTTTCTTCTTCTCAAAATCACATTTTAATGAAAATACTATAATTTCTTGGCTTGAATCAAAAGTTGGCTTTGTGAAGTAGTCTTTGATATCAATCCCAAATCAATTTTAAATTTTCCGTTAAATGGCACTAAGGGTCAAAAACCCTGAACCCCCAAAATGCACAGGAAAAGACAAAATTAACATTCCCATTGCTTGCTTTGCCAAGTTAGAGTGGGGCTATGTCAATAAACACCAAATCCTCCAAGACTTGGTAAATTAAATTCATGTCGCCTGTTTTCTTTTGTCCTTAAGTTAATGAGGCTGGGTCAACGAGGGAAGAGTTTATGAATCTATCATTAAATTTGAAGATGATCTGAGTGTAAGTAACCTTCAAGTGACTTCATCAGTGTTTCAAGGTGTTTTCAGATTTGGTGCGCCATGAAATTTATAAGGCTGTCATTTTTGGCTCCAATCTGCAGAATCGCTTTCATTCAGCCTTGAGAAGTTTGCAGAGTTATCCCCCTGCAGGGTAAGATTTTGGTTCACACAGCAGTTCAGAGCAGAGACTTAACCACTGCAGGTTAACATTTTTGCCAAAAAAAGCTCACGATTTTTCTGCACTGACCATAATAGTAACTGAAGGACCTTGCATGGAAATATTGGCTTCATTCTGGTGAACAATAATTTCTTCCAAGTAAGTCCAGTGGTAAAAGAATTTCCTGCCAAATTGTTCTGCAAAGGAGCTTTTCTTCTTCTTCTTCTTCTTCTTCTTCTTCTTCTTCTTCTTATTATTATTATTATTATTATACTTTAAGTTCTAGGGTACATGTGCACAACATGCAGGTTTGTTACATATGTATACATGTGCCATGTTGGTGTGCTGCATCCATTAACTAGTAATTTACATTAGGTATTCCTCCTAATACTATCCCTGCCCCTTCCCTATGCAGCCATAAAAAAAAAAAAAAAGTTCATGTCCTTTGTAGGGACATGGATGAAGCTGGAAACCATCATTCTGAGCAAACTATCGCAAGGACAGAAAACCAAACACTGCATGTTCTCATTCATAGGTGGGAACTGAACAATGAGAACACTTGGACACAGGGTGGGGAACTGCAAAGGAGCTTTTCATACTCTCATAAAGGTGAAAATTCTGCCCCAGGTTCAATCAAGAGCTTGGGGGAATTGTTTCCTGGAAAGGCAGCATACTTGTATGTAAACAGGAAGAACACGATATTCTGCATCCATTCGGTAGCAAAAACTCCTCAAAAGGCCAGCTTTTAGGGCACGAGACAAGGCTCCCTTCAGGATTTTGGCCGAGTCCCCATGCCAGTGTAGAAAGTAATGAAGCACGCAGCGTCTCCATTAAAACAAGGAAGCCATATGTGTTGTAAGGCATGCCAGATGCTGTCATCCATACCCAGACATTTTTCCCAGTTAAAGTTGTGTCTGAAGAAAATAAACTTTTCAGGCATGATGTTTCCAACGGGACTCACCAAAAGAAAATGTTTCTTCTGAAGGTGTCAGAATGCACATAGTGGATGAAGAGTACATAAAGAGTACTACCTCCGCACTGAAAGGCGTCGACAGTTGCACGCAGTTGCAAGCTGAAGGAAGGAGAAATCGCTACAATTCTTGCTTTAAAATATCCCGAAGAAATAAGTGTTCATCGGCCGGGCGCGGTGGCTCACGCCTGTAATCCCAGCACTTTGGGAGGCCGAGACGGGCGGATCACGAGGTCAGAAGATCGAGACCATCCTGGCTAACACAGCGAAACCCCGTCTCTACTAAAAATGCAAAAAAAAAAAAAAAAAAAAAAAAATTAGCAGGGCGTGGTGGCAGGCGCCTGTAGTCACAGCTACTCGGGAGCCTGGGGCAGGAGAATGGCGTGAACCCGGGAGGCGGAGCTTGCAGTGAGCCGAGATCGCGCCACTGCACTCCAGCCTGGGCAACAGAGTGAGACTCCGTCTCAAAAAAAAAAAAAAGAAATAAGTGTTCATCTTTTGGAGTAGGTGAGGTTATCTGAGAGAGGCACTACTTTATTGATTTCTCTGCTCCAAGTCATAAACCAGCTTGATCACTGCTAAGGTACTGGTCTTCCTCAAGATATCCCCAGTTGTACAGATACTCTGCATTTTTGGCAATGTGAGTGACAATGTTGTAGAATGTTTCTAGATATGGCATTGGGGCTGGGGCAAATGTAAGATCAGGTGGAGTTCCAGCCTTTCCAAATTTAAGGTTTGTCTCAGGAAACACACCCACACTGAAAGATGCTGAGATGGAAGTTGCTTCTTTGGTTTTGTTTGTTTTATGCACCCATTGATGAGCGATTTGCATTCACAGAACCATTGTGGCTTTAGTGTCCCATAATGTTCAATGAGGAAAGCGAAACCAAGGGATACGTCAGTTGCGTCATGCTTTTATCTCTTCATACTTCCCAATTCAGCTAAACTTGATATGAACAAAGACAGATTCCCTTGAGTATTAAGGCAAGGCATATCTTCTTTAATTTTTATCAGTGAGAAATTAATATAGGCATTGACACAACCATAACCATAAACTTTGTATATTACCATTCCACAACTGTTTGAAATGGAACAATATCATAATCATATAATTTGACACCAAATTTTTTTCAAAGATGACTTTCAAAGTAACAGAAAGAAAACTGGAAGAAAAGCTATGTGCGCGCGTGTGTGTGTGTGCGCGCGTATCTGATTCACAGAACTCTTCTGAGATGGAGTGTCACCCTGTCGCCCAGGCTGGAGTGCAGTGGCACGATCTCAGCTCACTGCAACCTCCGCCACCCAGGTTCAAATGATTCTCCTCCCTCAACATCCTAAGTAGCTGGGATTACAGGCATGCACCACCACGCCCAGCTAATTTTTGTATTTTTAGTAGACACGGGGTTTCACCATGTTGGCCAGGCTGGTCTCGAACTCCTGACCTCGTGATCCATCCACCTCAGCCTCCCAAAGTTCTGGGATTACAGGCATAAACCACTGTGCCCGGCCTGATGCACAGAACTCTTGATACTCATCTATATGCCCCTTCTCTGACCCCTTCTTTCTCTTCCCCTACTCTAGGTTAAGAAACTCTGCAATTAATATTGATACTAGACTCCAGCCCACCGATGCTTTTTTTTTTTTTTTTTTTTTTTTAGACAGAGTCTTGCTCTGTCACCCAGGCTGGAGTGCAGTGGTATAATCTCAGCTCACTGCAGCCTCCACCTCTCCAGGCTTGGTTGATCCTCCCACCTTAGCCTCCTGAGTAGCTGGGACCATAGGTGCACTCTGCCTCACCTGGCTAATTTTTTACTTTCTTGTAGAAACAGAGTTTTGCCATGTTTGTCCGGTTGGTCTCAAAACTCCTGGGCTCAAGCGATCTGCCTGCCTCAGCCTCCCAAAGAGCTGGGATTACAGTCATGAGCCACTGCATCCAGCAAGTCCACCAATGCTTGTACGGACTACTGGGACAGCAACTTTAAGTGGGGATAATCAAATAGAGTTATAATGAATTGCTCTGACCAACCATACCAAGGGACAGAGATCTCTAGTCAACATACATTTCAAGCCCAAATTGGCCCACATTCCCTATTCTTCTCTGTTTTATACTCTAACATTGACCAACTCCTTATTTTCACTGATAAATGATGTTTCCTTCATGATATCTGTAGAGCCTGGATTGTTAGAGCTTAGACCCTTTACTTTCTTCCTGAGGCAATGTAGCCTAGCGGTTGAGTGAATTGGTTTGAGCCAGGTGTAGTGGCTCTTTTTAATCCCAGCACTTCCGGGGTCCAAGGCAGGTAGATCAGTTGAAGCCCGGAGTTTGAGATCAGCCTGGGCAACAGGGCGAGACCCCATGTTTACCGAAAAAGGAAAAAAAGTGAATAGGTTTGGAAGTCAGATGGGCCAGAGTTTGACTCTAGTTCCACTATTTGATTTTTTTAATAGCCATGTGGCCTATTTAAGCCTATTTTCCAATCTGTAACTAGGTATTAAAGGAAATAATATATCTGCAATAATCTCGCTCCATTTTTGATATCTGACTGCTGATAGCTTTCAAGTCCCAACCTTTCCTCTTCCTCTTCTGCCTCACATCTGAACAGACCAATAACAGAACCTGGGTGTTATCTCCTTTGGTGATGCCAAGAAGTTCAACACTATACAAGCCTGACTTGTAGGCAGAAACCCACAACCCAACCCTATCCCCCAGCTACCATCAAACCCAAGCCAACCTCCATTCTTTGCTTTCTCAAGCCATTTTGGACCTACTAGGGAAGCCTGCCTTGCTTATTACGTGAGTAATAAACCTTGTCATAGTGTGTGTGTGTGTGTGTGTGTGTGTGTGTGTGTGTGTCATATGAACAAATCTGGAGTGACAGAGTCCATCCCACTTTTGCAGGGTGACCACAACTCTGTGAGCAGTATGCCTAGGCAATGACCACCACCACCGGGGGTCATTCTTCTTTGGCTTTGACTTGTGAACAGGCCCTGCTGCCTGCTGGCTTGCATGCGCTTTGAGTTGTGCCGCTGCCGGCAGGCTGACTTGCTCTTTGAGCTGAGCTGCTTTCTGCTGAATTTGCTGAGCTTTCAAGCCTCTGTTATATACTTAACCAACCTAAATCAGAAATTTCACTAATTGGCATTTAGAAACAGGAGCATGGGATTGGGGCCCTCCTTAAAGTGACCTTGGATCATGTGTCTGGACTCCTTTGTGTGTCTCAATTCCAGCATAAGCCATGACTGCCACTAGGCTCAGGGGAATGACTCTTACTCTGTTACCATTCGTTGTATGTCTCAACAGGACTTTAGTCCCCATTTTATAGAGTGCTTGGGAAAAGACGGATACCCTATGCAATATGCATGCCATTGAGTGGTCCTTGCATGGAAGTATATGCTGAAGTCATACTCCTAAAAACAGGTGACTCACTAGGACCCTACAGAATGGTTTTGCTGCTGCCGCTGCTGCTTATGTGTTTCTCACAACAAAGTTCTCAATCCTGAGAGTTATACGGAAAAAAATACGCTTAGCACCCTGGTGACATAGCCAAAGGGTTAATTCAAACACAACTTAAACCCTGGGTCCTTAAACCCAATAAAGCAACCATTTCTAAAAGGCAGGCCCCTAATTCGGACTGTATTAATTTCAGGCTCTTTGAGGTGAAATTTCTAAATATAAGCAAGGTAGAGAACACCCACTCCCTGAAGTATATCCAGTAACCATCAAAAAACAATAACAATAATAACACCCGGATGCCAGAGCCAGAGGAAACAACAACAACAACAACTACAAAACAGAAACAGAAGTCCTCAATTTGACCCAACTGGAAATCCAAGATGCACCAAAAGAATGTATACAACAAAAAGATAAAAGATTGGCCTTTACAGCTCTGCAGCATAGATTGTGAATTAACTTCAAAATCTACTGAGATGTACCCGTTGGCAAATTTTAATGGCCTTCATCAACACGGGGGCTGAAATTATGGTCATACCTGGGATCCCACTAAATTTAAACAAGGTACCCCCTATAATCTTGGGAGAGTTACTGAACATAAATGGAAGACAAATAGGTATGCCTCTCCTTAACCACCAGACATATTGCCTTACCTAAACTCCGCCTAGTTAAAATGCCCATGGCCCCAAAATATCTCATAGTGGGCAGGGATGCTCTAACCCAAAGTGTGATAACTTAAAGTTAAATTAGGTTTTTGACACTTACAATGGGCTTAACACAAAATGTGACCCCCTGGACCTCCCTGACCCTAGTTAGAATATTTAAGACGTCCCTGACCCTAGTTAGAATATTTAATAAGATCTAATATAAATCAAAACAAGGCATTTAAGATTGAAACTCATTATGCAAGGTCCGTTTTGAAAAGGGAGTGATTATTCCCACTACTTCTCCATTTAATAGCTCAATTTGACCTCTTTTAGCTTGGAAGGAAAGAATAGTGCCTCACTATAGATACTGAAGTCTTCTTTTCTTTTTTTGAGACAAGGTCTGTCTGTCACTCAGAGTGACTATAGTGCAGTGGCGCTATCACAGCTCACTGCAGCCTCAAACTTCTGGACTCAAGCAATCCTCCTGCCTCAGCCTACAGAGTAGCTGGGACTACAGCTGTGTACCACCACACCCAGCTAATTTTTTTTTTATTTTTTATAGGGACAGGATCTCACCATATTGCCCAGGTGAGTCTCAAACTCTTGGTCTCAAGCAATCCTTTCACCTTGGCCTCCCAAAGTGCTGGGATTACAGGTGTGCACCATTGCACCTGGCTGATACCGTAATCTTAATGTCACAATGCCTTACCCATTGAGGTTCTCATACCCAATATTAGTAAACTATTGACTTCATCAAATCAGCAACTTGTAAATACCCTGCAGTCGTAGATTTAGCTAAATCTCTTATGTTCAATGCCTATTTTTACAGTCTCTTAGCTGCACTTTGTCTTCACCTTCAGAGGGATACAATATACCTTTGCTGGAGCACTCAACAGCCTTGCCATTGCACACAATCTTTGTGGGCGAGATCTTAACCACATTCAATGTGATGGGGCTTGCTAGAAAGCTGCTGCATTCCATCCCTAACCAGGACATTCTTGAAAAAGGAGAGGATCCAAAGGTTAACACAATTGGCGGAACTTCAGGAAGTAATCTTAGCCCAGGATGCCTTGGCTAATAATCAGCCCGTCCACACACCTTTACAGACTCATGGACCACTGCCAATCATCTGGCCTTCTAGTCTTGCCAATGGCAGGAACAACAATTTCTTACCCAGAGTTTCTGCCTTTGGAGTACAGAACTCCACGAATCTCTTGCCTCATAGATATCCAACATATAAATCAAGGTCACACATGTCTCTGTACCTACAAAAACCACAGTACAAAGCCTCCCTAAGACACTTCTTATATCATTTTGTGTTCTGAACAAAGCACGCATTTCACTTCTCAACAGACATAATGCTGGGCTCTGGAATGAGTCATTCAATGGGACTTTCAATTTCCTTACCAGCCTCAGGACACAAGCCTCATAGAGAACCATAATGGCTTAATTAAACCAGTTCAAACTCAATTAACTGAAACATGGCATGTTTTTAGTCATCAGTCAAATATCAAGGGCGAATTGCAATGAAAGGCCTGCCAACAATTTTGACTCTGGGTATATAACCCAAAAGAATTGAAAGCAGATTATTGAAAAGATATTTATATACCCCTCCAGGTTCATAGCAGCATAATTCCCAATGGTTAAAATCCAATGCTTATCCATTGACAGACAAATGGATAAGCAACATGTGGTATATCCATACAAGGGAATATTATTCAGCCTTAAAAAGGAAGGAAGGCCAGGCACAGTGGCTCACGCCTGTAATCCCAGCACTTTGGAAGGCCGAGGCAGGCGGATCATGAGATCAGGAGTTCGAGGCCAGCCTGGCCAACGTTGTGAAACCCTGTCTCTACTAAAAATACAAAAATTAGCTGGGTGTGGTCGTGGGCGCCTGTAATCCCAGCTACTCAGGAGGCTGAGGCAGGAGAATCACTTGAACCCAGCAGGCAGAGGTTGCAGTGACCTGAGATCGTGCCATTGCACTCCAGCCTGGGTGACAAGAGCAAGACTCCATCAAAAAAAAAAAAAGGAATTTCTGCAATACGCTACAACATGAATGATTTTGTAGGACATTACGCTAAGTAAAATAAGCCAGTCACAGAAAAACAAATACTGTATGGTTCTACTTAAAGGAAGCCCATAGAGTTGTCAAAATTAGAGAGACAGAAAGTAGAATGGTGGTCCCCAGCAGCTGCAGAAAGACAGAGTGGGGAAATTATTGTTTAATGGGTACAGAGTTTTCATTTTACAGGATGAAGACTTGTGGATATGGATGGTGGTGATGGTTGCACAACAATATCAATTTATTTTATACCACTGAACCGTGCACTTCAAAATGGTTAAGATGGTAAGTTTTATGTTGTGTATTTTACCATAATAAAAAAAATTGTAGAGGGAAAAACAGTCTGCCTCCACTTTTGATATGGGACTGCTAACATCTTCCACCCTCCCTCTCCCCCTCTGCCCCACATCTGGGCAAGCTAAGAAAGCCTGCTGCTCTCTCCTCTGGCACCAGCTGGAAATTCATACCCAACAAGCCCTAGCCCTCCCACCAGACCCACATTTCATCCCCATCCCCATCGCATCCCCATCCCCATCCCCATCCCTAACCACCATAAATGCTAAGGGAGTTTCCTTGCCTGGTTTTCTGAAGCCATTTTTGGACCTGCTTGGGAATCTGCCCTGCTCTCTCAGAAAGCTTCATTATATGAGCAATAAACCTTTTCCTACCCTCTTGGTGCATGTGGTGTATCATCAGTCTTGACATCTAAAACAAATTTTGGGTGGTGGGGTCCATGTCTTTGCAGGGTGACCACAATAGTACCTGGCACATTATGTGTTTAATAAACAGAGATTACTGTCATATTTATTTTATTTTATTTTTTGAGATGAAATTTCACTCTTTTTTCCTAGGCTGGGGTGTAGTGGTGCGATCTTGGCTCACTGCAACCTCCACCTCCCGGGTTCAAGTGATTCTCCTGCCTCAGCCTCCCAAGGAGCTGAGATTACAGGCATGCGCCACCACACCTGGCTAATTTTGTATTTTTAGTAGGGATGGGGTTTCACCATGTTAGCCAGACTGGTCTCGAACTCCTGACCTCAGATGATCCACCCACCTTGACCTCACTTACAGGCGTGAGCCACCGCGCCTTGTCTCTGTTATATTTATTTCTCTATTTAAATTGATGGATATATGCAAACCTGATCATTATCATACTTATGCCTAGACACAAGAGAGGCAATAAACTAATCTAAGTGATGCTTGTGATGCCAAAGATGTCAGAACACTTTCTGGGCCAATGGCAGATACCTCATGTCACCAGATGCTAAGGGTCCACAATAAAAAGCACTGAATGAAAATTTTGAGGATAAATATCTCCAGGTTGAGGAAGAAGGTTGCACATATCGGGTGCTCAATAAATATTTGTTGAATGAATGAATGAGTGAATGGCCCCAGTGTGTGGGGCTTGGGAAGTGATTGGATATAGGCAGAGAAAAGGAACAAGTCAAAAATAATTCAGAAATCAAGAACAAGCAAGTTGCCTTGATACACTTCATTCCTACACTTGGCAAACTTTAGTGATTAAGGAAACAATGTTTTAAAAAAAGTTTTGGTGATGAGACATTCAGGAAGATCTATCAATAAATAGCAAACCTGGTCCTTTTTAAGACACTGTGTATAAAAAAATTCCAAAAAGATTAAAATCAATGCAGAAACCAAAGAACCATTTTTTTCTATATCATATTGATCATTTCAAGTGGAACTGTTAGCTATCTTAGAAAAATTGTGGTTCTCAATTGCTTTTGCCTCTATCTCTGAACCACCAATCCTAAAGAAAAACATTCAACCAGAAAATTTCAGCACATCACAATCTCTCTGAAGATTAAGAAGTCTCTGTGAAGGACTGAATGTATAAATTGAAAAATTTTTGCTGTCACATTTAGGTAAAAGAGAAATCGTTCTTCATATCCCCTTCCTTTCCATCTGTAGCTCACCTATGTCAACTTTCCTCTCAGAAGTGAAATAAAATTAAAGCTATGACACTGAGTGTCAGTCATGGAGGGACACGTTCCCCACTTAGCCTTTGCTGAAGTGTTTCCAGAGACAACTGTCTAATGCCAGGTCCCCACTTAGTGGGCTGCACTTTTCTACTCATTTGCACATAATCCAGAAGTCACATTTTGGGTTCACAGTTTCCACTGGGGTAACCTCATTAGGCCTGGCCACCTCTGTGCTTCTTGTGAAGTCTCTGATTTGAAGGATTAGTATCCTTTCCAGACTGTGTGGGTTGACTTTCACCCATCTGGAGTTGCTTGGAACAAAAATAACTACCTCAACTCCTTGTCACGAAAGCAAAAAACAAGATAGCATTAGAGTTCTGAGAACAGGATGTCATTACGGGTTGTGCCTTGTCAGCTACAGGTAAGATATTTGAGTGGCTCCTCAAGCCTCCCCAACTCCCTCTCCGACCTCGCTACACAGTCTTCCCAGGTGTGGTATTTGACCTCCAGACTGCCACCCAGAAAGCAACTCAGAGCTCAGCAACACCATGATGATGAAACACAAATATCTGGGCCACCAACTTTGGAGACTCCACTGGTTGCTTTTGTGCAGCTCTTTCTATATATGACTTTCAAAATGGCAGCCAACCCTCTCAACTGTTGGTTGATCTGAATATGTAAAGTTCAGCCTTCAAACCCAGCAAACAGTCAGCTATAGGATAGAGTTCAGGTGCTGGGGAATGACCACGGTTGGCTGCTACGTTGGGAACCCTGGTGACATCATATATGGACCTGGGAATGTAAAGAAACGTAGGAAATCTGAATTTATGACTTTTCTAATCTCTCTATCGGGATCCTTTTTTGGAATCAAGATGATTTTCCTTCTAAAAGGTCATTTTATTACAGTAATGGGCAGGGTAGACATACCTCACTAGCGTACTCTCAAAATTTCTTGCATGCATATGCTTTCTCCGGCATGCATATGCTTTCTACTACAATGTGAACAAGCCTACGAAAGCTAGCCTAATGGAGGATGAGAGACCACGTGGAGGAGAGCTGAAGTGCCCCAGCCAGCAGCTAGCCTACACCCACAGCTATTTTGCTTGTGTTCCACTCGTCCTATTTGCATAATATTGTTCTTTAAGTTAACCCATTCTTAATTTATTGTTTTAATCTTAAGCAATAATATTCAAGAACTAATGAGTTTTGTGTATTCGTTATATTTTTCCATAATATATATTATACTAATAAATGCCCATTCAAATTTTTGTTTGAGTGCTCAAGTGGGTATCATTTAAAATAATCTTATATACTATATATAACAGCCAAGGTTTGGGCAACACAACAGAAACTGCATGAGTTTATTTTATCAGAATTTTTTAAACAGTATGGGAGAACTAAAAAAGTAAAAAAGGGAACCCTTGAGTTAACAAGGAGATAAGAACTACATAAAGCAGTTACTGTCCTGAAGGAATAAAGGGAAGAGCATGGGGTTATTAGAACCTAGAAGTTTGGAACCACCAGGAGCTGGGACCCTATGAGGAGAGGGTTGGCCCCTGACAATGCTGGTGTCTCTAAGGGAGCTCCTGAGGCTGATTCTAGCAGTGTAGGGAAAGAAACTGGAAACTGGAACAATTTCCTCTGTAATCAATGACCCTTGCCAGGGTAAAGAATCACTGCTGAAGAGATGCTACTGGAAAAGCAAGCAAACAAAAAGGAGGGTGTCCCTTCCCCTTCTTCCTTCCTTCCAGTCTCCCTCATGACAGAGCATCTGGCTGGTGACGGGAAAAGGTGCTCCACAGAGCACCACCCCAACATCACACGGGCATCTGCTGACCCACAGCTGACTGCAGATGAGGAAGCTCAGCCTAGGTCACACAAACGCCTCCCAGCTGAGTCTAGCCTAAATTGCCAACCTGCCAAATCATGAACTAATAAGTGACTATTGTTTTAAGCCACTACCTTTAAGGGAATTCAGTATGCAGCAATAGCTATCTGATCCATATAGGCCTACAAGGCTATAGAAAAACTATCACATGTAATCCCAGCACTTTGGGAGGCCAGGGCGGGTGGATCAACTGAGGTCAGGAGTTCGAGACCAGCCTGACCAACATGGAGAAACCTCGTCCCTACTAAAAACACAAAATTAGCCAGGCATGGTGGTGCATGCCTGTAATCCCAGCTACTTGGGAGGCTGAGTCAGGAGAATCACTTGAACCTGGGAGGCAGAGGTTTCAGTGAGCCAAGATCGCACCATTGCACTCCAGCCTGGGCAAAAAGAGCGAAGCTCTGTCAAAAAAAAGAAAAAGAAAGAAAGAGAGAGAGAGAGAGAGAAAGCAGAGAGGCTACTGCAGAGAAAAGTCTAGAAGGATGGGTTCATGGGTTCATCGAGAGACAATAGCTTAACAACCAGCACACCATAGTTGGCAAAACACTATCATTGAAAAAAAAACATGCTCAAAAGGGGAAATGCCAGTTTGGGTAAATATGCTTTTGTGTTGGAGAGAAAGAATTTGGAACAGGCTTTTCAGACCCCCTTAAGGCCCAACAAACAAATTATAATTTAGACAAGTCTGGGATTCTTCACAGCTCAGCTTGTGGTGATGGTATTAGCTTCACAACTCCAAACAAGTTAAGCTGTCTGTGTGAAATCTCCTCAACAACACCTCACTGGCAAACCTGGAGGTGCTGAAAACAGAGCTTTCAATTCTTGTTTGCAACCAAGGGAGTTGAGTTGGCAGATGGGCACTGTGTCCAGCCTTGGGAAAGGACATCGCAGACTTTGCATCCTAAGAACTCATAACCACAACGGCAAGGTAAGACACAAGCTCTTGAAAGTTTCCATCACAGTGCAGCACAAATGACCTTGGCTATGTGCCCTGTTATTGCTGGTCCCTGCTTAAAAATCTCCTGTGACTTCCAACCACACAAATTTCCTACCTGGTTGCAAAAATGCCCTTGATAATTCACCCCTCCCTCTATCTTGCCCCCTTTACAATGTGGCTTGGCAGCTCCTCCCATCAAGAGTTAAAATCTATTTCCTCACCCCTTGAATCTAGGCTGGCCATGGGACTTGCTTTGGCCAATAGATGTGGCAGAAATTATGGCGTGACAGTTCTAAGCATGAGTCTCAAGAGGCTTTGCATGCAGCAACTTTCTCTTAGAACCCTGCCACCATGTGAACAATCCTGCCTGGGCTAGCCTAATGGAGGATGAGAGACCATGTGGAAGAGAGCTGAGGTGCCCCAGCCAACAACCAGCCTACCCCAGAAGCAGAGGCATCTGCTGACCCACAGCTGACTCCAGATGCATAAGGGAGCTCAGCCTAGATCCAGAACGCCTCCCAGCTGAGTCTAGCCTAGACTGCCAGCCTGCCAAATCATGAAGTAATAAGGGACTATTGTTTTAAGTCACTACCTTTTGGGGGAATTTGATATGCAACAATAGCTCTCTGATACATATAGGCCTACAAGTCTATAGAAAAACTATGCTGCCTCTCTCTCCAGCCACACAATTTCTTTCTCTTCTCATTTACTATTCTAATTCCTCTGTGTTATAGTCTGTGTCCCAAAATTCATGTCAAAATCCTAATCTCCAAGGTAATGGTATTAGAAGGTAAATCTTTGGTAGGTGATCAGGTCATGAGGGTGGAGCCCTCATGAATGGGATTAGTAACCTTATAAAAGAGAACCCAGAGAGCTCATTTGCTGCTTCTGCCATGTGAAGATACAGTGAAAAAAGAAGCAGGCCCTTGCCAGATACGAGTTTGCCAATGCCTTGATCTTGGAATTCCCAGCCTCCAGAACTGTGAGCAGTAAGTTTCTATTGTTTTTTTTTTTTTTTTTTTTTTTTTTTTGAGACGGAGTCTCGCTCTGTCGCCCAGGCTGGAGTGCAGTGGCGCGATCTCGGCTCACTGCAAGCTCCGCCTCCCGGGTTCACGCCATTCTCCTGCCTCAGCCTCCCGAGTAGCTGGGACTACAGGCGCCCGCTACCACGCCCGGCTAATTTTTTGTATTTTTAGTAGAGACGGGGTTTCACCGTGTTAGCCAGGATGGTCTCGATCTCCTGACCTCGTGATCCGCCCGCCTCGGCCTCCCAAAGTGCTGGGATTACAGGCGTGAGCCACCGCGCCCGGCCAAGTTTCTATTGTTTATAAGCTACCCAGCCTATGGCATTTTGTTACGGCAGCCTGAATGGACTAAGACAGTCTACCTAGACCATTATTTCCCTTTCATCATCCACCAGCCAATTCCAGCACATCTTTTAGATCTCAGCTTAAATACTCCCTCCAAGACCTCCCTCTATCTCTAATATGAATGAAATCCATATCTCAAGTTCTTCACAGAATCCTCTACTCTTTCCTTCATGGCATTTGTCATAATTTGTAATTATATATCTAGCAAAGTTCTTTGTTGTTAAACATCTACCTCCTCCACTCTCCTAGAAACTCCACAAGGACATCCCTGCACCCAGTGCCTAGGCAATGCCAGACACATAGCAGATGCTCCATTAATTATCTGTCGAATGACTGAATGGCTTCCAAGTTAGTTAACTGGGCACCCTTGATAACAGATTCTGGCCTATTTGAAGGATCAAAGAAGAAAGTGGTGCTACCTTCTCCCCTGCCACTATCTTGCCCACTTGTGGTGCCAGTTCAGGAGGTTTGGAATGGATGTGGCTAATGATAGACGTAGACCTATTGCCTTTCTTGGATCATAATTCTGCCAGGCTCTGAGTCCATGTGGCATCGATGGCTAATTGTCCTCCAAAATTTATCCTCTCTTCTTCCATTTATACCCTCCCATGGAGTTTTAACAGGGCATGTGGTCACCCTACTGGGATCTCACTTCTCAGCTTCCCTTGCAACTGGATGTGGCCTTGTGACTAAATTCTCATGAACAGAATGTGAGTGCAAGTGATGTGTCAGTATCTTCATCACTTTCCTAAAAAGGGAACTGCTGGTCCTCCACTTCCTCTCTTTCACCCTTCCAATGAGCCAGAACATGCATGTGATGCTGGTGAGTCAGCTTCAGTCACATGAATAAAAACAAACTCCAGGAGATGACTAAGCAATAAGACAGAAGGAACCCAAGTCCCTAGATGAGTTCACAGAACCAAGCTACCTATCCAACCCTGGGCCCACCTGGATTATAACATGAGAAAAACATAAGTCCTAATCATATTTTTGAAGCACTGCATTTTAGGGCTTCTTTGTGACAGCAGCCTACCCTCTAGTCTAATCAATATACCTCACCAAGTCTCCTGCTCCTAAGGGAGACAAAGAAGCAAAATGAGTCTCAAAACATCATCCAAATGGAATAGATACAGACCTGTAATCCCAACACTGTGGGTGCCCAAGGCGGGTGGATCACTTGAGGTCAGGAGTTTGAGACCAACCTGGCCAACATGGCAAAACCCTGTCTCCACTAAAAATACAAAAATTAGCCGGACGTGGTGTTGTGCACCTGTAATCCCACCTACCCACGAGGCTAAGCCGGGAGAATTGCTTGAACCCAGGAGGGGGAGGTTGCAGTGAGCCGAGATCATGCCACTGCACTCCAGCCTGGGTAACAGAGTGAGACTCTGTCTCAAAAAAATAAATAAAAATAAAAATAAATAGACCATTAATTAATAGATATAGCCTTGGTCTGTGACCAAAGCTCAGAATGTTATGATATTCCTTTCCTATGTCACCTCAACTTGCCCCTGTCATCAGACAGGACAAATTCCCCACTGGTCCTTTGCACTCACAGCTGTTACATTTGAAATGGGAGCTTAGCCTTCCCTGCCCTGGTTCCTCCTTAGACTCATTTGGGAAAACAGGAAACGTAATTATTTCTGCCATTACCTTTATCTCATGGAGCCTGACAGAGTGTAACCAATGGTAGGAATTAAAACATTCTAATTGCCAACTCACAACAACTCCCGAAAAAAATCATTTTAACTCATTATACATATTAAATTATGACATGCTTAATGTCCAAACCTAATAGATTCAGTACTCAGGAAATCCCTTATACAGGTAGACACCTTTCCTCCTGTACTTTAAGAAAATCTTACATCAATATGCGGGACTTCTCAAATTTTTCTATCACAGTTTTCTTAATAGGAAGGAGAATTTGTGCCAAAAGATGTATGGAAATTTAGCACAAAGTAGCCCTCTACAAGCGGAGGATTTCTTTAAAGCATTGTGTTTTATCTCAAGATTCCATGGCAAATGTTTATCTTCTCTGCTTGTTTTAGTATGAAATAGTTTTCATTTGCTTGTCATCATTTTTAAGGAGTTGAAAATACAATCAACCTCACTCATCATAAAATAAAAGCAAATTAAAACTACTATGACATATTTTCACCTACAAAATTGAGAACATTTTAAAATGTGATAATAGTTCTATTAACAAGGGTGTGAGAAGACAATTCTCAGGCAGGGCATGGTGGCTCACACCTGTCATCCCAGAGCTTTGGGAGGCTAAAGTGGGAGGATCGCTTGAGCTCAGGAATTCAAGATCCACCTAGGCAACATAGTGAGACTCTGTCTCTACAAAAAGTAAAATATAAATTAGCTGGGTGTGGTGGCATGCGGCTATCATCCCAGCTACTGGGGAGGCTGAGGCGGGAGGATTGCTTGAACTGGGGAAGACCAGGTTGCCATGAGCCATGATCACGCCACTGTATTCTAGCCTGGGTGGCAGGACCGGACCCTGTCCCAAAAAAAAAAAAAAAAAAAAAAAATCCCTCTTCCCTGATTGGTGGGACTGTAAGCTGGTGCAACCTCTTGGGAGGAGCAGGTGGTTAGAAAACATGTATCAAATTTTTATGCAAAATTTAAATAGACCCACAATTAGACCCTAGGAATTTATTCTCCAGATATTCTCATGCATGCGTGCAAGGTATATTTGCAAAGATTTGTATCCAGCACTATCTGTAATTGCAAAAATCCAGAAGCAACCTCAGTGTCAATCCTTAGAAGACTGTGTACATGAGATACTGTACATGTTGGTTGGGTTCTCCGAGAAGCGCATGCCCGGATAGAATGCAAAAGATTCATTAGGGAGTAACACCTCTGCCAGAAAAGCAGAAGAGATAGGATTGGGCAGGAGGGGCCATTAGAGCACAATTTAGAGCTACCACCATTTCAGAAGGCAGCAAAGATTGCCTGTTAGAGAAATGGTCAGGCCCTTGTACCCTCAGTCACTGGATGGGAGCCACTCCAAGAAGAGCATGACCATGACTTAACAGCTAAGGGGACCCTGAAAGAGCTGCCAGGTTAAGGCTATCAGCTCCTCACTCCCCACAGCTGGACAGAGAGCCTTTGTTTAAGGAAGATCTGAGCAGCTCATCTCCAGGTCTGGCACAAGGGTTACCCATAGGATGAAGATGGAAGACATGAATCTATATGTATTAGTATGGAACAATCTCCATGATAGATTTTTAAGTGAAAGAGCAATAGTAAATTGCAAAAGAGAACATAACGTTTTGGGACTAGGCAGAAGTGATAACCGAACAACAGTGTGAATGGAGTAAAATGTCACCGAATTGTACACTTTAAAGTGGCTAATTTTGCTATGTGAATTTCACCTCAATTTTTTTTTTTTTTTTTTGAGATGGTGTTTCACTCTTGTTGTCCAAGCTGGAGTGCAATGGCAAAGTCTCGGCTCACCACAACCTCCGCCTCCTGGGTTCAAGCAATTCTCCTGCCTCAGCCTCTTGAGTAGCTGGGATTACAGGTGCGTGCCACCACGCCCGGCTAATTTTGTATTTTTAGTAGAGACGGGGTTTCTCCATGTTAGTCAGGCTGGTCTTGAACTCCCGATCTCAGGAGATCTGCCTGCCTCGGCCTCCCAAAGTGTGGGATTACAGGCGTGAGCCACCGTGCCCGACCCCATCTCAATGTTTTAAAAGAGAGAGAATACAGCATGCTGTCATTTGTGTTAATTTTAAAAAGGAAATGAATTTATGTGCATGTATAAATGCTAGACATGGAATCTCTCTGAAAGGAGCCATGAAACACTCATACTATGATCTCCAGTCAGGAAAGAGACTTAATTTTCACTGTACGCCCTTGGTGCTGCTTAAATTTTTATCATGTGCATGTAATTACACCCTGTCTTTAAAAATCATTAAAGATGTTTAATTGTTCTGATGAAGGAATACATTACTTGCCATCAAGAAAAATGAATGAAAAATTTTCTGCGAGACAATTTTTAGCAAGACACTGTTGTATTGATCATTCAAGTTCAGAAAATTCAGCCTCCGTCAAGGGGCACAAACATCATATATCAGGTTCAGTTTGTCCTCTCTCTCAGAGTCAAAGTGCTTTAGGAACATAGACACAATAAGTTTCTGGAACCAAATGGCAAATATCAAAACTTGCTAGAACAGGAGAAAAGTGTATCTTATTGAAAATTCACCAGCTGCTATACCATTCAGCATTGGGAAAATCAGCATACCTTCTTAGACTTCATTATTTTAAAGATGGCAAAATAGCCAAGTCATGGATGTCTCCCCCTTTCATCAAAATGTAAAGAACTAGCTGCCTCTGGGACTCTCCACCAATTTTCAAGCACGTCTTTTGAACCCATTTGATGGTGTCACTCAATAAGGGCACCTTTTTCAACTTGGCTGCCTCTTTTTGACCCAAAATAATTTCAACCCTTTTCTGCAGCTCCGGGCTTCACCAGGCTTTCTATTATTGCATATACCTTTCATAGTGATTCTAAACCGACCTCGAATGAAGAGACAAATGATTTTTTATCTATTTGTTTGATTGCACTTCTCCTTGTACTGCTCCAAGACAAGGCTTGTCTTTTGAGTTGCAAAAAATACTAGCGCTCTATTTCCAAAGTCAAACAAGTGGCTTTTCAATGTCTCTGCAAGTGTTTTGTTTCATGCAGTCAGTGCTGACTTTTCTCGATGGAGAGACATATGGTTTGGGCCCATTTTAGCAACTCTATAATAAAACTGATTATAAAAATAAGCATCTAAGAATATCTTAGGCTTTTAAGATTGACACCACTGCTTGCTACTCAATTGCTAGTTGTGGTTGGCAGTGCACGCAGTGTCTTTGTGGTCAAGTTCATTGTGGCAAGCTCAGAGGTCATGTCAGATCACAACACAGGGACTTTGAATTGGGTGAACATCCATTCATTACATGGCACACGTCACGAGCTTCAAGGTTTTGCTTCAAAAACTCTTCTGTCTTCTAGGTGAAAGTATAAGTTTAAACTTACTGCTCTTTAAGAAAGTAAATGAAAAATGACACTAAAGTCCCAAAAGCCAGAATTGTCAGCAATCCTAGGTGCAGTTCATTCATTCATTCATTCACGTATTCATTCAATAAATATTTATGGAGGGCCTATTTACCTGGCAGCACTTCATGAGGCCCTGGAAATACAATAGTGAGCAATAAAAACACACTCCTTCACCAGGTGGAGCTATAGTCTACTAGGGAGATATAGATGTTAAACAAATTATCACACAGGCCGGGCATGGTGGCTCACACCTGTAATCCCAGCACTTTGGGAGGCCGAGGCAGGTGGATCACCTGAGGTCAGGAGTAGGAGTTCAAGACCAGGCTGACTAACATGGTGAAACCCCATCTTTACTAAAAATACAAAATTAGCTAGGCATGGTGGTGCATGCCTGTGATCCAAGCTACTTGGGAGGCTGAGGCAGGAGAATTGCTTGAACCGGGGAGGCAGAGGTTGCAATGAGCTGAGATCGCACCATTGCACTCCAGCCTGGGCAACAAGAGCGAAACTCCAACTCAAAAAAAAAAAAAATTATCACACAAACAAGTACATAATTCTATATTGTGAAGTGTCCCAAAGAAAAATATGCCACTCTTAATAAGTACAGGAGGCTTACTTTAATTTGGAAAGTTAGAAAAGTGATGTTTAAAGTGAGAACTGTAAGACAAGTCACTTTGTCAGTGCAAAGTGGAAAGAAAGTATTTTAAGTAGCAAGGAGAGCATGAGTAAAGACCACGGAGAAGGAAAGCGAGGATGCAGTTAGAGACATGAAAGGACTGCATTGGTGGGGCACCGGGATGAAGGAGATGATGAAGAAGATGTAACCAGAAAGGCTGGCAGGGACAAGGTCATGCTGGGTCTTGCAGGCCAGCATGAGCACTTGAGATTCTTAAAGTAATTGCAAGGGAGCCTTTGAGGGTTTTAATGAGGGCAGTATCTTTATCAGATGTGCACTTGTTTGGGGTTTCTCTGGATTTTGTTGAAAGAACAATTTAAGCAGAAGGCAGATTAGGAAATAGGAGAATCGAGAGGCTGTATATGTTGAGACGCAGTGGTAGTCTAGGGTGACAATGCAGGAAATGGGAAGCAGTGGATGAACTGGGGATATGTTTTGAAGGTAGAATAGATGATGGCTGGGAAGACAGTGACTATTCAAGGGCAGGGGGGTTGGGGGAGGTATCAAGAATGTTTAGAATATAGCTAACCACATACCCTTTTAGAAACAGTCTTCTCTGAACATTTCTCCTGTCTCCAAGCCTCAGTTTCCTCATCTATGAAATAAGAACACTACTACTTCCTTTTTAAGGTTGTTAAACTGGTTAAATGAGATTATGCAGGGAAAGCATCACTAGTCAGTGCTCAAAAATGTGCTTTTTAAATTTCCTCCCTTTGCCTCTTATTCTCAACTTTGTCCTTTGTAATATTATTGTTCTTTAAGTGGGCTTGGTTTTGTCCTATCTTTGCCCATTCACTCACTGCTCCCCATCCACCCAAATCCCCTCTGTATTCTGTTTATGCAAGACTGAGTTTACCCCTTCTCAGTCCATTGACTTATCTCTCCTCACTCATTGACTTGTCCCAGGCAATTTATTCTGCAATCTTGGACAAAAATCTGGATTTTCAGCCAGGTGCAGTGGCTCACACCTGTAAACCCAGCACTTTGGGAGGCCAAGGCGGGTAGATCATTTGAGGTCAGGAGTTTGAGACCAGCCTGACCAACATGACGAAACCCTGTCTCTACTAGAAATACAAAAATTAGCTGGGTGTGGTGACGTGTGCCTGTAATTCCAGGCATGCCTGTAATCCCAGCTACTCGGGAGGCTGAGGCAGGAGAATCGCTTGAACCCAGGAGACGGAGGTTGCAGTCAGGCGAGCTCACGCCACTGTATTCCAGCCTGGGCAACAAAGCGAGACTTCATCTCAAAAAAAAATAATAATAATTCATTATGTAATCCAGCTTTGAAACACTCTTTGGCTACACTTTTGTATGCTTTAAGGAGGAACAAAACACAGATGGTCTCCAACTTACATTGGTTAAATCTACAATTTTTCAGCTTTACAATGGTGCAAAAACAATGTGCATTCAGTAGAAACTGTACTTCAAGTACCCATACAACCATTCTGGTTTGCCCCTTCAGTACAATGTTCAATGAATTATGTGAGATATTCAACACTTTATTATAAAACAGGCTTTATTTTAGATGACTTTGCCCAACCTTAGGCTAATGTAAGTGTTCTAAGCATGTTTAAGGTAGGCTAGGCTAAGCTATGATGTTCAGTAGGTTAGGTGTATTAAAGCAAGTTTTACTTAAGATATTTTCAAGTTACAGTGGGTTTATTGAGATGCAACCTCATTGTAAGTCAAGGAACATCTGTACTTCAGAAGTCATCAAAGCTGCATGAGCAGGACACAAGTCATATGAAAAGCCAGGTAGACATAATGCTATAAAAAATCCCTCCATTGGGCCGGGCACGGTGGCTCATGCCTGTAATCCCAGCACTTTGGGAGGCCGGGGAGGGTGGATCACGAGGTCAGGAGATTGAGACCATCCTGACTAACACAGTGAAACCCCGTCTCTACTAAAAATACAAAAAATTAGCCGGGCGTGGTGGCGGGCACCTGCAGTCCCAGCTACTCGGGAAGCTGAGGCAGGAGAATGGCAAGAACCCGGGAGGCGGAGCTTGCAGTGAGCCGAGATCGCGCCACTGCACTCCAGCCTGGGTGACAGAGCAAGACTCCATCAAAAAAAAAAAAAAAAATCCCTCCATTGTCAGAGTGTGAGCTTCCAGCTCATTATCCCAGAAGCCCGAGATAGCAGCAGTTCTCAGATCTTGTGATAAAGGTCATCTCCTATCCTGGGGCTCTCAGGACCATAATGCAAGAGTCTCCCTCTAAACCTGCCAGCCCCAGGGCTTTTCCCGCCTTCCTCATCCTAAGTCCTGAAAAGTTCACTGGGCCAAATGGTGAACCACGCACTTATTGCCCCATAACCCTTGGTACAAATGTCTCCAAATATATCCATCAAGCCTACATGTAGTACTGAGAATAACAACAGTAGCTAACATTGATTGGACACTTCTAAGCCCCTTAAATCCATTATCTTACTTAATTCTCACAACACTGATCAAGAGTTGGATAAAATAATCCACTCTCAAGCCAGCAAATCTAAACCAGCCACTCTTCCGTATGGATTCCTGCTCTTATGGTAACAAGGGCTTGCCTTCCCCACCTTTATTCTTAACCCTTCTGGAAAACCTCTGCTCCTCCTTTTCTGAGATGGAAAAATTTATAAGTGAAAAACCATTCCATCTTTCGAGGTGTGGAGGGAGGAAAACAATCACTCCTGCCTTCAACTAAGAGTGTGAAAAATAAGCTTAACTAAACCTGAAATACATTTTCAAATGCCTTTGAAAAGACTTATAAATCAAATCACATTTGTCCATCTCTCTGCTCTTCAAAATTATCATGCATGCACCTGAAGTTTAAGCAAAGAAATCCATTAAACAAACAAACCTAAAATCATAAAACCCAGATTTAGAGATTTATCCGCTCAGTCTAATGAATGCCCAATTCAGAATACAATTTTGTCTTCAAAGAGCCCTGAAGGTTCTTATCTTTCTTATCTTTCTATAGTGTTAACAGAAATATTACATCTTTGAAAAGAAGAAAAACATTATTCCCAGAGCTAAAACAGAAAAGGCTTTGAACTATTTTAGGGATAAATCAACTCACAGTTACCAATAAACCAAAAAGAATAAAAAAGACTGTTTCAAACCAAGTTGACTACTCTTACATATATTCAAGTGTCAACTTACAAATCAGTCTTTAAATATACACGTACACTTTCTAACTCTCCTGAAATGTCACCCAAGCCCCCATTCAATCAGCTAAAAACAATTTAATTCTTTCTCTAGGGAGGAAATCAGGTTATCAGATAAGTAAACCTTAAATACCATTTCTAGGCCTGATGTGGTGGCTCATGCCTGTAATCCCAGCACTTTGGGAGGCTAAGGCAGGTGGATCACTTGAGGTCAGGAGTTTGAGAACAGCTTGGCCACATGGTGAAACCCTATCTCTACTAAAAATACAAAACTTAGCCAGGCATGGTGACAGGCACCTGTAATCCCAACTACTCAAGATAATCTGCATACCAATTGTGGGTAGACATAGGTTTTTGTCCAGAGCCCTCCACAGACCCATCCCTTACCTACCATTGTCTCTCGGGCTTCAACCTTATTTGAAAGTCTTAATTTGCAGTTCCACATACTGCAAACACAAGACCCAGTCTTTCTGGTTCTTATTTTACCTGGAGATTAAAATACAGGCTGGGCGTGGTGGCTCATGCCTGTAATCCTAGCACTTTGGGAGGCCAAGGTGGGTGGATTGCTTGAGGCCAGGAGTTTAAGACCAGCCTGGGCAACATGGTGAAACCCCTGTCTCTACTAAAAATACAAAAATCATCCGGGTGTGGTGGTGTGTGCCGACAGTCCCAGCTACTCAGGTAGCTGAGGCATAAGAATCGCTTGAAACCAGGAGGCAGAGGTTGCAGTGAGCTGAAATCTCACCACTGCACTCCAGCCTGGGCAACAAGGCAAGACTGTCTCCAAAAAAAAAATTAAGTTTCTGTCTTACAATATCATAAGAAAATGGCTGGACAGGTTTTCACCAAAGTTGGAGGGTACTTTTGTGATGGGTTTGGTTTAAATTGGTTTAAAATATAAGACACATAGTCCATAGAGAATTCACCTATGGACTATGCTGCTAAGAGAATCTCAAAGAGATGCACTGTTATGCTCCAGAGTTTTGTGAGAGGCCACTAAGGTCAGGAGACACATGCCATATATATCAAGATGTTGTCAACAGAGAAAACCAGTGAGGTTTCAAACAGAAGCCCCGCTCCATTCAACCAGGCAGCCACTCCTCATTGCAGGTGCTGACCTGGGCTTTGGCTGCTTCTCACATGGGCAACTCTATACACTCTATTCCTGGGAGAAGGGCAGCAAAGACCCACTTATTAAATGATGTTTAACAATCCTCGGCCGGGCGCGGTGGCTCACGCCTATAATCCCAGCACTTTGGGAGGCCGAGGTGGGTGGATCATGAGGTCAGGAGATCGAGACCATCCTGGCTAACAAGGTGAAACCCTCTCTCTACTAAAAATACAAAAAAATTAGCCGGGCGTGGTGTCGGGCACCTGTAGTCCCAGCTACCCAGGAGGCTGAGGCAGGAGAATGGTGTGAACCTGGGAGGTGGAGTTTGCAGTGAGCCGAGATCGTGCCACTGCACTCCAGCCTGGGTGACGGCCGTCTCAAAAAAAAAAAAAAAAAATCCTCCAGGCAATTGTGTGACAGCTGGAATGAAAAATCAGGGGCAAATTGTACATATAAGGGAACAATTGTTCATATTTGTGTAAGCTACCCTCCGGAGTCTACAAGTTAAAAGGCACACTTTAATCAATTTGGCAACTTGCATGGCATTTTCCTCCACTATTTGTAGGATGCTGGTATCTCCTTAACAGCTACTGTTTTCCTATGCAACACACAATGACTTCTTGAACACATGGCAGCTTTTCATTTGTTCATTTAACAAATACTTATTGAGTTACTACTATGTGCCAAACACCATTATAAAGGTACTGAGGATACAGCGGTGAACAAGATGGACAAAAATCCCTGCCTTTGTACTACATTCTTGAGTGGGTGTGAGGAGACAATGAACCAAAGAATGAACAAACTGTGTATTGTGCAGGTGTGTCATGGGAAAAAAATGAAGGAGGGAAGAAAAGCGGAAAAGCAGAAAATGTCAGGAATGCACTTCCGTGGCGGGTGGCCAGACAGGTGGCCAAGAAGTGACATTTGAACTAAAGAAGGTATAAGTGAGCAAGCTATGAGGGAATTTGGCAAAACAATTTCGGAGGCGGAGGTCACAGCCAGCAGGTGCAAAGGCCTGGGGCAGGAGTGGGTCCAGGGCATGGGACGGATGGGGAGAAGGTCAGCATGGCTGAAGGAAGTAGGGGGTAAGCTCAAACAAGTCGCAGGTGGGAAACTGAGTGTATTGGACCTTGTAGGCAATTTTAAGAACTTTAGTTTCCACTCATTAACATGGAAAACCACTGGAAGGTTTTGAGCAAAGGAATAACATAATCTGCCTTTTTTTCTTCAAATGCTGTGAAACAAATACTTATTTGACCCTATCACCATTTCTACCTTTGGAAAGGCTATGGTGTGTTACTGGATGTTGAGGATAGCTTACTCTTCAATGTGCAGTAACCAAACTGAATTCATTCTTTCTCAAGATGAGAGAAAGATAAGCCAGGTATGGTGGCTTTCTTAGATAAGCCAGGTATGGTGGCTCACGCCTGTGAGCTGAGGCGAGAGGATCACTTGAGGCCAGGAGTTGAAGACCAGCCTGGGCAACATAGTGAGACCCCTCATCTCTTAAAAATTTTTTTTTAGTTAGCCAGACATTGTGGCATCCGCCTGTAATCCCAGCTCTTTGGGAAGCTGAAGTGAGCTATGATCACGCCACTGCACCCCAGCCTGGGTGACAGAGTGAGACCCCCATCTCTAATTTTGAAAAAAAGACTGGATAGGGCCTGGTTAATACAACTAACTCCCCAAAATTCAAGTTTTTCATATAGGTCTTTTTTAAAAAATAGCTTTAATTGACATAAAATTCACCCATTTAAAGTTTACAATTCAATGGATTTTTATATATTCACAATGTAGTACAACCATCATTATAATTTTTTTTTTTTTTTTAGACAGAGTCTAGCTCTATTGTCCAGAGCTGGAGTGCAGTGGCGTGATCTCAGCTCACTGCAACCTCCATCTCCTGAGTTCAAGCGATCCTCCCACTTTGGCCTCCCAAGTAACTAGGATTACAGGCATGTGCCATCACGCCTGGCTAAGTTTTGTATTTTTACTAGAGATGGGGTTTCACCACGTTGGCCACGCTTGTCTCAAACTCCTGGCTTCAAGTGATCCACCTGCCTCGGGTCCAAAGTGCTGGGATTACAGGCATGAGCCACAGCACCTGCCCGTAATCTACGTTAGAACTTTTTATCATCCCATCACCCATTTAAGTCTTTACCCATTAGCCATCACTCCCCATTTTCTCAACCCTTCCCGCAAAACCCCTACCCAGCCTTGGGCAACCACTAATCTACTTTCTATACATTTGCCTATTCTGAACATTTCATATCAATGGAATCATACTACATGTGACATTTTGCATCTGGCTTCTTAGAATAAGATTTTCAAGGTTCGTCTATGTTGTAGCATATATCAGCACTTCAGTCCTTTTGAGTTTTTTTTTAACAATCTTTACCATTTTCAAGTGTATCGTTTCATGGCAGTAAGTATATTCACACTGTTGTGTAACCATACCCACCATCCATCTCCAGAACTCTTGTCACCTCTCCAAACTGAAACTCTGTACCCATTAAACAACAATTCCCATTCCCCACCCCACCCCAGTCCCTGGTATGGCAACCACCATTGTACTTTCTGTCTCTATAAATATGACTACTCATACTTCATTTTTTAAATTGCCAAGTAATGTTTCATTGTATGGATATACTGTACAACAATTTAACTATCCATTCAGCTAATGGACATTTGGGGTTTTTTTAACCTTTTGGCTATCATGAATAATGTTCTGATACTTCGTGTGTGTGTATAGATAGATAGATAAATTAAATAGAAGATAGAAGAGAGAGAGAGAGATTGGAGACAGGGTCTCACTCTGTCACTCAGGCTGGAATGCAGTGGCAGGGACACATCTCCCTGCAGCCTCAACCTCCCAGGCTCAAGTGATCCTCCCACCTCAGCCTCCCAAGCAGCTGGGACTACACGCATGTGCCACCACACCTGACTAATGTATGTATTTACTTATTTATTTATGTATTGTAAAGACAGAGTCTAGCTATGTTGCCCAGGCTGGTCTCAAACTCCTGACCTCAAGTGATCCTTCCTACCTCAGCCTCCCAAAGTACCAAGATTACAGGCATGAGCCCCCGCGCCCAGCCTGATACTTTTTTTTTTTAAGTATTATTCCAGTTGCCTTGTTGAAAATAGACCCCAAGAAAGCAAATCTCAAACAGAGAAAACTGCTAGGAAGTTCTTGCTGGAATCCAGGTGAGAACGGATAGAGGCTCACATTTAAATGAAGTAGTCAGAAATAGCCACATTTGGATGTATTTTTATACAATTCCTGCTCCTGAAGTCTTCCCCACTCCTTTTTTTTTTTTTTTAACCATTACTACAATTGCTTTGCTGCCTTTTTGCTGATTTATTGGATCACGTGTTTAAAACCCTGATGTGAACACCTACATTTATCCTTCTTACTGGGTATGTGTTAGGTATTTAACAAAGTCTTAGTTCTCCTGGAGTCTGCCTGCATGAACCAACCAAATATAAATCTGCAAAATGGGAACTCTACAGTGTCTCTTCAGTTTTGCTGTCAAGATTTCACAGCCTCAGCTTCTAAAATTATTTCATCAAGTTCAATGGATACATATTCTTGAACTCTTTTCTAGCCTATATTTTCCAACAATGTTGCTAACTATATTTCCATACCAGCCTTCTTATCTAACATACTGGTTAAAATGTCAAAAAGCAGAGGGTTTAAAAAGCTTTTCTCGGTGGAATGTGCTTCTCCTTCATACATGATATAACTTGATTTGAACAATGTCACAAAGATATTTTCTCTGTTAGATTAAAATTTTGTTTGCATGAATTTTTCAATAGCTTTAAGCAGTTGAATAGCAATATATGCAGGAAGAAGCTGAGAGACTTATGTAATAGATATTTCATGTATCTATAACCCACACTGCTGCCCAGGAAAGGTGCGCTGCATTAATAGAGAGGATTTTTTCCTGCTGAATACCTTGAGGAGTTGGCCAACACGTTTGGGAGTAGAAGTAGAAAGGGCCAGGTGTGATGGCTCATGCCTGTAATCCCAGCACTCTGGGAGGCCAAGTGGGGAGGATTGCTTAAGCCCAGGACTTTGAGGCCAGCCTGGGCAACAGAGTGAGACTCCATCTCTAAAGAAAAAAAATCATAAAAAACTAAAATTCTCTGCCAAAATGGACACAGAAAAAACTGACAATCCAGAGAAAGATAATATGCAATGAAGCTAGACATGGCCAAATTAGAAAATGATATTGAGAGAGAACAAGAGCAAGAAAGAGGAGCCCTCAGCATTGAGAGGGCTGAGGAAGCACAGAAATGACTGATGGGTTGGTTAGTTAGTTACTTTTTGTGAAGTGTGCAATGTAAATTTCACTTTGGTCTCCCCACCGGAATCATCAACTAAAGTCTACACTGCTATATCGGCTATCTATTGCTGTGTAACAAATTATTCCAAAACTCAGTGGCTTAAAACAACACATTTATTATCTCACAGTTTCTGTGGGTTAGGAATTCAAAGATGGGCCCCCTGCTTCAGGGTCTCCCATGGGTTGCTATCTAGGTGTAAGCTAGGTCTCATCTCAAGACTCAACTGGGGCAGGATCCACTTCCAAGTGCACCCACATGATTATTGGCAGGATTCGTTTCCCATGAACTGTTGTCAGAAGCCGCTTTCAGATCCTTGCCACGTGGGCCTCTCCGAAGGGCAGCTCACAACACAACAGCTTGATTTATCAGAGCAAGCAGGCAATGAGGCAGAACAGGGACCTCTCTTAGGGACATGCAGCACTCCCACCCTCAAACATAGAAATAAAGAAAAATCTTAAGTTCCTTTAAGAAAAATTCCAGGCACTTAGCTAGCCCTTAAAAAATAAATAAGGCCGGGCACGGGGGCTCATGCCTGTAATCCCAGCACTTTGGGAAGCTGAGGCAGGTGGATCACTTGCAGTCAGGAGTTCAAGATCAGCCTGGCCAACATGACAAAACCCCATCTGTACTGAAAATACAAAATTAGCCAGGAGTGGTGGCGCATGCCTGTAGTCCCAGCTACTCAGGAGGCTGAAGCAGGAGAATTACTTGAACCCAGGAGGTGGAGGTTGCAGTGAGCCGAGATCATGCCATTGCACTCCAGCCTGGGCAATGGAGAAAGACTCTGTCTCAGAAATAAATAAATACATCAATAAACAACTTAATAAGCAAGAAGATAATAGTAGCTTAGAATAATGGGCAAAAAAGTTAAAATCATGGGATGTTTGGCTTCCCTATAAAAACTAATGTTCATAGATTGTTTTTCAAAAATGAGGACTCCCCACTAAATGGGTCCAGCAACACACAAGACTCAGATAAGGGGGACCTGAAGGCTAAACTCTTAACACTTTTCTCAGTTCTAAATTTCTTCCTAAGGGGAGTAGAGGAAGTCACACCCCAGGCCAGAACTAACATTCCACTGATCTCAAATTTTTAGACAAGGCTTCTCCTCCTAAGCCAATTACAAATCAAAACATCTTTAAATCTACCTTTGACCCATGGGTTCCCACTTTGAGACGTCCTGCCTTTTTAGGTCAAACCAATGTAGAGCCTCCCATATATTGATTTATAACTTTGCATGTAACCTCTGCCTTCCTGCAATTACAAATCCTTACCTATAAGCCATCCGGGAGCTTGGGACTTAAGCATTAACTAATTATCTTTGCTTGGTGCCCCTCCAATAAATACCCCACTTCCTCTTGCTACAATCCCAATATCAATGTTTGATTTTGCTGTGCTGGGCAGGGGGACCCAAGTTAGGTTCAGTAACAGCAAGAAGGCAAGACAGAGTGTGTGCTAGCAAGACAGAAGTCCGTGTGTTTGGTAACCTAATCTCAAACTGAAATGCCGTCACCTTTGCTGTGTTCTACTGATTAAAAGCTAGTCACCCATATGTTCATTGCAGCACTATTCACAAAAGCAAAGACATTGAATCAACCTAGGTGCCCATCAATGGAGGATTGGAAAAAGAAAATGTGGTACATATATACCATAGAATACTACACAGCCATAAAAAGGAACAAAATCATACCCTTTGCAGCTACATAGATGCAGCTGGCAGCTATTTTCCTAGGTGAATTAATGTAGGAATGGAAAACCAAATACTGCATGTTCTCATTTATAAGCAAGAGCTAAACATTGGGTACACATGGATATAAACATACGAACAATAAAAACTGGGGACTACAGCTGGGCATGGTGGCTCACACCTATAATCCCAGCACTTTGGGAGGCCAAGCTGGGTGGATCACTTGAGGTCAGGAGTTCAAGACCAGCCTGGCCAACATGGCAAAACCCTGTCTCTACTAAAAATACAAAAATTAGCAGGGCGTGGTGGCAAGCACCTGTAATCCCAGCTACTCAGGAGGCTGAGGCATGAGGATCACTTGAATTTGGAAGGTGGAGGTTGCAGTGAGCCAAGATCATGCCACTGCACTCCAGCCTGGGCAACAGAGCAAGACTCTGTCTCAAAAAAAAAAAAAAAACAAAAAACGGGGACTGCTAGATGAGAGAGAGGGAGAGACAAAAGGGCTGACAAACTATGCTCACTATTTGGGTGACAGAACCAGTCATACCCCAAACATCAGCAACAGACAACATACCCATGTAACAAACCTGCACATGTATCCCCTACATCTAAAATAAAAGTTGAAATTATAGGCTGTTCGCAGTGGCTCATGCCAGTAACCCCAGCACTTTGGGAGGCTGGGGCAGAAGGATCACTTGAGCCTAGGAAATCAAGACCAGCCTGGGCAACATAGGGAGACTTCCTCTCTACAATAAAATTAAAAATTAGCCAGGCATTGTGGTGTGCACCTGTGGTCCCAACTACTTGGAAGGCTGAGGTGGGAGGATTGCTTGAGCCCAGGAGTTCAAGGCTGCAGTGAGCCGTGATTGTGTCACTGTACTCATCCTGGGCCACAGAGCAAGACCCTGTCTCAAAAAAAGAGACAGCTCACTGTCAGCTCACTGCAACCCCCACCTCCTGGATTCAAGCGATTCTCCTGCCTCAGCCTCCCAAGTAGCTGGGACTACAAGAGCGCACCACCATACCCAGCTAATTTTTGCATTTTTTTTTTAGTAGAGACAAGGTTTTACTATGTTGGCCAGGCTGGTCTTGAACTCCTGACCTCGTGATCCGCCCGCCTCAGCCTCCCATAGTGCTAGGATTACAGGCGTGAGCCACCGTACCTGGCCGAGAAATTATTTTTTAAGTGAAAATAAAAAAATAAAAGCTAGTCACTAGGTCCAGCCCACAGTCAGGGCAAGGGGTCACAAAAGGACGTGAATATGAGGTGGCAGGGATCATTTGGGGTCATCTTAGAAGCTGTCTACCACAATGTTCCACTATGAATTATTTCAGAGGATTCACACCTGGGGCAAGGAGGTACATCGATAGCATGCAACCAGAAGGAGTCCTGAGACAGTCATTTGCAGAAACCCTGGTGAAGTTTTGGTTTTCCTTGGCCATGCAATCAGGGGCTACTCACTGGCTGATGGACTCAGCTGACACCCAGATTAATTTGAGAACTGTATCCACAGTCATTAACTAGGGGGCAGTGCCCAACTGTCCCCAAGCCAGAAGTAAGAGGTATGCATCTTCACGACCTCAATGACAAACTTGATCATATAAAATAGGCAGCATTCATTGACCTGGTTCAGGCTACGCCGGAGGTGGACTACCACCTGGAAACAGAGAGACATTGCGGAAGCTTCCCTGAGGTTCCCCTTGCAGCCTTCAGGGGTGAATTCTTTGACACTGGGTGTTTGAAATGGAGCAATCAAGGCCCCAGCAAAAAACAGATGCACACTCCAATGGGGTAATTGAGGACAGTTTAGGAAAGAGATTATTTACAGAAGTGTGGACAGGATTAAGAGAAAACAAGGATGTGGAGCACGCTGGTATTATCAACAGTGGGGTCTAAAAGGGAAGGAGAGAGAGAGAGAGAATCCTGGAACCCAGAGAGAGCTGTCGCTGTAAGACAGAGCTGCCCAACAGGAACTGTGGCCTTTGGGGAGAAACTGAGCCACTGCAAACTCTCAGCCCGGAAGGAAAGAAGCCAAAGGAATAAATACCCTGACCTCCCCTTCCACCCTCCAATCTCCTACTGGGTCCCCACTGGCCAGTCTGGCTCCCTGGGCACACTAGAGTTGAGAAGAACGGACAGCGGATTTGGAGGCGCAAGCAGAAAGTATCCAAAACCTAGACAGAAGCCAGGCAGCTTCACATGAGCTTTTTAAAAGTGTAGAAGTCATAAAAATTCTCCTGGGAATGAGCAAACACATGGGCTTTCAGAAGCTGAACACAAAATAGCTTTTAAAATGAAAGTCTGCTCTGGAAGGGAAAAGGTGGTTCCTGGCAATGTGCAGAGGAGGATTAAAGTCCCCACCCTCAACTCCAGCCTGCTGCGTCTTCCAAGAGAGAATTCCCCAGAGCCTGGACTAGGGAAGCATTGGCACCACTGGGAAAAGCTGCTACAGCCCTTGTTGGGCGGCTCTTTCTCACAGCTACTGAAGCTGCCTTTGCAAAGATTATGACAGTGAGAGAATCTGGTGTTGCTGACTCCATCTTGTTTCTAGCCTCACAGGCTAACTGTCCTCACTCATTCCTGGGCATAGGCCAAGTTAATCATGGGATGAATTTTTTTATTTTATTTATTTGCTTTTTGAGACAAGGCCTCACTCTGTCACCCAGGCTGGAGTGCAGTGGCATGATCACGGCTCACCACAGCCTCGAATTCCCTGGTCTCAGGGTGGTCCTCCCACCTCACCCTCCAGAGTAGCTAGGACTGCAGGTGCATGTTAACTTTTTTGTATTTTTTGTGGAGATGGGGCTTCGCCATGTTGCCCAGTCTGGTCTTGAACTCCTGGGCTCAAGCAATCTGCCTGCCTTGGCATCCCAAAGTGCTGGGATTGCAGGTGTGAGCTACTGCACCTGGACAGGAATTTAGTTTATAGTTTAATTTGAAAGCAAGGATGATAATAGTGTTCCACTAAAACTGATTCCCTCATTGTTTCAGGGCTTAAACCACCTTTGTAAAACTAAGGAAAGGCCACAAGATTAGGGAGGGGCCTGAATTCTGCTAAAATGGAGGCATAGTCTTAGGCATAGTTTTAGAACCAGCCATTGTTCTATAAGTCACAAGATTTGTGACTTCCCCAATTGCTCCCATATATAACATCACTATTATAGAACCTAGGATTGGTCTTGTGAGATGTTTTTCAGACTTTGCATTCTGGCAAATAACTGACCCCACCTGGACTTGTAACTCATGACTCAACTGGTCCTGTGGCCCCTACCCAGAGGTGGACTCAGAGCACCAGGACCATTTCCCACACCTCTATTGCATCCCCAACTAATCAGCAGCACCCATTGCCTAGTCCTCTGCCCACCAAACTATCTTTGAAAAACCACAGGCTGGGTGCGGTGGCTCATACCTGTAATCTCAGCACTTTGGGAGGCCAAGGCGAGGGGATCACCTGAGGTCAGGAGTTCGAGACCAGCCTGACCAACATGGAGAAAACCTGTCTCTACTGAAAATACAAAATTAGCCGGGCATGGTGGCACATGCCTGTAATCCCAGCTACTTGGGAGGCTGAAGCAGGAGAATCACTTGAACCCGGGGGGCGGAGGTTGCGGTGAGCCAAGAGCACACCATTGCACACCAGCCCAGGCAACAAGAGCAAAACTCCACCTCAAAAAGAAAAGAAAAGAAAAGAAAAACCACAACCTCCAAGTTTTTGGGGAGACTGATTTGAGTGATAACTCCAGTTCTTCCACATGGCCAGCCTCAAGTTAATTAAACTCTTTCTTCACTGCAATACCACAGTCTCAGCAAACTGGTTTTGTCTATGCAGTGGGTAGGAAGGTTGAGTAATCACACTACAGTTCTTTCTGGATTCCAGGAGTCTCTCTCCCCTTCCCTTTTAGACCTGGTTGGTAAGGGCTCTGTGCTGTTGACAGTTCCAGAGTACCTCACATCCTTTGTTTCATTTAACCCAGTCCATGCTTCTGTAAATACTCTCTTTGCTAAACTGTCCTCAAGTAATTGATTTTAATGTGCATCCATTGCCTGCCAGGACCTGATTAGTCCATTTCAAGCATCCAATATCAAAGAATGCACCCAAAACAAAGATGCTGTTAGGAAACACAGAACTGGGCACTGCAAAGGTCTTTGAGCATGACACAAGGATGTTGCAAGAGCGGCAGGCCCAGAAGGCAAGTGGGGATTGAAGAACCTTAACAGCATATTCACGGGGCTCAGTCCTAGGATTCAGCATCATGACATATCACCTCCAAGCTTCCATGCTTTCATTTGTATAGCTAAGACTTGACAAGACTAGTGAGGGTGTCCGATGATGAGGACAGTCAAGGATGTTAAATTCCTGACTATACATTAACAAGGAGGAAAAAAACTAACAAACCTGCATCAGTGTGAAGACCAGAAAGGCCTGTCCACAGAGCCAGATGACAAGGTACAACAGGATGCTGTTGAAAAAAATCAGACTAGATAAGAGCAGGTTGCTGTGTGAGCAAACTCAGACCATACAAGAGAACTATAGGCCCCTCTCCTCCAGCCCAGAATTCCTGCCCTGAGTGATGCTAAATCAGGAGGAAGAAAAGCAGGAGATGATATTGGCTACCCTCCGGGGACAGGAAGCATCACCTGGTTGGACTACCAGACTGCCATTCACACTTATATACATGGAGTCAGTCGGGTATGACTCAGTCCCCTGAGGCCAAATGTCAGCGAGGAGAGTGGGAGGAGCAAATCTCTCTCCTCCATTAGAGTTGTCTCCGGAACAAACCCAGGTCTCAAGGCAAAGGCCTCACACACTATTTTGCTATTTTGTCACCCACGTAAAGTTTTCAGAAACAGGATCCCTGTAGCTCATCAGGCACTCAGGTGCATCAAAGCTGAATTCAGGGTAAAGATTGATGCTGTGGCCCAGTGAAGCTGAGATGCCCATACTCTCTCTGTTCAGGTTATAGAGAAAACGGGCACTTTGTGATCACTTATACCCATAATAAAAAACAATTTGTGTGCATCTCATGAGCAAGAAAAATAAACAGGAAAAAAGAAAGCAACCCAACTACTTGTAAGTATAAGGAAATCCAACCCATATTTGTTCATATAACTGAAAGGTCCAGGGGCAAACCTGCAGGTATGGTTTGATGCAGGTGCCAACATCTTTTGCCAGGACCCAGTGTTTCTCACACCCTTTCTTTTTTCTTTTTTTCTTTCCTTCTTTCTTTCTTTTTCTTTTTGTCTTTCCTTCTTTCTCTTTTTTTTTTTTAACAGGATCTCACTCTGTCACCCAAGCTGGAGTGCAATGGTGCAATCTCAGCTCACTATAGCCTCAACCTCCCAGGCTCAAGCAATCCTCCCACCTCAGCCTCCTGAGTGGCTAGGACCACAGGCATGCACCACAATGCCCAGCTAATTCTTTTCATTATTTATAGAAACAGGGAGTCTCACTATGTTGCCAGGGCTGGTCTCGAACTCCTGGGCTCATGTAATCCTCCCACCCACCTAAGCCTCCCAAAGTTCTGGGATTACAGGTGTCAGCCACCATGCCTGACCTCACACCATTTCTTAACTCCATTCTTCTCACTCCATTTCTTAATTTCATTCCTTTATAAAGCTTCTCTTCTTACTATTTCAAGATGGCTGCCCAATTCATGTGCAGAGGAAAGAGAAGTTCTTTCTCTTTACTCTGACAGTTGAATAAAAAATCCAAAGCCTGGCTCTCTTTGGTCCATCCCTGAATCAGTCATTATGGCCTGGGGAATGGAGTACGCTAATTGACTTAAGGGAATCAGGGCCCAGCACTGGAGTGAAGGTGGGGCTAATGCCACCTAATCCACTGGAGAGTACCAAAAGTGTGCTTCCCCAAAGGAAATTCACAATACTGTGGGAAAGGATGAATTGATGCTGACTCACTATAAATGACAAATGCAAAAGATAAACATACCAGGCCCCACTCCTTGCAGGAAGCAAAAGATCCTAGAGGGAGAGGCTGACATGGAACAGGATGTCTGACCAATAAAACTTCTTCCAATAAGGATTCACAGACATAGTCATACCTTCCAGGCTAAGTAAGGCTCAATTCCAGGCAGCTGTCTGTCTCAGCTCCTCATGCACATCCGTCGCTTCTGTCTACCCAGCATTTGTTTCTCCCTTATTCAGTTCTCATTGCTGTGTAACAAATTGACAGAAGTGCATCAACTAAAGCAACACAAATGTATTATCTCACAGCTCTATAGGTCAAAATCCAAGCACGGCTCAACCGGATTCTCTGCTCAGGGTCTCATGGGGCTGAAATCAAGGTGTCAGCTGGAGCTGTAGTCTTATCTAAAGCTCAGGGTCTTCTTCCAGGATGATTGGTTGTTTTCAGACTTCCGCTCCTTCTGATTATCTTGAGATAGGAGGCAGGACTTGACTCTGGAGGTGGGGCTTGGACACCGGACCAAGTTCAGGACTAACTAAAACAGAGCTGGGAGGGAAGCAGCTTTCCCTAAGACACACCCACCAGTGTGCCAGGTCAGTTTACCATTGACACGGCAATACCTGGGAGTTACCACCCCTTTCCATGGCAATGACCTGATGACCTAAAGTTACTACCCCTTCTCTAGAAAGTTCTGCAGAAACCACCCTTGAATCTGCATATAATTAAAAGCAGGTATAAATATGACTGCAAAACTGCCCAGAGATGCCACTCTCTGGTTACAGGGTAGCCCTGCTCTGCAGGAGCCGTCATGGAGCTGTAACACTGCAGGAGCTGTAACACCACCGCTTCAGTAAAGCTGTTTTCTTCTACCTCCAGCTTGCCCTTGAATTCTTTCCTGGGCAAGGCCAAGAACCCTCACAGGCTAAGCCCCAGTTTGGAGTTCATCTACCCTGCATCAATATGACTGAGGTCTTGTTTTCTTGCTGGCTATCGACCAGAGACCTCTCTTACCTCCTAAAGACAAACCTAGGTCCTTGCCCTGTGGCCTCTCCATAGGCTTTCTCACACTTTGAGCATCTCTGACTTCAGGAAGGGCCTAGTCCCTTTTAAAGGTGCACCTGATTAGGTCAGGCCCACCCAGATGTTCTCCCTTTTGATTAACTCAAAATCAACTAACTAGTAGCCCAGTCAGGGCAGGGCTATTCCATCACATCCTCTAATTGTGCAGCACTGGAGAGGAGGAGATTGCACAGATTGTGCACACCAGGGAGCAGGGATCTTGGGGGCCATCTCAGAATTCTGCCTACCACATTTTAGTAATTGATCTCTTCTGGAATCAGTCCTTTCCTGCTCAGTCAATGTTATTTGTGGTAGGATTTAGGGTAATCAGACCTAGCCTTGGCCAATTGGTGTAACCATTGTCTGGGCCACAGTGGTCAGATCAGAAATGGGCACCTGCCTCAAGCAAGCCCAATCAGACCTAACCTGGGGACTTTTGCTGAAGTAACTAGGAAAGATCTCTCTCTCTCTCTCTCTCTCTCTCTCTCTTTCTTGTTATTGCGGAAGTGTTAGGCTGTAAACTTAGAGCTGATGGTGGACACCATGTGCTATGATTCAAATGACCCCCCAAAACTCATGTTGAAACTGAATCCCAAAAGTGGGAGCATTGAGAGGTGGGACCTTTAAGAAGCGATTGTATCCCTCTTGAGGGCAGAGCCTTTACTGACCACCTAATGTTTTATTAAAGCTTGTTCTGCACCACCCCTATCCCTACCATCACCATCTGGAGCTCTCGATCCTTTCCTCCAGATTTCTTTGCTCCATAATATTTATCACTATCTGATACAGGGGTGTGTGGATGTGAACATGTATATGTGTGCATGTGTGTGTTTATGGTCCGCCTCTCCCAGTCCCCGGTAGACTGTAAGCTTCATGAAAGCAGGGCTTTGTGTACTGTTGCTTCTGTAGCATGGGGTCTGCCAAAAAAGTAGCTTCTCCATAAATGTTTGTTAAATGAATATATTCTGATTCTATCTCCCCCCTCCTCCAGAATGGATCTAAAGCTTCCCAAACTTTGCCTGAGTGAGTGTCCTACTGAGTTCAATTTTGTTTCAGAAAGGATGTGTGTATGTTCACCCATACGCTGCACAAATATGTAATGGACACCAGCCATGACCAGCCTACTGGGGACTGCTTGGCAGTAGCAACACGGCAGCGAACAAGACAGATGAGCCTCCTGCCCACAGAAGCTTACATTCGGGTGGAATACAGGCTGGTGAGTTGTCATGCCGATTCCTCCAACCCCAAACCCTTTCCAGTATGGCAGGTCCTGGAGCTGGACTGGCCACCATTGAGAATCCACCCAACTGCCCATCAGCATCTCAAGTTCCCTGTTGCAAGATGCCAGGGAACATGAGAGAGGACCGTGGGGGAGAGTGAGCTCTCAATGAACCTGGTGTGGCAGGGAGAAGACGAAGATGGGGCAGATCCCCAGGGGGAAGACAACTTAAGGGCAGATTTGTTGAACTAAGTTACTTCAAAGGGTCTTCCATCTTCCAGCATGAGCAAAGAAGATGACCACACACCTGGGGGAGAGTCAGATGGCTTCTTCAATTGGAACGTTCTTCCCTAAGGATGAGCTAATATAGCACATGACCTGAAAATCCTTCTGGGAGACTCCAGGTAAAAGGGCCTTGACTGCACCAGGGAGAGAAGCTAAGTTGTAGATTTGGGGGAAATGAGTGTTAGAACAGTGAGTGCTCAAGGGAAGTAGTTAAGTGAGCCATGAGATACAAAGTCTGCCATGGCAAAGTAGGTGGAACAACCATGTTATGAGTATAAGTTCTGACCCCAGCTTTCCTGTGATTTCTAGGACCCTTGGTCTTGAAGATGGGAAATAAATGGGTGCATGACAGAAGTTAAAGACCATTATTAGGTATCAAGTACCATAGCACTTTTTGGAGGCAGAAGAGCTTGACAAATGGGCATAGTGTACATAGTAAATGATGGTAAGGGTAAAGGATAAAATGTATCATCTTCCTGTCATCAGAATGGGACCAGCACTGTGTAAGGTGGGCATGTTAATGACATGATATATAAGACAGCTTTTGCTACAATAACAAGGAACTCCCTAGGCCTGGCACGGTGGCTCATGCCTATAACCCCAGCACTTTGGGAGGCTAAGGCGGGTGGATTACCTGAGGTCAGGAGTTTGAGACCAGCCTGGCCATCATGGCGAAACCCTGTCTCTACCAAAAAATACAAAAATTAGCCAAGCAAGGTGGCACTGCCTGTAATCCCAGATACTCGGGAGGCTGAGGCACTAGTGGTGCTTGAACCCAGGAGGCAGAGGTTGCAGTGAGCCGAGATCACTCCACTGCACTCCAGCCTGGGTGACAAAGTGAGACTCCATCTCAAAAAATAACAATAACTTAAAAAAAGAGAAATAGCTCTCAAATCCCAATAGATCCCTATAACAAATATTTGTTTCTTGCTTCTGAGTCTTCAGGTTGGCTGTGATTACACTGGGTTTGGCTTGGCTGAGCTCAGCTAGGTTCTGCTGAGCTCAGCTTGGCTCCAAGGTTTGGGTTGAGTTCAGGTCTGCTCCACATGTCCCTTCACATGAGAAGCAATTGCCAAGAGGTCAAGTCAAATCATGCAGCACATTTAAAACTTCTGCTGGGGGAAAATGTGTCTGCTCACATTCCAATGACCAAAGCCCAAAGTTAGAAGGGCAAGGAATTAGACTCTACCTATTGAGATGTACTACAAAGTCACATGGCAAAAAGCTTATAATTCTAATAAAGGAACTAAGCAGAATCACTAGGAGCAATCACCTAGTCCGCCACACATGGAGATGTGCCACAGGGACTCAGAGACTGGAAGGAATTCCCCAGGGCCAGAGTTCTCCTGGGAAACTACAGCCTCCACCATTGCCTCCCAGATTTCATCAGCATCTCTGTAGTCTGGCTCATCAGAGGCCACAACGGAGATAAAGGCAAATAAAGACTTCAGCTGCTGGCAAGCTGCAGATATCTCCATGGATCAGCCAAGCCCATGTCTCTTTCTGAAACAATCAGTAATCGGGGAAGTGACAACAGAAAAGCGTAATACAAACTACCTATGGTATTGGAAGAATCCCAGGAATCGTTGGAGGTCTTGAATGAATTTGAAGAGGGTACTCAGTTCAAGACTACTTTAAGACACACACTTTGTAGATGTCCCAACTAGACACTGTGTGGCCTGGGAATTCTGCAATGTTTACTTTTTTTCAATTATATTATGTTATAATATATTTATAAGAAATATATATCATATATAAGATTATATATAGCTTATGTATCTAAATATAATATAGATATATTATATATCTAAATATAATCTTTGATATATATCTCATATATTATCTTATATATGATATATTATCATATACATGAGTTATATGTATCTCATATATATTATTTTCTTATATATATGAAATATATCTCATATATATAAGATATGAGAGCTATATATCTCATATACAGATATAGATATCTATCTACATCTATATTCCCAGGCCACACAGTGTCTAGTTGGGACATCTACAAAATGTGTGTCTTAAAGTAGTCTTGAACTGAGTACCCTCTTCAAATTCATTCAAGACCTCCAACGATTCCTGGGATTCTTCCAATACCATAGGTAGTTTGTATTACGCTTTTCTGTATATGACATATATATCTCTCATATATGAGAGATATATATGTCATATACAGATAGATATAGATCATTCCATCACCCAGGCTGGAGTGCAGTGGCACAATCATAGTTCATTGCAGCCTCAAAATTCTGGGCTCAACTGATCCTCCCACTTCAGCCTCCTGAGTGGCTGGGACTACAGGTGTGTGCCACCAGGCGGGGGCTAATTTTTCTTTTTTTGGAGACAGAGTCTCACTCTGTTGCCCAGACTCAGATGTAGTGGTGCAATCTCAGCTCACTGCAACCTCCACCCCCCAGGTTCAAGCAGTTCTCCTGCTTAGCCTCCCAAGTAGCTGGGACTACAGGCACGTGCAACCACTCCCAGCTAATTTTTTGTATTTTACTAGAGACGAGGTTTCACCATGTTGCCCAGGCTGGTCTTGAACTCCTGAGCTCAGATACCTGCCCGCCTCAGCCTCCTAAAATACTGGGATTACAGGAGTGACCCACCCACTGCCCCCAGCCTTTTTTTCTTTTTTTTTGGTAGGGACAGGATTTCCCTATGTTGCCCATGCTGGACATGAACTCCTGGCCTCAAGTGATCCTCCTGCCTCAGCCTCCCAAAGTGCTAAGATTATAGGTATGAGCCACCAGGCCTGGCCCAATATTTCTAAAGGCCCCTCAAGAGGCAAAAGTGGGCAAAGGACTTTTAAGGACAAAAAATGCCTAGTATTGAATATTAAGTTGTTTACTGTGTTGTAACTCTCTTCCATGACTTCAGTAAAGCAGAGTAAACACACACATGCCCCAAGACACAGTAACCTCTGTTTGGTAGTACAGCCCATCACAAGCAGCTGTGGCTGAACCCCTGGGTACCAGGACTAGAGAGGATAACTTCATTGTAAGTTCCACTGGATGTTAGGCTGAAGTTGCAGCCCCCATCAAGCCAGGCTTGGTGTCTGGAGCGGGCCTGAAGGTAGAGATTCTGCAAAAGGATCTAACTGGGGTGATATTCAAAAAATTTAGAAGCCAGAATGGCACAGGTCCTGACCGATAAGAACCAGAGCCAACATGCTGTGATCTGCATACAAGTGCCAGTGATCCCTGCCTCCAGCTGAGGAGGGCTGTGAAGGATGGAGGCTAGAAATCCATCAGGAGAGCTGACATTGAAAGGTGAATGGGAGCAGCACCTGCCAGCGTGACCTGCTGCTTTCCTGCATGCAAAGGACGGTGCATTTCAACCTGAGACCCTGGGGTTCCTGCAGGGCATCAGCTAGATTTGTCTTCCTGCCTGGGATGATCACCAATTATATGTGCTGTGAGGCAAACTGTCCTCCCGCCAGAGGAGGAGGTGAAGGGATTTACAGAATCTCTCTCTGATCTGACTTATTAGAGAAGTTAAAGGACACCCGTCCAGGAGGCAGCACAGTACAGAGATAAAGAAGTCAGGATTCAAATTTGTCCTATCTGGGAAGCTTAGACAAGAGCTCCTTAACCTCTCTCACACTCAGTCCCCTCATCTGGTAAATGGGAATCCTAACAGTGCCTACCTGGCAGGAGCATGGCCACAATGAAATGAGCTAATGACACAGTGAAAGCCCTTAGACAGCCTGACCCAGAGTCAGACCTCTGTAATGGGAGTCATTATTCAAGATGGGAGGAAAGAAACAGGAATTAGATCAGAAACAAATGACCAGAAAGAGAGATGAAATACAAAAGCTACATGAAGTCGGCAGTGTGAAGCCTGACTCGCAGGAGAGTGGATTTTGTTACTGTTTGCTTTTTCTTGTCCAGGATAATCCAAGACTGGCAGAAAGTGAGAATACCGATTGAGATCCAAGGACATCCTCATGGGAGTCTGTGCAGACAGGTTTTCATCAAGAACCCCTCTCCAAGCAGCTGGTCCAGCCCAGCTAAACTGGGGGCTGCTGTTTGTAAGAAAATTAATGCTCTGGGCCAAGCACGGTGGCTCATGCCTGTAATCTCAGCACTTTAGGAGGCCAAGGCAGGCGGATCACTTGAGGCCAGGAGTTCAAGACCAGCCTGGCCAACATGGTGAAATCCCGTCTCCACCAAAAATGCAAAACTTAGCTGGGCATGGTGGCGCATGCCTGTAATCCCAGCTACTCAGGAGGCTGAGGCAGGAGAATCACTTGAACCCGGGAGGTGGATGTTGCAGCGAACCAAGATCATGCCACTGCACTCCAGCCTGGGTGACAGAGTGAGGCTCCATCTCAAAAACAAAAACAAAAAAAATTAATGTTCTGTACCTGAGGAGCACCCATTTGCTGCTACTTCCCTGCCAGGATGAAGGAAAACCAAGTCAGACATTAAATAACACGTGCAGGATCACAGGATCACACCTTTCACACTGCAGTCTTAGTTTTCTATAAAACCACGTGACCTCTGAAAATACACTCCAGCCTCTGCAACACCTACTCATGACGCTTTGTAAAATCCACCGCCTTTTAGGGACACCAAGATTTTCGGAAACATGCAGTTTTCTTACCTCCAGATGAGATGTCTACTGTGGATAGGTGACTAGGAGGAGAACCCAAGGTGTGCTGATGGCAGAACAGAAGCACCTAGGATGCCACCAGGGAAACGCCCTGACAAGCAGCTGTGATGCTGTCTTCGAGAAGGTGTTTGCAAACACCACTGCTGCCCCCCTTCCCTGAGCCCTGACTTCCTAAACCTAAGGCTAAAAGCATCCTGGCAATTCCCGGAAGTAACTTCATTCTAGCAGGATCGAGCCAGTGGGTGGAGTTTTCTCAGCCCGCCAGGATCACATCAGTGACTGACTTACCCAATGTACTTTTATTTTTTATTTCAACCAATTCCCCAAAGCCCAGAGCAACTTAAAACCAGAAGAGCCACCACCATCTCCACCAAAAACAGGGAATATTTTGAGAGTTTAATGATAACTTCACAGCCATCCATTCAGCTGAGTCCCAAGGAAATGGAAGACACCTGAAAAATGTATTTTTAAATTGATTTAACGTTGAGCCATGTTAAATGTTTTAACTTCCAACCAATGCAATGCCCACCAAAACATCAATTAGTCCCAGCAATCAGGCAAGAATATTGGCTTCTGCTCAGGGATTCATTTATTTCAGCTCTGCTAAATATCGTAGAGGAGAAATCCAATGTAGCCTGTAGCTTCAAGAAAGTGAAATTAAGCCCAAGTAGAAACTAGATGAGGCCCTGGCTAAAATGGTGCCTTTTCTTGCACTGCCTCTCTCTGGTATCTCTCTAAAGTGAGGGCAGCAACTTGATTGTAAGGGTCTCGTGCTGTTAACAGAAAACACCCTTCCTTCCCCACAGGTTCTCTGTCTCCAAGCTGGAAAACAAAAGAGGCTGCAATGGGACAGAGAAGGGCTTCCTGCTGAGGAGATGAGTGGGCTTAAGAATTTGCAAAATCAAAAATCAAAACAATTAAACCCATGGAGATAGAGTAGAAGGAGAGTGAACAGAGGCTGGGAAGGGTAATGGGAGAGTTGGTGGGGAGGAGGCAGATGGTTAACGGGTACAAAAAAAACAGAAAGATGAGTAAGACCTACTTTTCCATAGCACAACAGGATGACTATAGTCAACAGTAATTTTTTTTTTTTTTTTGAGATAAAGTCACTCTGTCACCCAGGCTAGAGAGCAGTGGCATGGTCTCTGCCCACTGCAACTTCTGGCTCCTCAGTTCAAGCGATTCTCCTGCCTCAGCCTCCCGAGTAGCTGGAATTACAGGCGCACACCACCATGTCCAGCTAATTTTTGTATTTTTATAGAGATGGGGTTTCACCATGTTGGCCAGGCTGGTCTTGAACTCCTGACCTCAGGTGATCCACCTGCTTCGGCCTCCCACAGTGCTGGGATTACAGGCATGAGCCACTGCACCCGACCCTATAGTCAATAGTAATTTAATCGCACATTTTAAAATAACTGAAAGAGTACAATTGGATTGTTTGTAACACAAAGGATAAAGGTTTGAGGTAATGGATACCCCATTTTACATGATGTGATTATTACACATCGCATGCCTGTATCAAAACATCTCATGTACCCCATAAATATATATACCTACTATGTACTAACGAAAATTAAAATTTAAAAAAATTAAAAATAATTTGCAAGATCATTTTTAATAATTATTTTTCATTTGGGGTGCATTTTCACCATCAAGGCCCCAGGGTTTCCCTGCCCTAGATGAGGGTCTGGATCCAGGGAACGGTGTCCCACCATCTGGAGCATCCTGTCTCTACACACGTTGGCCAGCTGCTTGGGGCAACACAGGACGATGTGCTCAGGCCACTCACCACAGGAGCTTGGCCATTAGAACCAGCAGGGGACAACCAAGCCAAAGACCCCACGACTGGAGAGCTCCTAAAAGCAAATACAAAATAAGAGTACACATGAAGTTCTGGCAGCAAGCAGAAGGTAGACACATCATGTCCAACTCCCCGAGTCTCTCTCTGGGGCCACTTGATGCAGAGCCTTGATTTGTTCGTCTCTTAAATGGGAACAATGACCCCCAAAGAGGAGGAGGGGTGGGGGAGTGAGAATTAAATGAGATTGTGTCAGTCAGCATGTACTAGGGAGCTTGTTAGAAACACCAATTCCAGGATCCCCTAGAGATTCTGATTTAGCAAGTCTGCCAGGAGACCCAGGAATTTGTTGTATTTTAAGCATCTCTCCCAGGTGATTCTGATAATTAAGCAACTTTAGGAAAGAAAAGATTAGGGCTCTGGTCCATAGGAAGGGTTCATCCAATGGCAGCCCTCACTTAGGCCCTTGGGGTGAATGAAGGAGGGGCATCCAGGATCTTGCCCAGCCAGGGACATGCAGGGAACATCTTTTTAAGGGGCCCTCATCACTTTCTGACACTGCTGTTTCAAGGGAAAACTGGTCACACCTTTCTGCAGGGGATTTGACAACATCCATTACAAAAAAAAATTTAAGACAGAGTCTCGCTCTGTCACCCAGGATGGAGTGCAATGACGCCATCTCGGCTCACTGTAGCCTCTGTCTCCCAGGTTCAAGCGATTCCTCTGCCTCAGCTTCCCTAGTAACTGGGACTAAGGCATGTGCCACCACACCTGGCTAATTTTTGCATTTTTAGTAGAGACGGGGTTTCACCATGTTGGCCAGGCTCATCTCAAACTTCTAACCCCAAGTGATCCACTTGCCTCAGCCTCCCAAAGTGCTGGGATTACAGGCATAAGCTGCCACATCCAACCAACATCCATCAAAATTATAAATGCAGACCCTGTGATCTAGCAATCTCACTTTGAAGAGTTTATCCTACAGACATACTGCACAGATGCAAATTATATCAGGTCAGGAGCTGCAGCATTGTTCATAACAGCAAAAAAAAAAAAAAATAGAAACAACTGCAAGGTCCATCTACAGACCTCTGGTTGAATACAGTTACGGCATAGCCATAAAACCAACAATGGCACAGCTCCTGTGCACAGATACAGAACTCCCTCCAAAGTATATGGTTAGGTGAAAAATACAAGGTGCAGAATAAGGTGTATAATAAGCTTTTGTGAAAAGTGCAGAGATCATCTATATTTGATTTGCTGTGTATGCATAGAATATCTCTGGACAAATACACAAGAAGCTGCTAACATTGGTTGCCTCTGGGGAGGGAACAGGGTGGCTGGGGGACAGGGGCTGGAGGAAAAGATTTCACCACATGCCTTGCAGACTTTACATATTCGGAACCCTGTGCATTATCTATTGCACATATTATCTATTCATGCAAAATGCTATAACATTTACAAATAACTTTTAAATATATGCATATCATATTTCAATGGAAAGTTTTTTTTTGTTGCTGTTTGTTTGTTTGTGATGGAGTTTTGCTCTTTTGCCCAGGCTGGAGTGAACTGGCATGATCTCAGCTCACTGCAACCTCTGCCCCCAGTGTTCAAGCAACTCTCCTGCCTTAGCCTCCCGAATAGCTGGGATTACAGGTGCCCCTCACCACACCTGGCTAATTTTTGTATTTTTAGTAGAGACGGGGTTTTGCCATGTTGGCCAGGCTGGTCTCAAAACTCCTGACCTCAGGTGATCCGCCCACCTCGGCCTCCCAAAGTGCTAGGATTACAGGCATGAGCCAATGTGCCCAGCCTCAATGAAAAGTGTTTTAAAGTAATAATATAATACATCAAAAGGCATGATTTATGTTTTCAAGTGCCACCTCTGGCCACTTGTGGCTGCAGAAATGGGGAATACTCCAATTCACCATCCCTATGTGAAGGCAGGACAGGGAGACATTCAAGTCAGGAAAAGGTGGAGTGGAGGTTTTAGTCAAGCACCAAGTCCTCTGACTTCTCTGGGCACTTGCCCATGCCGGTACCTACTCCTGAGACACTGTCTACCTCGCTAAGCCCATCTTCTTCTCACCTTGTGTCTCACCTGAGACATCACTGACTTTAGGAGGTTTCCTGACCCATGTGTGTTCCCCATCTCAGCACCCAGCACCTGCCTCATGTTCACCAGGGTACATGTCTTCCCTCCCCGCCAGGCTGCACTGAGAGCTCAATGAGGGTAGGGAACATCTCTGTTCCCCATCTTGTTAGAAGCTATCTCCCCAGAGCATGGTCCAAATGTGGTGTTAAGAACAGAAGGTACCACAAAGAAGTGAGAAAGTGAAGGGGAAATGGGGAGAGCTGTAAGAAAGGCATGGGGGAGAAAAAGGAAAGAAGGCCATGTTCCCAGGATCCAATGCCACTCCCTGGGGAGGCTTCTCTATCTTAGCTCAGCCCTCAGTCACTATCACCCTCCCTGGTCTTGTCAGATTTGAAATATCTTCTTCATTTACAAGAGGGCCTTATCTATCTTGCACACCTCTGTATTCCCAGCCCCTACTGCAGACTTGGAACATAGTAGGTGCCCAGTAAACATGGGTTGAATTAATTAATATTGGACAGGCCAGGCTTGGTGGCTCGCGCCTGTAATCCCAACACTTTGGGAGGCTGAGGTAGGCAGATGACCTGAGGTCAGGAGTTCAAGACCAGCTTGGCCAACATGGTGAAGCCCCATCTCTACTAAAAATACAAAAATTAACCAGGTGTGGTGGCACACACCTATGATCCTAGCTACTGGGAGGCTGAGGTGGGAGGATCGCTTGAGCCTGGGAGGTGGAGGTTGCAGTGAGCCGAGATCGCGGCACTGCACTCCAGCCTGGGCGACAGGGCGAGACTCTGAGTCAAAATAATAATAATAATAATAGTTCATTATTATTGGATAGTGAGGAGGGAGTTTGCAAAGGAGCGGCTAAAATGAAATTAGTCCTGAGTTTCTGATGTTATGCGTTCTGGGTAGGGGTGGGAGAACTGGAAGATGTTTAATGCCCCCCACCCAAGGGCAGCCATAGTTGAGAATCACTAATTCTGAAGCTTGGTAGGGAAGCTTGATAGGGACTTTGGGTTTTTCACTGAGGGCAGAATCCCCAGTGACTGTCAGAGACCTCGCTCTGAATCTTAAGAACCTCCCCACCCCAGGCCTGACAGGGAGGACAAGGAAGGAGAGTGGGGCTGGGACGCGGGGCAGAGGGCGGCTCTGCTCACCTGCGGGAGAACGCGAGGATGAGGTTCTAGTGGGACCGGCGCTAGCGGGCGCGTCCTGCCAGGAGTGAGTCTTGGCGCCATCTAGCGCCTGCTGGAGGCTCTGCAGCTGCAGTGGACTGAGCCGCCGGCGCTGGGCGTGGGTCACCGCCGCGGCGTTCTCCGGACCCAGGGAGGCGATCTGCTCCGCGGACAGCTCCTGCAGGAGGCAAAGGGGCAGCACCCTCACACGGGGCCCCTCCCCGGATTTCCCACATCTCGGGCGTCCGCGCAGGATGCACACAACTTTGCCATCCCCTTGTGTGTATCATGTGTGGTCCTCTTTAAGATATTTCCTTAAAATTAGATCACTCTTGCACTACCAAAGTAAATGCATTTAAAAATAGAAAATTTAAAATGGAAGTTTCCAAAAATGGAAAGCCGGCAGACTTGCCATAAGCAAGCATTAAATAGGAGCCGCAAAATAAAAATAAAACAATATTGTTGAATCCTAGCTAGATTTGTCCGCCAACAATATCTGAACCCCTGGCCTCTTGAAAAAAAAGAGAGAGAGAGAGAATATAAAATGTATTATACAGGGTTAAATTGACACTTCCTTCTTGAGGTATTTAGAAGTACTAATGGAGAGTTGAAAAGGGAAGCATGATTTCCTCCCTATGTGGCAATGTTGTTTAATGCAATGCAAGACAGCTTCCCAGTGCTTCAAGTCTTCCACCTCCTGAAACACTGATGTGGAGGGGGAAACACAGGCCTTAAAGATCAGAGGCCTGAATTCGAGCCCCTGCTCTGCCACATACTTGCTGTGTCACCTTGAACAAATTACACAGCCTCCCTGGGCTTTGGGGATAAATGTGAGATGGCATAGAGAACTCATCTCCTCTGCTGACTGATTCTGATCCTTTGGTTTGACTTCCTGAGCACCATGTGATGAGCTCTGTGAGGGCTCCATGGAGGGAAAATGCAGTCATCTATTGGTGATATCTGCTATGGACAACATGAGTTGGGAATTCTGCCGGCCAGACTATGTCTTCAAGGACTGTGAACAAGGTGTCTTCTGAAGTCACTTCCAGATCAAAGGACTTGGTGACTCGTTCCAATGGGACTGGAATACGAAGGGGACTCTATATCATCATGTTTATTTTCTAAAGGCCCTGAAGAATCTGGGAAAGATGCTTATGCTCCCTCATCCCTTCCTCTCCTGTCAGTCACCCTCTCCTCCTCTTTTGTCCAGGTAGATACTTCCCTGGAATCATATCCCTCTGTGTAAAGCCCTTCCAGGAACCCCACTCCAGAACACAGTTCAGGCTCCTGGAAAAAACTCTGCCCACCTCTCCAGCCTCACACATGGCATTCTTCACTCCAGGAGAGTGGGTGCCAATATTTACAGTTCCCTAGAGGCAGCATCTTCCTGTGCACCTCCTTCTGCCTGGAACACTGTTTCTTCTTCATCGCCAGCTGTTCTCCAAGATTCAGCATCTGGTCGGTCAAGCGCCATGGCTCATGCCTACAATCCCAGCACTTTAGGAGGCTGAGGCAGAATGATTAACGGAGCTCAGGAGTTCGAGACCAGCCTGGGCAACACAGTGAGACCCCCCTTCTCTACAAAAAGTTTTTTTAATTAGCCAAGTGTGTAGTCCTAGTTACTTAGGCTGACGTGAGAGGATTGCTTGAGCCCAGGGGATCAAGGGTGCAGTGAGCCATCATTGTGCCACTGCACTCCCTTGGGCAACAGAGTGAGACTTTGTCTCAAAAAAATTAAAATTCAGCATCACCTCCTCTCCTCTCACTACACACACACACACACACACACACACACACACACACACGGTGGGGTGGTCAGAGAGGTACTTTTTTGGCTTCCATATACCATTAACACAGAGTCTGTATTCTAAAAATTATCTCTTTTATCAATGTTGCTGACTTGCGACCCACAGGCCAGATTGAATCTCTAGGCCTACGGCACTGTGTTTTCAAAAATAAATTCAGATTGGCTGCCAACATTTAATTATCAAGCAATTCCATATGAAAATGAAGATTTCTGACTTCTTCTCGAAAAAAGTGAAAAGGAAAATTCAGCAATCCTGGGCCCACATGGCCACACTGCATGAATGTGCTAGGAATGAGAAGCAGCCTCCACATTTAGACAAGGCTCTCCAGTTCACTTCGGTCTCTACCCAGCCTACTGCACCTTATGTTACCTTTTAGGCCCCTGAAGGCACTATGTGATAACCCCTTCACCTGTGCATCCTTAGGTGCACCTACCCTGGAGCCTGCCACAATGTAGGTGATCAGTAGGGATTTCTGGAATAGATAAATACCTGTACAAGGAAGCAGCACAACAGCACTCCAAACAAGACCAAGAGAAAGTGCTTAGCAAAATGCCAGCATCCAAGACCAAGCTGCTTGTCCCATGCAGAGTGCCCCAGAGGGGAAGCAGGTATTTGCTCAATGGCTTTGAGGACTGCTATTTATTGCCCTCAAACAGCTATTATGCCTGCAATGTGCTCGGAACTGTCCAGGATGCTGAAGTGATTGAAGGTTGGCTTTCTTTTTTTTTTTTTGAGACAGAGTCTCGCTCTGTCGCCCAGGCTAGAGTGTAGTGGAGCGATCTTGGCTCACTGCAAGCTCCGCCCCCCGGGTTCACACCATTCTCCTGCCTCAGCCTTCTGAGTAGCTGGGACTACAGGCACATGTGACCACCCCAGCTAATTTTTTTGTATTTTTAGTAGAGACAGGGTTTTACCATGTTAGCCACGATGGTCTCAATCTCCTGACCTCGTGATCCACCCTCCTCGGCCTCCCAAAGTGCTGGGATTACAGGTGTGAGCCACTGCACCCGGCCTCAGCTATCTTTCTTGAAATGAACAAGTGATGTGGCACTGGGGGAGTTTGTCGAGCCTGGTTTGTGTGTTTTATCCAGAAGTGCTGGACAAAATGTGTTCCCACATTACGCAGCAAACAGGAACACCAGAATGACTGCCTCCTCATCAGAGCAGACTATTCCCACCAAACACTCCCCTAATCTTGTATACAGACAGAAAAAAAGGACCTGTCATTAGATACCCTGCTTCCCTTCCTTCAAATGATCCAATTTCACCCTCTCAATTTTTTCATAGCAGTTTTTCACCTGTCCTCTTGTGATTTTCCTAATACTTTTCTTTAAATCAACTAAAAATATATATATATAGAAAAAAATATATATATAGAGAGAGAGAGAGATGGTTTCGCTCTTGTTGCCCAGGCTGGAGTGCAATGGTGTGGTCTTGGCTCATTGCAACCTCTGTCTCCCGGGTTCAAGTGATTCTCCTGCCTCAGCCTCCCAAGTAACTGGGATTACAGGCATCCACCACCACGCCCAGCTAATTTTGTATTTTTCATAGAGATGGGGTTTCACCACGTTGGCCAGGCTGGTCTCAGACTCCTGACCTCAGGTGATTGGCCTGTCTCAGCCTCCCAAAATGTTGGGATTACAGGTGTGAGCCACCATGCCTGACCTAAATCAACTAAAATATTTTTATTTAATTATATCTTAAAAGGAAATGTTACAGAGGTCCACAATCCCTCATCTGCAATTCCAAAGTCCAAAAATAATCTGAAAACTGCAAGTTTTCCCCCAAAGTTTAAGTCAAACTTATTTATCAGCAAAACTTGACCTGAAGTAATGTGAGGCTATTTATTTATAGTCTCTATTTATTCCAATTAGTGTGGCTTGTCACAGATTTCTTCACAGAAATATTAATGTGTTTGCTTACAAGGTGCTTCCCCAGACACTGCTGGGGGTATGAAGTTACATACAGTAAATGTACAGGGTGATCTTTTCAAAATCTGAGAAATTCTGAATTCTGAACTATATCTGTCCCCAGGGGTTTTCGTAAGGGTTTATGAACCTGTCATACCACCATAAGTAGAAAATCAGTACCACCTGCTAGAAGAAGAGAAGATGACCGTAAAAATAAATATAATTAAACTACATATTGTAATTTTAAGAAAAAATGTTTTTTAAAAACACCTAAACTCACACAGATCTCCTCTGACCCCATCAGCAGAGCCTGGTCACAAGCCTCTAAATTCCAAGGCCCATCACCTGTTTCCCTGTGTGATTTGAAATGGGGTCAAGCTCCCATTTCTCCTTGAAGAACTGAGCACCTACTTTGAATATCTCATCAGGAAGGCATTTTATTGCTGATGGCTGGAAATATGGCATCAAATCCTTGTCAAGCATCCGGAGCTCTGCCTTAGTTAATCCAGCTGGGGAGAAAAAGGAATCACGGGGGTTTAGTTCAAGCCATCAGAACTCCGCTTGTTTTATTAATGGTGCTGCATAATGCTCAGATCTGAGTGTTCTAGGCAGGCATCATTCCTTACAAAAGGCCCTGGAAATCACACTGGGGAATCAAGTTCCTTCATCAACTCAGAAAAAAAAAATGTGGGTCACATTAGCCCTGATTGGCCTCCTACAGTGAAACGCATGCCCAGAAGGAACTTCAATTTACACACTTTCAAATTTTGTATAAACCTACTTAGGGGCCAATTAAATCACATTCTAAACTAGCGGTTTTCCAAACTTTAGTGTACACAAGAATCTCCAAAAGAGCTTGTTTTAAAAGCAGATTTGCAGACCCACCCTCTGCAACTTCAAATCATGAAATGTAGGTTCTACTGTAACGCCACTGATGTTTGCTACACATGGCCAAGGATAATGTTTTATTTTGTGTCCCCACATTTAAGTTTGGAAAGAGAGAGAAAGGTATGCTCAGGGTGAGTCTTACCTGCAATGGTCCCAAGCTCCTGCAAGACAGAACTGGTCCACTCAGTGGGATCCCCAAACACAACTTCAGCCTTCCTCTTAAACTCGGCTAAGACATGTGTGCTGCAGAGCAGGGTCCCAATTCTGGCCACTACCACCCTGGTAGTGGTTAAAGAGGGAGGGATATAATATGAGCTTGGACTCTTCAGCCAAAAACAAACAAACACACACACACACACACACACACACACACACACATACACACACACACTGCACAGTAGGCTCAGCAGGGACAGCAGATCCAGCTTATCCCATTAGCCCAGTGGGATTTTAGCCCAGAAAGGTGCCAAGTGTCAGGAGGTGGAATATCTGGATGGATGGATGGATGGATGGATGGATGGATGGATGGATGGATGGATGAATTAACCCATTTGCCATTTTGCACATTCATATTTTAGTTACCTGAATTCTGAGATCTTTATAAGTGGGATTTCAGTGATGTTTATAGCACACAGGGTTGCACCAAGTCCTACCAAATGAAAGCTCTTCAGGTCCTGGATACTGTATCCTGAATCATCCAGGTACCCTTGCAAAATGGATTCAGCCTAAAAAATAGTAAGAATAAAAGATAAACCATCCAGGAATGATCAAGGTCCCCAGGCCTGAGGGGATAAATAAGCTGTTGCTGTAGTCTCCTGACTGATCTCCCATCCTACTCCTCTGGAATCCCCACTCCAAACCATCCTGGCCTCTGCATCCAAGTTCATGTCCTTAAGATACTACTTCAACTGAGTATGTCCCCTAATCTATGGAAGTGTCTTCAGGCAACGAATCTCTTACATCCTTCACCAATATTAAAGGCACTTGTGTCCTGTGTGTCTGCTGCTTATTTCCTTCAGTCACTCTTATGACCCTCAGACAGTTTGGACATACAACTTCTTCTGCATCAGGATCCAAACTTTTCCAGCATCTTTTTCCACAACGTTTCTTCTCCCTTTTTTTTTTTTTTTTTCGTTTTTTGGAGACGGAGTCTTGCTCTGTCACCCAGGCTGGAGTGCAGTGGCACAGCTCGCTGCAACCTCCACCTCCCCAGGTTCAAGCAATTCTCGTGCTTTAGCCACCCAAGTAGCTAGAATTACAGGTGCACATCACCACATCTGGCTTTTTGTATTTTTTGTAGAGACGGGGTTTCACCATGTTGCCCAGGCTGGTATCAAACTCCTGACCTCAAGTGATCCACCCACCTCGGCCTCCCAAAGTGCTGGGATTATAGGCATGAGCCACCGCACCCAGCCTTTCCACAACCTCCAACAAAACCTTATAATTTCCTGTCTCTTTGCCTTTGTTCAAACCAGTCCTTTCATCTGAAATGCCCTTCTGCACTTCCAAGTGCAGACATTCTTTTTTTTTTTTCTTTGGTTCAACTCAAATGTCACCTTCTTCATGAGGTTTCAGCCAGAATGATTTTTTCTTCCTCTATGGTCCTACAGAAATATGTTTACCCCTTAATGATTTTTTCTTCCTCTGTGGTCCTACAGAAATATGTTCACCCCTTCAATTCCAATGTTTACTCTTCAATTCCAAGAGTAGCACACAAAATGCTTTGGTGTTAAACTATTTTAAACTAAGCCTTGATTTAAGGCGGCTGACACATAAGTCTCCATAATTCTAGCACAGTGGCTATTCATCATTCATAACTTCCTCTGGAGAACCACCTCTCTTGTATTCCTGCTTCATGTGGTTCAGTCAAAGCTAACTGCACCAAGTTCCAGGAGTGATGAATTTCAATTCATACCTTAGCCTAGCTGCAGTCACTGGTTCTGGATTGGACATGTGATTTAACCAGAGTCAACCAGAACTTTGAGTGGAGCATTAGGGGAAGAGCTTTCTTTACTCTGGACTTGAACTTAGAAGGATATACACAAGGATCTGCTGGAACCTACCACATGCAGGCATAGAGCCTGTCTCTCAATGAAGCCAACACAAAGAAAAGCAAAGTTCAAAAACATGATAAGAGACAGATTCCCACCCAGAGTGTTGAAGATCCTGGATCCAGCTGTATCTGAACACTACCCCTGAACTTTCCAGTAATGGGAGTCAATAAATTCCTTTTTTTTTTTTTTTTTTTTTTTTTGAGACAAGGTCTCACTCTGTCACCCAGCCTGGAGTGCAGCGGCATGATCTCTGCTCACTACAACCTCCCTCTCCCAGGTTCAAGCGATTCTCATGCCTCAGCCTCCCCAGTAGCTGGGATTACAGGCAGGCATGAACATGCCTGGCTGATTTTTGTATTTTTAGTAGAGAAGTAGTTTCACTGTTGGCCAGGCTGGTCTCAAACTCCTGACCTCAAGTGATCTGCCCGTTTCAGCCTCCCAAAGTTCTAGGACTACAGGTAGGAGCCACTGCACACTGCACCCAGCCCCTTTATTTGTTCAAGCAGTTTGTGTTGGGTTTTCTGCCACTTGTAACTAAACATGTGCTGATTCATTTTATCTACCTATGTAGGACCTGAGGAGGCATCCAAGCCAATCCTATGAAGATCAGCTACAAAATAAAGTCTGGGCTGGGCACGGTGGCTCACACCTGTAATCCCAGCACTTTGGGAGGCCGAAGCAGGAGGATCACTTAAAGTCAGGAGTTTGAGACCAGCCTGGCTGACATGGTGAAAGCTTGTCTCTACCAAAAAATACAAAAATTAGCCAGGCATGGTGGCACGTGCCTGTGGTCCCAGCTACTTGGGAGGCTGAGGTGGGAGGATTGCTTGAGCCTGGGAGGTGGAAGTTGCAGTGATCCAAGATTGTGCCACTGCACTCCAGCCTGGGTGACAGAGGGAGACTCTGTCTCACAAAATAAAGTCTGGTTCCTTCAGTGCTCATGGGAGCAAGTAAAAGAGATTATAAGACCTCACAAGGCAAAGATGAGGAGACATCCAAGGAGAGACCCCTAAGTGGAAGCGAAAATCACAGGCTATAGTCAATCTTCCCAACTCTCTTTGCTTTTTTTTGTTTTTTTTTTTGAGACAGCGTCTCACTGTGTCACCCAGGCTGGAGTGCAGTGACATGATCTTGGCTTACTGCAACCTCCATCCCCCAGGGTTCAAGTAATTCTTATGCCTCTGACTCCCAAGTAGCTGGGATTACAGGCGCCCGCCACCACACCCAACTAATTTTTTGTGTTTTTAGTAGAGACAGGGTTTCACCATTTTGGCCAGGCTGGTCTCAAACTCCTGGCCTCAAGTGATCTACCCACCTCAGCCTCCCAAAGTGCTGGGATCACAGGCATGAGCCACCATGCCCGGCCCCCATCTCCGTTTAATGTTAGTCATCCCCATCACACAATATAGATCATTAAGGTGTTGAGAGAAAGTGTTGAGGAAGATTGTGAAATGTTGCAATGAAATTCCGTCTTCATGGGCTGGTGCTTCCCACCCCTCAGGTGTGTTTAAATGCTACCTACTCAGAGAAAACTGCCCTCTGGACTCTTTCATCTCAAACAGCCCTTCTTCCCACTATTCCCATGAGCACCTTGTCCATTTTCCGCATCACTTATCGTGATTTTTCAAATTTTTCACTTTGATTACTCACTTTTTTGTCTGTATCACCAAGTAGGCTCCCAAAAGAAAAGGACCATATCCAGGTAGTTTACCAATGAGTCCCCAGCACCTAGCATAATGCCTGCCACAGAGTAGGAGTTCAATAAGTACTTCTTGAGTAAGTAAATGAATGAGTGAATGAATGAATGAATGAAACAACATCTGAGTGAGTGACTTACAAAAGTCGTGGGCAATATATATTATTTGACACGCTTCATTTTGCTGCCTTCATGTAATAGACTGGCTTCAGGAAGATTTCTCATGTTTCTGAAAATCGGACTGGTCAGTGTCCTCATCAAGTTGTCCTCCATGATTACAAAGCTCACAGCTACTATGGGGGCGGGGGATGCAGTAACACCATGCTTAGACTTATATGTCTTTGACTTAATGGGACTGTATATCCAAAGTGGTAATAGCTAACATTTATTGTAGCTAACATTTCTTGAGTGCATACTGTGTGCTGGCACCACTTTGACCACTTTACACATACTATCTCATCTAATCCTCCTAAATAACACTATGAGGTAAGTATTAATAGTATCCCTAGTTTGCAGATGAGCAAACTGAGGCAAGGAGAGGTTAAGTAACTAGGCCAAGATCACACAGCTAGAAAATGATCGTTCTGGCCAGGCGCCGTAGCTCCTGCCCGTAATCCCAGCACTTTGGGAGACAAAGGCGGGCAGATCACCTGAGGTCGGGAGTTGGAGACCAGCCTGACCAACATGGAGAAACCCCGTCTCTACTAAAAATACAAAATAAGCAGGGTGTGATGATGCATGCCTGTAATCCCAGTTACTCAGGAGGCTGAGGCAGGAGAATTGCTTGAACCCGGGAGGCAGAGGTTGCAGTGAGTGGAGATTACACTCCAGCCTGGGCAACAAGAGCAAAACTCATTCTAAAAAAAAAAAAGAAGAAGAAGAAAGAGAAAAGAAAATGATGGTTCTAGGATCAAAACCCAGGCAGTCTGATTCCAGGGCCCATACTCTTAGCCAGTGAAGGTGTTTGGCTATGGAGAAAAGATGGAGATTCAAGTTAGTTTTCAAATTTTTCTTATTAAGTCTTCATAATCAGGTTTCACTAGTTGACTCAGAGCAATTTGGGCTCCTCAACTATCAGGCATGCTCACTTTAAAATGAAAGTGCAAAAATACAATTTAAATAAAATTACTTTGAAGATATGGTATTAAATTGTCCTTGCCACTGAAACCCGGAAAATGCAAGCTCAGCCTGCAAGGTGATAAGTTAAAATAAATTTCCTTGAGTGACGAGACCAGTGTATATGTAATGATTCCAAGACAATTAATACCAACACTTTTAGGCAATATTAACTGTTGAAAAATGAATAGCTTTAAGATTTCAATCTCTCTGTTCATCCCTCTGGCTTCTATAATAGTTTTTTCCCTTATATTGGTTTTTGAGCTGAACTATCTGTTAATGTAGTTCCGTCAGGTCTGACTATTAATCTAGAAACCTGCATTTAAGGTTGATTGGGAGCTAAAGTTGAAGAACTGACTACAAATGATACATGCAAATGTTAGGTTTTCATATCCTCTTCAAACATATTGATAAATCTCACTGCCATCCATGAGAATTAAAATCGGTGCGAAGGGAAGGAGATACCCTAGTTTCTGGATGTATTTTTCTGTTTCTCCGAGCCTGCAAATAGAATGATTTTAATAGCACAGTGTGATGTGGCACTTCTCAAACTAGTCAAAACCAGTTTTAGAGTCAAAGAACCATGGGATTATAGAATATCAGACTGGAAGGAACCTCAGATTGTTGGGGCTAACCCTCTCATCTTGCAAAGGAGGAGACTAACCCAGAGAAAGGGGCTGTAATGATGATAATGTTGATGATGACAATGCAATGATGTCAATATCAACATAAAAACAGCTAATTTTTATTGACTACTATGTACCAGACATTGTTCAAAATGTTTTCAAGTATTAACTCATGTAATCTTCATGGCCAGGATCTGCATGTTGCCCAGCTCTAGGGGTGCACCATTCACAGTGTATTCTGTTTGAATGGTGCCACTCAGAGTTATGAAACATGGCCACCGTGATTACAAAAAGCTCAAAAGAGTAGGGGGACATTCATTGGTTTTGGCTGCTCAGCGTCCACACTTTTTCTTTGGAAAATTACCCTCCATTAGCTTCCTATTGCTACTCTACCAAATTACCCCAAACATAGTGGCTTTAAAACTACACGTTTATTCTCTTATAGTTCTGGAGACTGTATGTCCTAAAATGGACTAGAAGGATGGGTTCCTTCTGGGAGTTCTAAGAAGAATTCATTTTCTTGCTTTTTCTAGCTTCAAGAGGCCACCTGCATTTCCTTGGCTCATAGCCCCATCCTCCATCTCCAAAATCAGCAGCAGAGCACCTTCAGATCTCTTTCTAGGTCCCTCTGCTTCCATTATCATGTCACCTTCTCTATCTATGACCCTCCTTGCTCCTTCTTAAAAGGACCCTTGTGATTACATTGGGCCCACCCAAATAATCCAAGATAACCTCCTCATCTCAAGATCCTTAATCGCATCTTCAAAGTCCCTTTTGCTCCATAAGTTAACATAGTCACAGCTTCCAGGGGTTCAGACATGGACATCTTTGGGGGACCTTAATCAGCCCACCACATATCCTTCCCCACTCGGCTCATGTGGTCATGAGATGCTGATAAGATGGACTCCGCTCCCTGATGCAGGCCTCGCCAACCAACATATTCAACCCCTGACCAGAGTGGTTGCTCAGGGGCGGGCAACTACATGAGTGGAGTCAATGCTGAGGCTTTTCCAAAAACTAATAAAGAAGAGGCACATTTTTATGGGCTTGTTAATTAGGTTGTATATAAGCCTAGTGCTGAAAATGACCACTGAGAGAGCTGCCTAAGAACGAAGATAACATGGAAGGGCTAACACTTCCCTTTCCAGCAGTACAGTGGATTAGACACCCTAAACTCCTCTCCCAATCAAAACAATTAAAATTCTGGGAAGAACTTCTTCTTTAGCCCATGAAGGATTAATTAACATAGGAATTGGCCACCCACCATAAACAACTAGAAAATTTAACAAAATACATCAGACAACTGCATCCGGATATGGAACAACAGAATCATAATCCCAGAAGAAGAAAAACAAACAAGATGAGCCTTAAAATTACCCTCACTTACTGCCAAAAAGCAGTTTCCAAGACATGGATCAGGAAGAGGAACCAAAACAAGCCCAGTGGCCCAGCTGAGTTGAGGATACAGATATCCAAGTTCAGAGAGGCCACGGCACTTATCACTTGGGCAAAGTATTGGAGAGGAGGAAACTGCAGAGGGTTCCAGAAAGCTGCAGAGATGTCTAGTACTGACTGCTATTTTGCACATGCAAAGAGTGAAACTCCACATAGGCAGGAAAAGAGTCATCAGTAATCAGAAAGGATTAGGCTGAGCAACTTCCAGAGCTCATATGGAGCTGGAAATAGTTCACATTCTCACCAGCCAAAGTAGAGAGATCTTGAAATACATGGAGCATTAGGTAACATCCTCAAAGGAATCATGTCACAGTAATGATGATAAATTAACAACAGAATAAAGGTCACTCTGGTTTTACCCTAACAAAACTCAAAAGGAAGCATCAAAAGGATCAAGCTGATTTGAAAGTAACTTAAGTGTATGACAGAACAAAGCCCAATACTCTTCAAAGAAATACAACTAAATCAAATACTCAACAATGTAAAATCCACAATGCTCATCACCCAATCAAAATTGCTAGGCTTGCAAACAAAAAAAGAAAATATGACTCATAACTAAGAGAAAAATCAGTCAACAGAAACAGACTCAAAAATGACCATCATGAGGAAATTAACAGTAAGGGTATGAAGGCAGCTCTTATAAATATGGAATAGTTAAAAGACCCAGAAACATCCACCCACCTGTCCCGGGGTCCATTCTGTTTGCCAGCTTAGGGAAGCCACAGTGTCTATGGAGCTGAGGTCCAGCTGCTCCAGCTCACTCTCATTAAGAGCCAGAGCAATGCGCCCCAGGGAGACGATATGGTGTTCTCTCCAGTAAGATGGCATGTCCCAAACCTTTAGGCAAAAAAAGAAAATAGATTAGACTGAACACTGTGATGGTATTTACAATGATTTGAATGTTTGTGCCCCTCTAAAATGCATATGTTAAAACCTAATCTCCAATGTGATAGTATTGGAAGGTTGGGCCTTGGGAGATGATTAGGTCATAAGGGTGGAGCCCTCATGAGTGGGATTAGTGCCCTTGTAAAAGAGACCCCAGAGAGCTAGCTACAAGCTAGTCCCTTTCCACCATGTGAGGACACAGTGAGAAAGCACCATCTATGAAAAACAAGTCCTTACCAGATACTGGATCTGCCAGTGCTTCAATTTTTGATTTCTCACCCCCCAGAACTGTGAGAAATAAATTTCTGTTTATAAGTTACCAGTCTATGATATTTTGTTATAGCAGCCTGAATGGACAAAGGCAGTATCTAAAATAGACATAAGGAGGCTAGGTGCGGTGGCTCACACTTGGAATCTCAGCATTTTTGGAGGCCAAGGCATGCAGATCACATGAGGCCAGGAGTTCAAGACCAGCCTGGCCAACATAACGAAACCCTGCCTCTACTAAAAATACAAAAAAAAAAAAATTAGCTGTGCATGGTGGCGCACATCTGTAATCCCAGCCACTTGGGTGGCTGAGGCACAAGACTCACTTGCAGAAGTTGCAGTTAGCCAAGATGGTGCCACTGTACTCCAGCCTGGGTGACAGAGCGAGACCCTGTCTCAAAGAAATAAAAATAAAACAGACATAGGGAAACCTATTGTGCAGCATGGTGACCACAGTTGATAATAATGTGTTGAACGGTTGAAAATTGTGAAGAGAGTAGATGTTAAATATTCTCACAACAAAAACTGACAACGGACAAGTATGAAAGGTGATTGACATGTTAGCTTGCTTTAACCATTCCCCAATGTATACATACATCAAAACATCATATTGTATATATGTATACACCATAAATATATATAATTTGTATTTGTCAACTATCCCTTAATAAAAAATAAATAAAAATTAAAAAGACATAGGGTAAATCTTAATATAAAGCTCTCTTTTAAATCAATAATAAAAAGATGACTATATTTGTTTTAAAAAAAAGATAGACAAAAGACATCAACAAGGAATTCACAAAAGAAAAATTAAATGTATGGGGAAAACTTTATTCTCAGTCATAATTAAAGAAATATACATTAAAAACAATCAGACCATGTTGATTCATCACATGTCAAGAAGTATAAAGACTTATCACCATTTACGATACTGGAAAGATACAAGGTAAGGGATACCCTCATTTGTTGTAGTTGAGAATATAAGTTGGTACATACTCTTGAGAGGGCAATTTGGCTATCTGTATCAAAAGCTTTTAAAGTATTTATATTCTTTGACCCAGAAATTCCACCTCTGGGAATTTAGCCTGAGTAAATGAGACAAGTACCCAACAGTATATGTATAAAGGCATACATTGAGGCATTTTTTTAATGCAACATGAAAGTCTAACAATTAGCTAAATAAATAAGAACTAACCATAAATAAAATGAAGTTGCCCCTGTGGATACCTCCACCAAGGATTGGTTCCAGGACTTCTTAAAGATACCAAAATCCATGGATATTCAAGTCCCTTATATAAAATAGTGTAGTATTTGCATATAATCTATGCACATCCTCATGTATACTTTAAATCATCTCTAGATTAGTTATAATACCTGATGCAATATAAGTGCTATGTAAATATGTACAAAATGTTATGTCAAAAATGCTACTGTATTTTTATGTGTATTGTTTTTTATTGTTATATTGTTATTTGGATCATTTTTTCTAAATACATTCTACCTGAGGTTGGTTGAATCTGCAGATGTGGAACCCACTGATATGGAAGGCTAATTGTATTACAAAGCTATTTAAAATACTGATATAGGCTAGATGCTGTGGCTTACGCCTGTAATCCCAACACTTTGGGAGGCCAGGCAGACAGATCACTTGAGGTCAGGAGTTCGAGACCAGCCTGGCCAACATTGTGAAACCCCATCTCTACTAAAAATACAAAAATTAGCCGGGCATGGTGGCGGATGCCTGTAATCTCAGCTACTTGGGAGGATGAGGCAGGAGAATTGCTTGAACCTGGGAGGCAGAAGTTGCAGTAAGCCAAGACCACACTATTGTACTCCAGCCTGGGCAACAAGAACAAAACTCCATCTCAAAAAATAAATAAATAAATAAAATACTGACATAGATGTACATTTTGGATATGAAAAAATATGCAGTCTGTACTGTTGGGTGTAGAAAGCAAGTTATTGAATAGTAGGTAAGTATAATATCATTTTTGTAAAACATGAGATATATGTATGAAATATATAAAATAATATTTTTTATATACATAGTTTTGGAGTCTGGTAAGCTTCAAGTGAATATACCAAAATATCAACAGTGCTTATCTGCTGAACAGTGCTTATCAAAATATCAACAGTGAGTAAAAGATTATCACTGATTTTCTTCTTTATTATTTTCTGACTTTTCTACAATAAACTTGAAGTACTCATATAATACATAAATACAGTTATATTTATAATTTTAAGACATTGAATTGTTTAACCCTTGAGGGTAACTAGATATTCCACAACCATGTAAAGAGCTAAAACAGGGCTGGGTGCAGTGGCTCATGCCTGTAATCCCAGCACTGTGGGAGGCCAAGGTGAGCAGATCTCTTGAGGCTAGGGGTTTGAGACAAGCCTGGCCAAACAAACCCCGTCTCTACTAAAATACAATTATTAGCCAGGCATGGTGGCTTGTGCCTGTAGTCCCAGCTACTCAGGTGGCTGAGACACAAGAATCACTTGAACCCGGGAGGCAGAGTTTGCAGTGAACCACAGATCGCGCTGCTGCCCTCCAGCCTGTACGACAGAGCAAGACTCTGTCTTAAAAGAAAAAGAAAAAAAAAAGAAAGAAAAGCTAAAACAGGCCACAAAGGGACCTTTTCCTTTTATTTATTTATTTGAGACAGAGTCTCGCTCTATCACCAGGCTGGAGTGTAGTGACGCAATCTCGGCTCATGGCAGCCTCCGCCTCCCGGGTTCAAGCAATTCTCCTGCCTCAGCCTCCCGAGTAGCTGGAACTACAGGTGCATGCCACCTGTAGAGATGGGGTTTCACCATGTTGGCCAGGCTGGTCTCGATCTCTTGACCTCGTGATCCGCCTCCCAAAGTGCTGGGATTATAGGCATGAGCCACTGCACCCAGCCTATTTTTATTTATTTTTGAGACAAGGTATCAGCTCTGACGCCTAGGCTAGAGTGCACTGGCGCAATCTTGGCTTACTGCAACCTCCACCTCCCGGGTTCAAGCCATTCTCCTGCCTCAGCCTCCTGAGTAGCTGGAACTACAGGCACATGACACCACGCCTGGCTAATGTTTGCATTTTGAGTAGAGACAGGGTTTCACCATGTTGGCCAGCCTGGTCTCGAACTCCTGACCTCCCGTGATCCGCCCGCCTCGGCCTCCCAAAGTGTTGGGATTACAGGCATAAGCCACTGCACCCAGCCAACAAAGGGACCTTTTTAAAGATGGAAAGCTACTTCCAGTCCTCTTTTTACTCCTTTCTGTTATATTTTCAGACAAATTTGCAAATGATTCTGAGAAAACCTGCTGTGAGCAGCAGCTGGGGCTCTCCAGGTGAAGGAATAAAGCCTAATTCCTGCAAACCGCCTTGGTCAGAGGCACTGGGACATCCACAGAACTTGATTCACTGAGCATCTGCTAGATGCCAAGACACATCTCATCCCATTCTCTGCCACAGCCCTAAGAGGGAGGAACTGGAAATTTCCTCCTTTCTCAGATAAGGAGATCACAATATCACTGAGCTGATGCAGTAAAATTTCAAGATGATGTATGGGAAAACTGCTCGAGGAGGGTTCTATGTGCAGAAATGCTGAACTGGTTTTGGTGTTTTTCTTTTTTCCTCTGTTTAATGTTTCCTCCCTGAGGTGGGCTTCACCTGTATTGCTTTCTCCTTCAGGGTCATCAGCTGAGGCCGGCTGAAACCCTGGACAGCTCCCAGCAGTTCCACGGTCCTGATGAATGTGTCTTCCTCCATGCACCGCAGGTCCTCCAGGGCCCAGCAGGCGTTGGCTTCGGCCAACTTGAAGATGTCATCAGAAGAGGGGGCCACGACTCCATGGCAACCTGAAGAAAGGAGAGATGCAGGGAAGGAGAAGAGGAAAGAGAATTTCAGGAAATGTTAGTGTATTGAAATGAGTAACATTCTTTGCCAGTCAGATTTATGCATGGAAGGGACTACAGAGTAAAAGCAGAGAGCAGGAGGCAGGGACCAGTTTGAATCCCACTTCTGCCATTTCTTGCTAATTACTGGGTAACAAAGTCATGGAAATGCCAGCTTTTTGCACATCCACATGCACAAACTAGGAGCGGTGCAACATTACAATTAAACTACAAATTCCTTGAGGGCAGTAAGAGCTGGTGGTGAACAGTCCTGACTTTCGATTCAAATCCAAGGCTATTTAACCTCTCTGTATTTCAGTTTTCTTGTCTATAAAATGGAAATAAAATCGCCTCATAGGATGGTTGTGAAAACTAAATGTGTTATATGTAAAGCACTTAGAACAGTGCCACGCATACAGTAAGCACTCGATACACAATTTCTGTTGCCTATCTTACCCCCTATGCCTTTGAGTTTGCAGCCCAGCATAAAGATTCCAAAATTATGCAGCAGCCTTCCTATAAAAATGGGAAGATGGGCTGTGCGGTGGCGCATGTCTTTAATCCCAGCACTTTGGGAGGCCAAGGCAGAAGGATCACTTGAGCCCAGGAATTCAAGACCAGCCTGGGCAGCATGGTAAGACCTCACCTCTAAAAAAAAAAAAACTACAAAATATTAGCTAGGCATGGTGGCACATGCCTGTAGTCCCAGCTACCCAGCAGGCTGAGGTGGGAGGATCACCTGAGCCTGGGAGGTCAAGATTGCAGTGAGCCGTGATCACACCTATTCTCCAGCCTGGGTAACGGTGAGACCCTGTGTCAAAATAAAATAAAAAATAAAAACCAGGAAGATGAGTTGCTGTCCATGAAAATCATAGTGGGGGTTGTGGCTTTCCCATCCCAAGAGAAAAGAGAAATGAGCCTATTGCATTTCTCTTGGCAACAGGAAAAACATCCATTTCGGTCTTTGAATAATGTGAACCTTACCTACTCAAACCAGCTACCAACCAACATGCAAGTGAGATATTGTCTTTGCTGGATCTGATGTGCCCAACCTGGGAGAAAACTCTAGGATCCTTAAGAGCAACCCTGGATTTCTTATCTTAGCCGCAGACCACCACTGATGCTGACAGATGCACCAACCCCACCCAAGGCCAGGGTATTTCCCGAGTCCCATGGCCTCTCTCTTCTCATTGCACCTTCAATGGAAATTCACTGCATTCCAATCACGAGGCAAAAGTAGACCAGATCAAAGATGCCAGTTGTGGTCCTCAAACATCTTTATCATAAGCCACTTGGAGAGGACTAAAGACCCATCCCTCCCTAGGCCAACCCCCAGCCCACCCTCTAGTGAAAACAACATCAGTGATAGCACAGAACTAGAGAGGGCAGAATGGTTGACTAGTATATCAGGAACTTGGTCTTATCACTGTGTCTGTCCAGGGCTTAGAATAGAGCCTGGTACATCGTAGGTGTTCAGCAAATATCTGTGGAGTGAGTGAACACACACACACAAATTAATATAAAACCAAGCGGTAATTCTGCTAATCCATCAATCACTAAAGCACAGCAGCAATTAATACCCAGAACCAACTAAAGAACACTCAAACTATGCACTGATACCAGAGCTTCCTTCCCCTGAGCATAGAAAGCCTTATTTTGTGTACCACATGCACACAGTAAGAGCTCTGCAATATGATGACATGGACTGCTAGACCTTGAGGGCAGTGGGAGCCAGTGGTGGTCACCACCAACTTTGGGTACAAATCCAAGAACTGCCATTTACTAACTCTGTGACTTTAGACAAGTCCCTTAGTCTCCTAAGCCCCAGTTTCCTTCATTTAAAAAACAAGAGAACACCCAAGCCTGGAAATCTGCAGCCCTAAATGGGAATAGGCATTCCTGTTTTCATGCCCAAATGTTAGGTTTTGGCCTGCCACATCCCACTATCCTGTACCCATATAAACCCCAAACCCCAGGCTCCATGAGCATACAAGCAGATGAGCAGATGAACAGAAGAGAAGAGGAGCAGAAGAGCAGCATGGCAGAGAAAGGAGCATCTGAAGGCCAAGAAGAGTTTGGCTGGGGACAGTTGGAGAGGAGATTGGTCACAGGACAGCCAAACTCCAGGGGAAGATCATCTTCCCACTCCATCCCCTTTCTAGCTCCCCATCCATCCCACCGAGAGCCACCTCCATTACCCAATAAAACCCCACATTCACCAAGAAAAAAAAAAACGGGAGAACAAGATAATGCATGGAGGGATAATCACCCAAGGTAGACACAAATCCAATTGTGATACTTCTTTGCTCGATGTCACACGATGCCTCCACCCAGAGTAAAAGCCAAAGTCATTAGGGTTTCCTTTAACAGTCACTACATGGCTGGCCTTGTCTCTCACTCCCCTCCAAACACACTGGCCCTTACCTCCCACTCATGGAAGTGGTCCTGTTGCACTCTCTGCCTGGAAGACTCTAATTGAAAATATCCACATGGCCCACTCTCCCTTGGGTCTTCATTCAAATGTCACCTTCTCAATAAGATGTTCCTTCATGATTCTCTTTTCACATGACAGTCCCCTCTCAACACTCGTGGTGCATTCCCTTGCTTTATTTTCCTTCTTGGCACTTTTCATACAATATACCATATATTTTACTTATGTATGGAAATTTATTGTCTTGCTACCCTCCATTTGAAAGTAAGCTCTTTATTTACAAAATTGGTGCTTAACGAATATTTGTTGGGTGGATGAAAGCAAGCACTGACTGTCAACTACTATCACTGGGGGTGATTAACTTTGTCTCCTCATGCCTGGCCCCAGTCTGTACTTAGTAGGTGCATGGTAATAATAATAAAATATCTAACACTTGGACAGGCATGGTAGCTCACATCTATAATCCCAGCACTATGGGAGACCAAGGCAGGAGGATCACTTGAGGCTCAGAGTTCAAGATCAGCCTGGGCAACACAGTAAGACCCTATCTCTACAAAAAAATAAAAAATTATCCAGATGTGGTGGTTCATGCCTGTAGTCCCAACTACTTGTGAAGCTGAGGTGGGAGGATCCCTTGAGTCCAGGAGGTCGAGGCTGTAGTGAACCATGATTGCTGCACTCCAGCCTGGGTGGCAGAGCGAGGCCCTGCCTCTATAAAATCAAATTTTAGGCCGGGGGCAGTGGCTCACGCCTGTAATCCCAGTATTTCGGGAGGCCAAGGCAGGTGGATCACCTGAGGCCAGCGTTCAAGACCAGCCTGGCCAACATTGTGAAACCCCGTCTTTACTAATAATACAAAACTTAGCCAGGTGTGGTGGCACATGCCTATAATCCCAGCTAGTCAGGAGGCTGAGGCAGGAGAGTTGCTGTAATCTGGGAGGTGGAGGTTGCAGTGGGCCGAGATCATGCCACTATACTCCAGCCTGGGTGACACTCCAGCAAGACTCCATCTCAAAAAATAAAAAAAATCAAATTTTAAAAATATATAATACTTATTAAAGATCTGCTACATGCCAGGCATTCCGGTAAACATGTTTCTGGGTTTAAACCCATTAATTCTCACAATAACCCAGTGAGGTAGAGACTTTCATTATCCCCATTTGATAAAGGATGAAAACTGAGGCACACAGAGGTTAAAGAGCTTACCCAAAGCCACACAGCCAGTAAGTGGCAGACTCAGGAGTGAAATCTAGCCAGCCCGGCCCTGTCACTGCTATGTTAAACCACTAATCCATGTTGGTCCTCTAAGTCAATCCTACTGAAATGTTTGTTACACATATTCACGCATTAAACCTACTAGCCTGGATATGGAGTATGGGACATGATTCCAGGTCACTTTACAAAAGTGTAACTCTTTTTTTTTTGAGACAGAGTCTCGCTGTCACCCAGGCTGGAGTGCAGTGGTGCCATCTCAGCTCACTGCAACCTTCACCTCCTGGGTTCAAGCAATCCTCGTGTCTCAGCCTCCTGAGTAGCTGGGACTACAGGTGTGCACCACCACACCCGGCTAATTTTTGTGTTTCTAGTAGAGACAGGGTTTCGCCATGTTGGCCAGGCTGGTCTCGAACTCCTGACCTCAAGTGATCTGCCTGCCTCAACCTCACAAAGTGCTAGGATTACAGGCTTGAGCAATCGCACCTGAACCAAAAGTGTAATTCTTTTGCTTATAGATTTTGTCATTCTATTGCTTTGCAGACATTTCATCCAGTTCCCTGCATAAGGAGGCCTCTTGATGTTAGGGACCCTGCCCAAAACATTAATTACTATGCCAACAGTGGCTCAGATACCCTGGAAACACTCACCAGGCATAGGGTCAGAGCTGGGGATCTTATCACTGCTGTTCCGAACAGACTGAAAGACAGCCCAGAGGAATTATTTAGGGGGCAGGGTCCTGGCCATCTTGGAAGCTGCTTGCAGAAGGATCTCAGGAAACTGTGTGAAAGAAGATGAAAGAAGAGGAATAATAATTAAAACCCCTTAAATACAGATTGAAATTAGAGTTGAAACTGTCACACTACTTACTGCCTTCATTCTTTGTTATAGCAACTTCTCATATAAATCTATTCCCTAGTCCCACTAATGTGGTCTCTATAAAGAATCCTATAAAATGATACTCAACTTCAATAAAAATCCAATAAAGTCTAAAAAACATAAGTAAATCACTTTTCACCCATCAGATTGTCAAAAATAAAATAAAGTGCTAATACTTAATGCTGGGCACATTCATTTTTCCGTGGGACTGTCAAACTGTGCACTATTAGCAGAGCAATCTGGTAATATCGACAAAAAAATTTAGGTTAGGCCAGGTGTGGTGGCTCATACTTGTAATCCCAGCATTTTGGGAGGTCGATGCAGGCAAATCACTTGAGGTCAGGAGCTCAAGACTGGCCTGGCCAACATGGTGAAACCCCATCTCCACTAAAAATACAGAAATTAGCCAGGCGTGGTGGCATGAGCCTGTCATCCCAGCTACTTAGGAGGCTGAGACAGAAGGATCACCCGAGCCCAGAAGGCTGAGGTTGTAGTGAGTCGAGAGCATGCCACTGCACTCCAGCCTGGGTGATGGGAGTAAAACCCTGTCTCAGAAAAAAACAAAAAAAAATGTATGTGTACCTACCCCTTTTTTGGTTTGGTGCTATTTCTAAGTTTTTACTAAACTTTATATTTGATATAGTTTGGATGTGTACCCCACCCAAATCTTATTGAAATGTAATCCCCAGTGTTGGAGGTGGGGCCCAGTGAGAGGTGATTGGATCATGGGGGCAGATTTCTCATGAATGGTTAAATACAATCCCCTTGGTACTGTCCTCACAATAGTGCGTGCGTTCTCTCGAGATCTTGTTGTTTAAATGCATGTAGCACCTCCCCCATCACGCTCTTGCTCCTGTGTCGGCCAAGTAAGATGTGTCTGCTCCCCCTTCGCCTTCCGCCATGATTGTAAGTTTCTTGAGGCCTTCCCAGAAGCTGGGCAGATGCCAGCATCATGCTTCCTGTACAGTCGGCAGAGCCACGAGCCAATCAATCCTCTTTTCTTGTCTCTTTTTTTTTTTTTTTCAGAGTCTTGTTCTGTTGCTCAAGCTGGAATACAGTGGTGTGATCTCCACTCACTGCAACCTCCACCTCCCAGGCTCAAGTAATTCTCGTGCCTGAGCCTCCTGAGTAGCTGGGATTACATGCATGCAGCACCAAGCCAGGCTAATTTTTTTTTTATTTTTATTGTAGACAAGGTTTCACTATCTTGGCCTGGCTGGTCTCAAACTCCTGGCCTCAAGTGATTCGCCCACCTCGGCCTCCCAAAGTGCTGGGATTACAGATGTGAGCCACTGTGCCTGGCAGTGTTTGTTTGTCTGTTTAGACGGAGTCTCGCTCTATCACCCAGGGTGGAGTGGGGGGCACGATCTCGGCTCACTGCAAGCTCCGCCCCCTGGGTTCACGCCGTTCTCCTACCTCAGCCTCCCGAGTAGCTGGGACTACATGCGCCCACCACCACGCCCAGCTAATTTTTTGTGTTTTTTTAGTAGAGACGGGGTTTCACCCTCTTAGCCAGGATGGTCTCAATCTCCTGACCTCGTGATCTGCCCGCCTCGGCCTCCCAAACTGCTGGGATTGCAGGCATGAGCCACTGCACCTGGCCCTTTTCATTTTATTTTTTTTAATTTAACTTTTATTTTAAGTTCAGGGGTACATGGCAGGTTTGTTATATAGGTAAGCTTGTGTCATGGAGGTTTGTTGTACAAATTATTTAATCACCCAGGTATTAAGCCTAGTACCCATTAGTTATTTTTGCTGATCTTCTCCCTCCTCCCACCCTTCACTCTCCAATAGGCCCCAGTATCTGCTGTTCCATTCTATGTGACAACGTGTTCTCATCATTTAGCTCCCACTTATAAGTAAGAACATGCGGTATTTGGTTTTCTGTTTCTGCATTAGTTTGCTAAGGATGATGGCCTCCAGCTCCATCCATGTCCCTGCAAAGAACACGATCTCATTCTTTTTTATGGCCACATAGTATTCCATGTAAACCTCCTTTCTTTATAAATTACCCAGTCTCAGGTATTTCTTTATAGCAATGCAAGAATTGCCTAACACAGGTCAGGTGCGGTGGCTCACACCTGTAATCCTAGCACTTGGGAGGCCCAAGCAGGCAGATCACCTGAGGTCAAGGGTTCAAGACCAGCCTGGCCAACACGGTGAAACCCCATTTCTACAAAAAATACAAAAATTCACTCGGCGTGGTGATGTATGCCTGTAATCCCTGCTACTCAGGAGGCTGAGGCAGGAGAATCACTTGAACCCAGGAGGCGGAGGTTGCAGTGAGCCGAAATCATGCCACTGCATTCTGTCCTGGGCAACAGAGCTAGACTCCATCTCAAAAAAGAGAAAGAAAAAAAGAATTGCCTAACACAACATTTGTCATGAAAAGGAGGTGAAGAAGGGTTGTCTCAACATCCTGGGTGGAGACTAGCAATGAGGGGACTTAGGGGACTTTGGGTTGCCTTGGAGAAAGTGCCATTTCTCATCTAGAACGAATACACTTTGTCAAGACTTGGGATTTTATTAGAAGGCCTGCCCATGGGCCCAGATAATCCATCAGGCTCTACAAACAGCTATGCCTCACTGGGTCCCGGCTCACCCAGAGAGCAAGCCTCTCAGCCTATGTAGCTCCCCTTTCTAGTCTCATCTTCAGAATTAGAGTCACAGTCTAGGCCAGCAGTTCTCAACCCTGGCTGTACCTAAGAGTCACCTGGGACACCCAGAGCCAGCCCCTAAAGATTCTCACTCAGTCGGGCTGGGCTGGATACCATGGATTGGTCCCTCTTGGAATCTCCCCAGGTGATTCTAATGTGCAGCTGAGGCTGAAGGCAACCACTCTAAGACAGTTAACTTTTAGAAAGCAATATGCATAGCGGAGTGAATGGCATTTTCCATTTTGTATTTTCTAAAGAAGAGTGTGTATATGCTCTTGTGTTTTTAGTAGAGACAGGGTTTCGCCATGTTGGCGAGGCTTGTTATATAGGTATTTTTATACCTATATAAAACTTGTTATATAGATATTCAGGATATTTCTGAAAGGATGCAGAAGAGATTGGGGACAGCAATTGCCTCTGAAGAGGGAGGCTAGGGAACTAGAAGTCTGGGGTGGGAGGGAGACTTGCTTCTCATCCTATTACCTTTGGTGCGATTGGGATTTGTTAACCAGGAGCATGTATTACTTGCTTTATTAAACATTTCCAGTATTTAAAAAAAGAGTATACAGAATAATACAACAAAACACCCATGTCCTCACAACCCAACTTAAGAAATAAAACATCACAATATAAATAATAAGTCCCTCCTTCACTCTTTGCCTTCCTCCTTCCCCAGAAGTAACTGTCACTCTGAATTTGGCATTCACTTTTACACTTCTCTTACATATAAACTTGGCTTACATTTGCTTTCAATTAATTCAGCTACTATTTATTTATTTACTTTGTATCCTACCATAGATATTCTTTTGCAATCTGGGTTTTTTTTTAACTCTACACTGTGTTTTTGAGATTTCACAGTGTTGATACAAGACTTTTTCAATTTCAGAAGTTGATTTTTTTAAGATTAGATAGATATATGGATGTTCTCACTGATATGTGGGAGCTAAACTATGAGGACCCAAAGGCATAAGAATGATACAATGGACTTTGGGGACTTGGATGGAAGAGTGGGAGGGGCCAAGGGATAAAAGACTACAAATATGTTGCAGTGTATACTGCTCAGGTGATGGGTGCACCAAAATCTCACAAATCACCACTAAAGAACTTACTCTTGTAACCAAACACCACCTGTACCCCAATACCTTATGGAAAAATAAAAATAATAATAAACATCTAAACATAAGAAAAACAAGGAAGGAAAAAAAATAGATGGATATATAACATTTGTGCATCAGGGCCGGGCATGGTGGCTCACGCGTGTAATCCCAGCACTTGGGAGGCCGAGGCGGGCAGATCACTTGAGGTCAGGAGTTCAAGACCAGGCTGGCCAACGTGGTGAAGCCCCATATCTACTAAAAATATAAAAATTAGCTGGGCATAGTGGCAGGGGCCTGTAATCCCAGCTACTCGGGAGGCTGAGGCAGGAGAATCACTTGAACCCAGGAAGCAGAGGTTGCAGTGAGCCGAGATTGCATCACTACACTCCAGCCTGGGCAACAGAGGGAGACTCCATCGCAAAATAAAATAAAATAATAAAATAAAAATAAACATGTGTGCATCAACTGCTTATAACTATATATTCAGACATCCAGAATATGATTTTACTGTGACTGGACTTCAGAATGTGTGCTGCGTGTGATCCTAGGTGAAGTTGTGTGTGTTCAGGCCCTGCTGAGCATGTGTGACCATGTGTACCTTGTGCCTGCAAGTGCAGGTATGAGAGTGTGTGGATGTGCTTTGTGGGGGATCTGATTGTCATTCAGCAAACATTCACTCCTTTCCTGCCCTCCACCTCCATGGAAGGAGACTCCTTCCTGCCCCATTAAAGTTGGTCTTGGTCATGTAACTTACTTTGGCCATTGGAGTGTGGCAGAAGTGATAGTGTGCCAATTTCCAACCTAGGACTTAAGGAGAATTGTACTTATCCCTTCCCTTTTTTGGTAGTTTCACACCTTCATGGTGAGAAAAACAAGTTCTAGAGCAGGGCTGCCCCAGTGACCCACAAATCAGGCAGCAAGAAACATATGCGAATTGTTCTATGCCCTTGAGATTGTGTGGCTTTGTTATGCAGCACAAATGACTAACTCATGCTTATTTTGCAGGACCCTTGGCCTAGACTGTCTAACTTCTGGGGCCTTACTCCTAGAAAAGTGTCATGCCCAAATGTAATGATGAATAAAGACTTGTTATTGGATTAAATGTGCTTGCACATGTGATTGCATACACTGGACATACATGTGCATGTGCATAGGGCACCAGCCAGTGTGAGAGCCAGAACAGGCATGCGTGTGAGATGTACACTAATAGCAGAGTGGTAGCTAAGTAATATCTGTCTGCACACATCTGCCTGGGGGGCCACACAAAAGGGCCTGAGTTCATTTAGCTGTGGACTCACTCCCTTTTCCAGAACCTTGCACATCCTGGAATGGAGCTGGAAACATCTTAGCCCTTGGAGGCAGGGAGGAAGCTTCCAGAACCATAGACAGCAGTAAACCCAATGCTGTATAACTGACCACACTTTCTCTCCCCTTCAAACTCCTTCAGCCTTCTTAAGATGGAGCACAACATTACCTTTGTGGCTATAGAGCTTAATTCATCTCCTGAGAAAAGTACTAGAAAGGGTCCCAAGTCCTTCGTGGTCTCAGCTGTCCAGTGCTGAGGGAGTCTAAAAAGAGATAATAACCAGTAAAGTGAAAAAACATGCTGTGGTGGACATCTGTTGCCTTTTCCCCCAGCACCCTTTTCTTTCAGGAACAGATTGTCTTATACTCATGTCAATCACATGGTCCCACTTCCTTGACCGAGAAAATTGGCATGTGATGCAGGCTGACCAATCAGAGTCATCCCTGGGAGTTTTGATGGAACTATCAGAGAAGCTCTCCTTTCTTGGTATCTCTGGCAGTAGGGGAGGATATTGGAGGACATTCATATTACCAAGTGGAAAAAGTAAAGACCACACCAAGGAACACAGAGCTGAGGGATGGGAGGAACATATTCCTGAAGATATCATTTGAGACACGGGATTCAGCCATGCCTGAAGACCACCAGTGGAGTTTCCCGTTACATTCCATTCCTGAATTCAATACATTCCCGTTCTCTTTAGTTTGAATTAAATTATTGAATTTCTGCCATTTACATCACAGTGTGTCCTTCTTCTCCCTCCTCAATAGAAGAGTAATTATATATTTCTTCCTTTTACTTTACCATAACAGTCTTCTCTTAGAATAAGAAAAAACCTTTCTCTTGAACTTGGCAGGATAAAATAAAGGCACTGACCCAGAATCCACTGTTATTCTTGTATAGATCATAAATGCCTACAGTGAAGAGCATTACACTATCTTTGGCGACATCTCTAAAGGAGGTCTGCCCAATTAGCAGTGACAGCTGGTGGGAATGCAAAATCATACAGCCACTTTGGAAGACATTTTGTTGGTTTCTTACAAAAGCAAACATGTTTTTGCCATATAACCCAGCAAACACACTCTTTGGTATTTACACAAAGGAGTTGAAAACTTACGTCTACATGAAAACCTGTATATGGATGTTGATAGCAGCTTTATCCATAATTGCCAAAACTTGGAAGCAACCAAATGTCCTTCTGTAGGTGAATGGCTAAATAAACTGTGGTTCATTAAGATAATGAAATATGATTCAGCACTAAAAAGAAATGAGCTATCAAGCCAAAAAAAGACCTGGAGAAAACTTAAGTGCATATTACTAAGTGAAAGAAGTCTATCTGAAAAGGCTATCTACTGTATGATTCTAAATATATGATATTCTAGAAAAGGCAAAAGTATCAGTGGTTGCCAGGAATTAGGAGTAAGAGAGGAATGAACAGGCAAAGCCCGGAAGGATTTTTAGGGCAGTGAAAATACTCCATATGATACTATAATGGTGAATACATGTTATTATATACTTGTCTGAACCCATAGAATGTAAAGCACCAAGAGTGAACCCTAATGTAAAATATGGACTTTGGATGATAATGAGAATCCAATGACGATAATGTCAACATAGGTTCATCAGTTCTAACAAATGTACAACTTTGGGGGGGGATATTGATCATGGGGAGCTTATGCATGTATGGGGTCAGAGGGATATGGGAAATCTCTATCTTCTCCATTTTTCTGAGAACCTAAAACTAGTATTAAAAATAGTCTCTAGGGTCAGGCATGGTGGCCCATACCTATAATCCCAACACTGTGGGAGGCTTAGGTGGGTGAATCCCTTGAGCCCAGGAGTTCAAGACCCACCAAGGCAACATGGTGAAATTCCATCCCTTAAAAAAAAATACAAAAATTAGCTGGGTACAGTGATGTGCACCTGTGGTCCCAGCTACTTGGGAGGCTGAGGTGGGAGGATCACCTGAGCCCAGGGAGGTTGAGGCTGCAGTGAGCTGAGATCGCCCTCCTACACTCCAACCTGGGCAACAGAGCCAGACCTTGACTTTAAAAAAAAAAAAAAAAAAAAAAATTCTGGGTTTTTGGCATCTCAAAAAAAAAAAAAAAAAAAGGAAAGGTCAGGGCACATGGCTGCTACAGTCCTCTATTAAGCAATGTGCCACAGCAGGGGTCCCTGACCCCTGGGCCATGGACATGTACTGGTCTGTGGCCTGTTAGGAACTGGGCCACAGAGCAGAAGGTGAATGGTGGGTAACAATTGAAGCTTCGTCTGTATTTCTGGCTGCTCCCCATTGCTTGCATTGCTGCCTGAGCTCTGCCTCCTGTCAGATCAGCAGCATCATTAGATTCTTACAGGAGCATGAACCCTGTTGTGAATTGCACACACGAGGGATCCAGGTTGCATATTCCTTATGAGAATCTAATTCCTGATGATTTGTGGTGGAACAGTTTCATCCCAAGACCATTACCATCCTGCGCCCCATCCCATGCCGCCTGTGGAAAAATTGTCTTCCACAAAGCCGGTCCCTGGTGCCAAAAATGTTGGGGACTGCTGTGCTTTAGAATCTGCCATGAATCTGCAGCCTCTATTATATAGCTCCCTATAGACTTTGCTTCCTGATCAATGTACTTTGTAATCTGCCCCACTCTTAAGAAGGTTCTTTATAATCTCCCCCACCCTTAAGAAGTTTCTTTGTAATTCTCCTCACCCTTGAGAATGTACTTTATGAGATCCACCTCCTGCCCCCAAAACACTGCTCTTAACTCCACCGCTTATCCCCAAACCTATAAGAACCAGTGATAATCACACCACCCTTTGCTGACTCCTTTTTCGGACTCAGCCCGCCTGCACCCAGGTGAAATAAACAGCCATGTTGCTCACACAAAGCATGTTTGGTGGTCTCTTCACACAGACATGTGAGACAGGAGTTCGAGACCAGCCTGGCCAATCTGGTGAAACTCTGTCTCTACTAAAAATACAAAAATTAGCTGGGCATGGTGGCGGGCACCTGTAATCCCAGCTACTTGGGAAGCTGAGGCACAAAAATTGCTTGAACCCAGGAGGCAGAGTTTGCAGTGAGCCAAGATCACACTGTCAGGCCTCTGAGCCCAAGCCAAGCCACTGCATCCCCTGTGACTTGCACGTATACATCCAGATGGCCTGAAGTAACTGAAGATCCACACAAGAAGTAAAAATAGCCTTAACTGATGACATTCCACCATTGTGATTAGTTTCTGCCCCACCCTAACTCTTCAATGTACTTTGTAATCTCCCCCACCCTTAAGAAGGTACTTTGTAATCTCCCCAACCCTTAAGAAGGTTCTTTGTAATTCTCCCCACCCTTGAGAATGTACTTTGTGAGATCCACCCCTGCCCGCAAAACATGGCTCTTCACCCCCTATCCCAAAACCTGTAAGAACTAATGATAATCCACCACCCTTTGCTGACTCTCTTTTCGGACTCAGCCCGCCTGCACCCAGGTGAAATAAACAGCCATGTTGCTCACACAAAGCCTGTTTGGTGGTCTCTTCACACCGACGCGCATGAAACACACGACTGCACTTCAGGCTGGGCGACAGAGCTAGATTCCATCTCAAAAAAAATAAAATAAAAAGGAGTCACCACCCCCGAGAGGCCTCTGGACCACCCCATCTGAGCAGGCCACTCTTCCTTCTCTATCTTACCATCTTGTTTCTGTCCCAGTAGTTAGGGCTACCTCTAGTAATCCTATTTGTCCCTTTACTGTTTAGTGCGTCTCGCTTGACTAGAAGCTCCATGAAAGCAGAGACCCTACCTGCCTCCTTCGCCACTAGACCCCCAGGGCCCGGTATGTGGTGATCGCTCAGGGCCCATTTTCTTCCTTTCCTCCTCCTCCAAGGGTGGGGAAAGAGCATCAGAAGGTCTAGGTGGCCCCAGGCCCAAACAATGCTCCTTTAAAAGGAAACTAGATTGTTACAAAGGTCAGAGGCTGAAAAGTTATTTCCGCCTTTTATCCCTCTAAATTCTTCACTTCCTGAAAAAACAAACAAAAAAAAGCCACTGAGGGCCCTTGGACTAAATCCAGGCCTGAGTTGCTGGGCAGAGGTCAGTCTTGTCCAGACATGGGAAAAAAATAACTCGAGTCAGACAGGTGGGTCACCAGAGAACGAATCCAGCCTGCAAATGGCCTGTGCAATCTTCAGCTCTGTCCAGACCTGCCTCCCTCTGGGGATGCCTTTAAAGGTGATGAATGACCTGGATGAATGGGCTTAGAAGATAAGAGGGAAAAACAAATATCACAGGTCAAATCGTTATTTGTCTTCAAGTTTAACACCGTCTACTGGACTGAAAGATGTCCAAAGAATAGTTGTTCAACTATGTAAATTCCTTTTTTTTTTTTTTTTTTTTTGAGACAGAGTCTCGCTCTGTTGCCCAGGCTGGAGTGCAATGGTATGATCTTGGCTCACTGCAAGCAACCTCTGCTCCTGGGCTCAAACCATTCTCCTGCCTCAGCTTCCCAAGTAGCTGGGACTACAGGCATGTGCCACCACGCTCAGCTAATTTTAGTATTGTTAGTAGAGACAGGGTTTCACCATGTTGACCAGGCTGGTCTCGAACTCCTGACCTCAGGTGATCCACCTGCCTCGGCATCCCAGAGTGCTGGGATTACAGGCGTGAGCCACCGTGCCCGGCCAACTACATAAATTCCTAACAACGTATCTCCAGAAAGTATAGGCACAACAGCACATGCAGTCATTCCTGTAATTAAGTGCTCCGGGAGGCCAAGGCAAGAAGATCCCTTGAGCCCAGGAGTTTGAGACCAGCCTGGACAACATAGCAAGACTGTGTCTCTACAAAATATACAAAAATTGGGCTGGGGATGGTGGCTCACGCCTGTAGGCCCAGCACTTTGGGAGACCAAGGCAGGAAGATCGATTGAACTCAGGAGCTCGGGACCAGCCTGGACAACATAACGAGACCCAGTCTCTACTAAAACTCAAGAAAATTAGCCAGACGTGGTTGCATGTGCCTGTAGTCCCAGCACTTTGGGAGGCCAAGGTGGGTGGATCACCTGAGGTCAGGAGGTCGAGACCAGCCTGGCCAACATGGTGAAGTCTCGTCCCTACTAAAAATACAAAAATTAGCCAGGCACGGTGGCACACACCTGTAATCCCAGCTACTTGGGAGGCTGAGGCAGGAGAATGGATTGAACCCAGGAGGCAGAGGTTGCAGTGAGCCGAGATGGCACCATTGCACTCCAGCCTGGGCAACAGAACAAGACTCCATCAAAAAAAAAAAAAAAAAAAAAAAAAAAAAAAAAAAAAGAAAGAAAGAAGAAAATTAGCCAGGTGTGGTTGCATGCACCTGTAGTCCCAGCACTTTGGGAGGCCAAGGCAGGAGGATCAATCAAGGCTAGGAGATTGAGACTGCAGAAGGAAACCCTGTCTCTAAAAACAAGGTCCAGCTAAAATCAGGGTCCAGCTCCACCACAAGCACAGCTCCAGGGGCTGTTGAGTTTTGCCTCTACCATTCCAAGTAGTCTCTGCTCCAGACCAAGTCCCACCATCTGGCAGTCATGTCAGTCCAACCACAGTCATATCAAGGCGCTTCCAGTCATTGAGTGCCCCTTGAGGAGGCTGGAGGAGAGGCCAATGACATTTGCACTTGAGACTCCAGAGTCTAGATTTATAACCACTATGTTACGGCTGCCAGTGTGGCTGCAAGGACACTTCTTTCATTCATTCATTTACAATAGATGTAGCATCTGCTGTGTGCCAGATGCCATTCTAGGTTCTAGGGAAACAAGGCACAGCCCCTGTTTTCCAAGGCATCCACATTCTAGGAAAGACTGCTACCAGCCTGGCGTGGTGGCTCATGCCTGTAATCCCAGTACTTTGGGAAGCCGAGGTGGGCAGATCACTTGATGTCAGGAGTTCAAGACTAGCCTGACCAACATGGGGAAACCCCGTCTCTACTAAAAATACAAAATTAGCCAGGTGCGGTGGCGCATGCCTGTAATCCCAGCTACTCGGGAGGCTGAGGAGGAGAATCGCTTGAACCCAGGAGGCGGAGGCTGTGGTGAACCGAGATCGCACCACTGCACTCCAGCCTAGGCAACAAGAGCGAAACACCATCTCAAAAAAAAAAAAAAAAAAAAAAAAAAAGGAAACCGCATCTCTACTAACAATACAAAAATTAGCTGGGCAAGGAGCTAGGTGATTATAGTACCAGCTACTCAAGAGGCTGATGCAGGAGAATCACTAAATCGCATCTCTACTAAAAATACAAAAATTAGCTGGGCAAGGAGCCGGGTGACTATAGTACCAGCTACTCAAGAGGCTGATGCAGGAGAATCACTTGAATCCGGGAGGCAGAGTTTGCAGTGAGTTGAGATTGCACCACTGCATTCCAACCTCGGCAACAGTGCGAGACCCTGTCTCAAAAGAAAAAAATAATATAAAGTGACCAGGTGTGGTGACTCACACCTGTAATCCCACCACTTTGGGTGGAAGCAGGAGGATCACTGGAGCCCAGGAGTTTGAAACCAGCCTAGGCAACATAGTGAGACCCTGTCTCTATATTAAACACACACACATGCACACACACACACACACACACACACACACACACACAAAGGCAGCCAGACTATGCACAAGGAACTGCCCTGGGAATCCCTTTGCATTCTCACAACAATCCCATTTCACAGATGAAGAAACCAAGGCACAGAAATATTAAGTAACGTGTCCAGGTGTGGTGGCTCATGCCTATAATCCCAGTACTTTGGGAGGCTGAGGCAGGCAGATCACGAGGTCAGGAGTTCGAGACCATCCTGGCCAACATGGTGAAACCCTGTCTCTACTAAAAATACAAAAATTAGCTGGGTGTGGTGGCAGGTGCCTGTAATTCCAGCTACTCAGGAAGCTGAGGCAGGAGAATTGCTTGAACCCGGGAGGCGGAGGTTGCAGTGAGCCGAGATCACACCACTGCACTCCAGCCTGGGTGACAGAGCAAAACTCCGTCTGAAAAAAAAAAAAAAAAGAAGAAGAAGAAATACTAAGTAACTTGTCTGAGGCCACTTAGTTACCAAGACGTGGGAGCTGGGACTTGAACCCAGGCAGTCTGGCTGGATTCATGCCTGCAGCCTCTGCACTCCTGCTACTTACTGTGTGAGAAGCGCCTGTTCTGTGGAAGGTTGTGGGCTGAGATCTTTCCATGAGTTCCACTCATTTACCCCCAAGGCTGTTCTTAAAGACAGGCATGACAGTTATGCCCATTTTACAGATGCGGCCCTGAGGCTCACAAGGGCACGCCACTCGCCCATTTCCACAAAGCTATAGCTCGTTAGCGGAGGGCAGAATTCGGCCGCCTCTCCCCTAGCTCGAAGGCTGTGATTGACACAGAGGTTTTTTTGTTGTTGTTGCTGTTGTTTGTTCTTTTTTCTTTTCTTTTTTTTTTTTTTTTTTGAGACGGACTCTCGCTCTGTCGCCCAGGCTGGAGTGCAGTGGCGCGATCTCGGCTCACTGCAAGCTCCGCCTCCCAGGTTCACGCCATTCTCCTGCCTCAGCCTCCCGAGTAGCTGGGACTACAGGCGCCCGCCACCACGCCCGGCTAATTTTTTGTATTTTTAGTAGAGACGGGGTTTCACCGTGTTAGCCAGGATGGTCTCGATCTCCTGACCTCGTGATCCGCCCGCTCGGCCTCCCAAAGTGCTGGGATTACAGGCGTGAGCCACCGCGCCCGGCCCTTTTTTTTTTTTTTTTTTGAGACAGGGTCTTGCTCTGTCATCCCGGCTGGAGTGCAGTGGTGCGATCTCAGCTCACTGCAAACTCTGCCTCCAAGATGCAAATGATTCTCGTGCCTCAGCCTCCCAAGTAGCTGGAATTACAGGTGTGCACTACCACGCCCAGCTGTTTTTTGTAGAGATGGGGTTAGTAGAGATTTGTTTAATAGAGATGGGGTTTCACCATGGTCTCTACTAAACCCTGTCTCTACTAAAAATACAAAAATTACCCAGACGTGGTGGCACATGCCTGTAGTCCCAGCTACTCAAGAGGCTGAGGCAGGAGAATCACTTGAACCTGGGAGGTGGAGGTTGCAGTGACCCAAAATCATGCACTCTAGCCTGGGGTCTCGCTTTTGCCCAGGTTAGAGTGCAGTGGCACAATCACAGTGGCTCACTGCAGCCTCAAACTCCTGGGCTGAAGGGAATCCTCCCACCTCAGCCTCCCAAGTAGTTAGGACTATAGGCATGTGCCATCCTGGCGAGTTAATTTTTTGTGTGTTTTTATTCTCTCGAGACAGAGTCTTGCTCTGTTGCTCAGGCTGGACTGCAATGGCGTGATCTTGGCTCACCGCAACCTCCACCTCCGGGGTTCAAGCAATTCTCCTACCTCAGCCTCCCGAGTAGCTGGGATTACAGGTGCGTGCCACCATGCCTGGCTAATTTTGTATGTTTAGTAGAGACAGGGTTTCGCCGTGTTGGTCAGGCTGCTCTCGAACTCCTGACCTCGTGATCCACCTGCCTCGGCCTCTCAAAGTGTTGGGATTACAGGCATGAGCCACTGAGCCTGGCCTGGTGAGCTAATTTTTAAATTTGTTATAGAGACAAGAGAGACAAGAGTCTCTCTTATGTTGCCCAGGCTGGTCTCGACCCCCTGGCCTCAAGTGATCCTCCCACCTCAGCCTCCCAAAGTGCTGGGATTACAGATGGGTGTCACCGCACCTGGCCTCTGAGGAGGATTTCATTATAAACCTGCCCTGAAGGGAGGGAATCCAATTTTACGAGAGGGTGTAGCCTGGTGAGGCCTGGATGACCTCCGGAGGCAGGGGCTTGTGCCTGGGCTGAGGCCTAAGGGACAATGGGCAGACATGAAGTTGCCCCAGGCAGAGGGTACAGTGTGGGCAAAGTCAGGAAGTGGCAGGGCTTGGATCACTCCAGGAAGAGAGAGGAGTCATGTGTCACAGGAGCTCGAGACCCAGAGAGTGAGGCAGGGAGGCAGGGACCAAGCTTGGGCACAGCCAGGAAGGCAGGACAGGGCATGGTGGGGCCAATGGAATCATTACCCAAGACGGAGATTTTCAGGGAAACAGCTTAGATAAGGCCAGGCGTACAGTAGCTCCCACCTGTAATCCCAGCATTTGGGGAGGCTGAGGTAGGACTGCTGAGCCTGGGAGCTCGAGACCAGCCTAGGCAACATAGTGAGACCCCATATCCATAAAAAATTTAAAAAAGGAGTTTGTGTTCCTGTAGTAGCAGACTTGGGAGGTTGAGGTGGCAGTATCACTTGAGCCCGGGAGTTCAAGGCTAAAGTGAGCTGATTGAGCCATTGCACTCCAGCCTGAGCAACAGAGAGATACGCTGTCTCAAAGGAAATACAAATTAAAAAACCAGCCGGGCATGCTGGCGTGTGCCTGTAGTCTCAGCTACTTGGGACACTGAAGTGGGAGGATCGCTTGAGCCCAGGAGTTCAAGGCTGCCGTGAGCTATGATTGTGCCTCTGCAGTCCAGCCTGGGCGACAGAGAAAGACCCTGTCTCTTAAAAAAAAAAAAATCTTAGATAAGAGGATGCTGTGCCTCCCTGGGGGTCTTCAGTCACCCATAGTCCTGGCAAGAGAGGAGGGCCAGGAGAGAGCTTCACCCACCTGCTGTCCTGCCCATGTGACATCCGCAGGTGCTGCCATGGCCACGACTGATGTTACACTCGAGCTGAGGAGGCCGGCTGCAGCCCCAAGACAGAGCGCTACTCCTGGCAGTGCGTCAATCAGAGCGTCCTGTGCGGTGAGTCCCCAGCACCACCATGCCACCCACCCCGAGTATCCCCTGGGCATCCTGGCATAGCCAGATGACTTCCGTGCCCCTGTTGCAATAACCACTGCTTCCAAGTCTCTATAGACCACCCCTTGGGTATATCTAATGTAAGTGATATTTATTTTATTTATTTTTTGAGTCAGTCTCGCTCTGTCACCCAGGCTAGAGTGTGCTGATGTGATCTCGGCTCACTACAACCTCTGCCTCCTGGGTTCAAGCGATTCTCGTGCCTCAGCCTCCCAAGTGGCTGGGACTACAGGCATGCACCATGACGCGCAGCTAATTTTTGTATTTTTTTCAGTAGAGGTGGGGTTTCCCCAAGTTGGCTGGGCTGGTCTCAAACTCCCCACCTCAAGTGCTTTGCCCGCCTCGGGCTCCCAAAGTGCTGGGATTACAGGCATGAGCCGTGGTGTGTGGCCCTAATGTGAGTGATCTTTAACACTGAGCACTTGAAAAAGAAAACCCTGAAGAAACCTAATTCTTTGATGTCTGGACGACAAGGAAGAAGATAGAAATGGCATCAGATAATAAACAGTGTAAATGTTTATCAGAAAGAGGCTGGTGGTCGGGACAAGTAGGAGGATCGCTTGAGTCCAGGAGTGCATCTCTACAAAAAAGTTAAAGGATTTTTTAACATTGGCCAGGCGTGGTGGCACACATCATCTGTGATCCCAGCTACTTGGGAGGCTGGGGCAGGAGGATTGCTTGAAGCCCAGGAGGTTGAGGCTGCAGTGAGCTGTGATCGAGCCACTGCACTCCAGCCTGGGTGACACAGCAAAATCCAGTCTCAAAAAAAATAATAATAATATTTTACATAACCAACCACTTCTAAAGATTAAAAAAAAACCCCTATGATTAAAAACCTCAGGTCCCTCAGGCAATCATACCAGATATCGAAACAAAGCAATAACATAAGGACTGCAGTATTTATTTTATTTTTATATTATTTATTTATTCTTTGTTAGTTTTTGGAGTGTGGGTTTTGTTTTGTTTTTTGAATTTTTTATTTTGTTCTACTCGGTTTTATTCTTATTGCTCAGGCTTGAGTGCACTGGCCTCTTCTCAGCTCAACCTCCGCCTCTTGGGTTCGGGTAATGATGGTTCCACGTCAGCGGCCCTCCGCCTCTTGGGTTTGCGTGACGGTTCCACGTCACCGACCCTCCGCCTCTTGGGTTCGGGTGATGATGGTTCCACGTCAGCGGCCCTCCGCCTCTTGGGTTTGCGTGACGGTTCCACATCACCGACCCTCCGCCTCTTGGGTTCGGGTGATGATGGTTCCACGTCAGCGGCCCTCCGCCTCTTGGGTTTGCGTGACGGTTCCACGTCACCGACCCTCCGCCTCTTGGGTTCGGGAGGTGGTTCCATCTCAGCCGCCCTCTGCCTCTTGGGTTTGCGTGGTTTTTCTGCCTCAGCCTCCTGAGTAGCTAAGGGAGGTGTCTTGAGATTATCATCGGCTGAGGGTGGAAGCGGCCCCCGCAGACGCTCGGCAGGTGTCTTGATATTATCATCTGCTGAGGGTGGAGCTGAGGGTGGAAGGGGAGTGAGCTGACGCTCGGAAGGTGTCTTGAGATTATCATCCGCTGAGGGTGGAAGCGGCCCCCGCAGACGCTCGGCAGGTGTCTTGATATTATCATCTGCTGAGGGTGGAGCTGAGGGTGGAAGGGGAGTGAGCTGACGCTCGGAAGGTGTCTTGAGATTATCATCCGCTGAGGGTGGAAGCGGCCCCCGCAGACGCTCGGCAGGTGTCTTGATATTATCATCTGCTGAGGGTGGAGCTGAGGGTGGAAGGGGAGTGAGCTGACGCTCGGAAGGTGTCTTGAGATTATCATCCGCTGAGGGTGGAAGCGGCCCCCGCAGACGCTCCCCGCAGACGCTCGGCAGGTGTCTTGATATTATCATCTGCTGAGGGTGGAGCTGAGGGTGGAAAGGGAGTGAGCTGACGCTCGGAAGGTGTCTTGAGATTATCATCCGCTGAGGGTGGAAGCGGCCCCCGCAGACGCTCGGCAGGTGTCTTGATATTATCATCTGCTGAGGGTGGAGCTGAGGGTGGAAGGGGAGTGAGCTGACGCTCGGAAGGTGTCTTGAGATTATCATCTGCTGAGGGTGGAAGCGGCCCCCGCAGACGCTCGGCAGGTGTCTTGATATTATCATCTGCTGAGGGTGGAGCTGAGGGTGGAAGGGGAGTGAGCTGACGCTCGGAAGGTGTCTTGAGATTATCATCCGCTGAGGGTGGAAGCGGCCCCCGCAGACGCTCGGCAGGTGTCTTGATATTATCATCTGCTGAGGGTGGAGCTGAGGGTGGAAGGGGAGTGAGCTGACGCTCGGAAGGTGTCTTGAGATTATCATCTGCTGAGGGTGGAAGCGGCCCCCGCAGACGCTCGGCAGGTGTCTTGATATTATCATCTGCTGAGGGTGGAGCTGAGGGTGGAAGGGGAGTGAGCTGACGCTCGGAAGGTGTCTTGAGATTATCATCCGCTCAGGGTGGAAGCGGCCCCCGCAGACGCTCGGCAGGTGTCTTGATATTATCATCTGCTGAGGGTGGAGCTGAGGGTGGAAGGGGAGTGAGCTGACGCTCGGAAGGTGTCTTGAGATTATCATCGGCTGATGGTGGAAGCGGAATCCGCAGACGCTCAGCAGGTATCTTGATATTATCATCTGCTGAGGGTGGAGCTGAGGGTGGAAGGGGAGTGAGCTGACGCTCGGAAGGTGTCTTGAGATCATCCGCTGAGGGTGGAAGGCAGGTGTCTTGATATTATCATCTGCTGAGGGTGGAGCTGAGGGTGGAAGGGGAGTGAGCTGACGCTCGGAAGGTGTCTTGAGATTATCATCCGCTGAGGGTGGAAGCGGCCCCCGCAGACGCTCGGCAGGTGTCTTGATATTATCATCTGCTGAGGGTGGAAGGGCAGTGAGCTGACGCTCGGAAGGTGTCTTGAGATTATCATCCGCTGAGGGTGGAAGCGGCCCCCGCAGACGCTCGGCAGGTGTCTTGATATTATCATCTGCTGAGGGTGGAGCTGAGGGTGGAAGGGGAGTGAGCTGACGCTCGGAAGGTGTCTTGAGATTATCATCCGCTGAGGGTGGAAGCGGCCCCCGCAGACGCTCAGCAGGTGTCTTGATATTATCATCTGCTGAGGGTGGAGCTGAGGGTGGAAGGGGAGTGAGCTGACGCTCGGAAGGTGTCTTGAGATTATCATCCGCTGAGGGTGGAAGCGGCCCCCGCAGACGCTCGGCAGGTGTCTTGATATTATCATCTGCTGAGGGTGGAGCTGAGGGTGGAAGGGGAGTGAGCTGACGCTCGGAAGGTGTCTTGAGATTATCATCCGCTGAGGGTGGAAGGGGATGGAGCAGACACTCGGCACGTGTCTTGAGATTATCATCCGCTGAGGGTGGAGCTGAGGGTAGAGCTGAGGGTGGAAGGGGAGTGAGCAGACACTCGGGAGGTGTCTTGAGATTATCATCCGCTGAGGGTGGAAGGGGAGTGAGCAGACACTCAGGAGGTGTCTTGAGATTATCATCCGCTGAGGGTGGAAGGGGAGTGAGCACACACTCGGGAGGTGTCTTGAGATTATCATCCGCTGAGGGTGGAAGGGGAGTGAGCACACACTCGGGAGGTGTCTTGAGATTATCATCCGCTGAGGGTGGAAGGGGAGTGAGCAGACACTCGGGAGGTGTCTTGAGGCTCAGGGAGTTATCAGTTATAGAATGTTGTTGAGTTGGAGGAGGTGGCTGGTGGCCCATCCTGTTTTTTAAAGTTTCAGCTGTGAGGTAGGGCCAGTAGGGCAATCCTGAAGAATGACGATGCTCCGCTGCCGCCATTCTGACCTGTAGGGCCAAAGGAGGGAATGTTTTCACACATATTCATTTGATGGACAAAATTACCGCCACCAACACAGTCTGCACCTTCTGTTGCTGGTGATAGATTTTTGCACCTTTCCATCCTCCAGGTTTCAAAATAGCAGTATCAGTGTCATAATATCACCCTTCCACTGAGTACTGCCGACAGCTGGAGGGTAAAGGAAAGTCATTGGGACACACTGTTGTCTCCACATGCCACTGTGTCTGTCTGCAAATGTAGGCAGGCTGGGGTCCTGCCCCAGGGAAGACAGAGTCATAACAGAGTAATAAAGAAGCATGTTTGAGACACAGGAGTGTCTATGTCTATCCTCATTCCTCCCTCACAGCCATCACCAGAGCATGTTTCTTGCACCAGGTCAACAGACAGTAAGAGACAGTAAGAGAGGCATGAAAAGCCCACTGTCCACACATGTTGCAGCTTCTTTTTGGAGAATGTTTTCCAGGCCTTTTATGTTCTGTCTCTGATTCTCAGAACTCTGCAAGGTCAGTGTGACCACCCTGCTCCAAATCTAAGAAAACAGAGGTTTCCAGAGGAAGGAGAAATTGTGCCCAGGGTCACACAGCTTGCAAGAGGCAGAGTGGAAGTTGATTCCAGCTCTGCCTGCAGGACCCTCTCATTTCCCCTCTGTTTCCCTTCTTGACAAAGGATCTTCTTCACTCTGGAGGTGCCACCCATGAGAACAAAGAGCTCTGGAGAGATGTGGATTCCTGAAGAGCTGCAGGGGAACTGGGAGAGGGTTTTCTGACAGAACAATCTCACCTCAAGAAGTCACTTAGGCATGGCTGTAATATTTCTTTTCACTCCCAGGTAATACCAAATTGTAAGTGCACTAGGACATAAAGAATACTTTTGTCCATGGAAAAATGAGGTGGGAATTCTAAACAAAGCAAGTTTTAAAACTGTGTTTCACTTCAAGTGTACAAGTCCCATCACGTGTAATCATAGGACTCGGCAGCTTTTGAAGGTACAGAGGCCACACAAGAACCAGCTTAGCTGAGCATCATTTAAGGCCTTCATTTGGAATTGTCCCTGTGGGTAATAAGTTACATTCACTCTTCACTAGTTTACAGTCAGGGCCCATCTGCTATTACAAATACGGAACCTCTGACACTTAGAATATTAGATCAGGGGCCCCACTGGGTGGGGATGAAGGTGTTTTTGCGCAACACGGTTACCAACAGGGATGGGACTGTGATGCTTGTAGGCAGCCTTTCTCTCTGCCATCTCCCTCTGCAGGGCTTGAGCACAGAGCTGTAGGGAGAAAAATGTATCCATGTCCTGACCTGGCAGACTATGTCCAAAAGCAAGGAAAACAAGCAAACTTACCCAGTTGCAAAGAGCCTTTCTTGCAGAAGGGGGGATCTGAAAAAGCCAACACATGAGAAATTGAATGTTGAGAGAGTCTAAGGGCCGTGGCATCATCTGCATCAGCACTGAACTATCCTGCAACTGCAGGGAGGAAGCTCCTTACTTTGCATTTGTGGTAGTCCTCTGCTCGCCGCCGCAACTCTTGCGCACGTTGAAACATTTTCCTATGGATTACAATCACTTTCATCAGATAAAGCACCACTTTCAGGATGATTTTAAATAATCTGCCATGTTTCTGTTATCCTCACAACTGTACCCTTACACAATCTATCTCTACCTAGAAAACGTATTTCAGATGGCTAGAAGAGTACAGTCTGAGCCGGTCACGGTGGCTGACGCCTGTAATCCCAGCACTCTGGGAGGGCGGGGCGGATGGATCACGAGGTCAGGAGATTGAGACCATTGTGGCTAATATGGTGAAACCCCTTCTCTACTAAAAATACAAAAAATTAGCCAGGCGTGGTGGCAGGCACCTGTAATCCCAGCTACTCGGGAGGCTGAGGCAGGGGAATCACTTGAACCTGGGAGGCGGAGGTTGCAGTGAGCCAAGATCACGTCATTGCACTCCAGCCTGGGTGACACAGCGAGACTCCATCTCAGAAAAACAAAAACAAAAACAAAAAAACTGTACAGTCTGATCCAAACTGTTGCTGTATTGATTCCTCCTCTTGCTTACTGCCTGCTGACTTCTGAGATGATAGTTTCCTTCCCCATTCTCAGTACATCCCTAATTCATCCTTCATTGAGCATCTTTTATCATAAAGCTGTATTCTCTTTGTATTAATATCCTTACCGTGTTTCACAGGGCAGAAACAGCTGGGCTTATAAACAGGCATAGTCCTTTTGAAGGATGTGGTTGATCCTACAACAACACACTTTCCTAAGGATGACAACAACTCACCCCACCCCTAGAATGGCTGGTATGAACCGAGTTTCCACACAGTCTAGCTGGCAATGGGGTCAGGAGACGTTTTGCTACTTCACATCTTTTGGTCACTGGTAAATATTAAGGTACTTTGTTTTCTGTTTTGTGAACTCTCTCTCGCTCTCTCTCACGATATGTCTTCTGACCGTTTGTTTCTATTTCTGCATTTACTGGGTCTAAATACTGTACAAAGGTTAAAAACAACACTCCAATGGGCGTTTCCCAAGAGGGTGGGGTACAGTTTCTGAACTCACTTGTAGGTGTGTATTTCTTTCATATCCAATTTCCCATTTTCCTCTGCCTCTGATACCTGCCTCTCCTTTTCTGCATGCTCACATTCTTTCACGCTTAGTTTCCTCAGATTAGAAGGGAGAGAAATGCACACACATGATCCACCAGCCCGTGTGGGATTCCCTCTGCCCTTCTGGCATCTGAAGGCTGTGATTCAAAGATCCCCCCTGCAACCTTCCCACAAATGAACCAACTGATTCTCACAACCGAAGGGAGAATTGACACCTCCCATTGAGGGACAAAAAAAAGTCACACTCTGGCCTGCTGGCAAGTCACCTGTCATTTCCAGCTCATCTTCATAGTTCCATAGTTAGTCCTATTCTTTAGTAAATATAAAGACTATTAAAAGCTTCTATGAGGTGCACTATGTGTGTCTCTGGGGTCAGTCTTGTGCTTGACACAGCGAAAGCTCATTTTAGTTCAGTGTGAAAAACCAGACCTCACCAATTCATCACAACTAACTCCATCGGAAGCAGAGGATTGCTCCTCATCTGACTCCTCCTGTGTGAGACCTGATTCTCAGTCAGAGGCTGATGCCGGAACTGAGACCATCAGCCATAGAGAGATCCTTCCAGAATAACCCCGCAGTTCACTACTGCACTTTGCCATGATTCAGGACTGGAACTCTTGTCATCGACTTTAAAGATCCTGGTTGAGAGAAAAGGCAATCTGAATGCTGGGCGCATCTATTGAATTAGAAATGATCGGAATGGCTCCTAAGTCAGGGTGTTATGTCCTGAAAATAGGTGACAACGGCAAACCATCCACCCTGGTGTTGACTGACTTTAACAAGGTTCAGTTCACAGAGATTGAGGGCAGAAAAAGGAAACGGCCTCAAAAGGGTAAGTTTGCTGTGTTGCCCTCATACCACTTGATTCATGGTCCTGATCCTAAGGATCTCACCTGATACTTGGCTTTATAGGAAGGATGTGTAAAATTCCCAGAACGCTAGGAAACAGGGGCGAAAACACTTCAAAGAGAAAGTTAATGAACTTGTTTCTGACCACAAGGCATCCTTCAGCACATGCTGTCTGGAGTGGCCTCAAACAAGGAGTGTGTGGTGTGGTGCTGAGAATGCAATGGGAGCAGGGTCCTGTCCCCACGCTAAAGAAGCTCACAGCTTAATGCAAATGAGAAGCCAGTGAGGACATCACTACTCCTGCTGTGCACTTGGGAACTAGAAACACAAAACCTGACTCTGGAGGGAAGCTAAGGAAGCATTCTACTCTTGAGTTGACATAAGTGCATCTGAAGCTTCTGATCTCCGATGAGAACAATGGGGGACACCAAACAGAATATAAAACCCATGATTGAATACATCAAATTGCTAACATGGCAGTAAACAGACATGAGGTGAAGATGGAGAAGAAGGAAACCCAGGACGAAAGTCAGCCTCGCATTTGGAACCCATTTCCCTGCGTTTCATTGCTGAATTCCAGAAGGAACTACTGAGATGCAAAGAAGCACAGCAGCTTTTGCACACATGCGTGGGATTAGATGGAAAACAAGTGGATTGAGGGTCTGCCAATGAAAGCGACCCATACTGAAGTCCACTGGCTCTGGTTGAGACCCAGAAGAGTCATGCATCAGAATAAAGGTGGACAGGAAATACCCTGGCCTTTGTAGGGACTGAGCCTGCACCGACGACTTCAATTGCAGCCTGTATGGAGGACCCCTGACCATCCCCCAGAAGTAGACTCCCATCTCTTCTGCAGCAAGATAACATGCTACTAGGCCTCAATTCATTGCTAAACATTTTTTAACAAGTATCTCACATTTAACAAAAAAAGATCAGTCATATGGCAGCAAAATACAATGTCATATGACCAAAACATGAAAGACTGTGAAAATGAATCTGGAGGTGACCCAAGCATTGAATTCAACAATCCAGGCTGGGTGCGGTGGCTCACACTGGGAGGCTGAGGTAGGCAGATCACCTGAGGTCAGGAGTTCAAGACTAGCCTGGCCAACATGGTGAACCCCTGTCTCTACTAAAAATACAAAAATTGGGCCGGGCACGGTGGCTCACGCCTGTAATCCCAGCACATTGGGAGGCCGAGGTGTGCGGATCATGTCAGGAGTTCTAGACCAGCTTGGCCAATATGGTGAAACCCCGCCTCTACTAAAAATACAAAAATTATCCGGGCATGGTGGCATATGCCTGTAGTCCCAGCTACTCAAGAGGCTGAGGGATAAGAATCGCTTGAACCTGGGAGGTGGAGGCTGCAGTGAGCCAAGATCATGCCACTGCACTCTAGCCTGGGTGACAGAGTGAGACTCTGTCTCAAAAAAAAAAAAAAAAAAAAAAAAAAAATTGGTCAAATGTGGTGGCACACACCTGTAATCCAAGCTACTCGGGAAGCTGAGGCAGAATTGCTTCAAACTGGGAGGCAGAGGTTGCAGTGAGCCAAGATTGCACCATAGCACTCCAGCCTGGGCGACAGAGCGAGACTCTATCGCAAAATTAAAAAAAAAAAAAAAAAAAAAAAGGCTGGCTGTGGTGGCTCACGCCTCTAATCCCAGCACTTTGGGAGGCTGAGGCAGGTGGATTACCTGAGGTCAGAAGTTCGAGACCAGCCTGGACAACATGGTGAAACCCCATCTCTAGTAAAAATACAAAAATTAGCTGGGCGTGGTGGTGGGCACCTGTAATCCCAGCTACTTGGGAGGCTGAGGCAGGAGAATTGCTTGAACCCAAAAGGCAGTGAGCTGAGATTGTGCCATTGCACTACAGCCTGGGCAACAACAGCAAAGCTCCATCTCAGGAAAAAAAAAAAAAAAAAAAAAGAGAAAGGAAAACCAATGCCAGTACTAGCAACTCCTCTTCCTCCGAAAAAATGAAAACAAGAATGTAGGAAGGGAAAGGAATTATACAGCTTAAACTAATGAAGCAGAAAGGACAAACTCAATTTTGAACCCACTGAATTTGCCACAAATATTGTAGAAAATATTCTCAAGGACTTTACAGTTGTCTACTTTGATTGGCACATGGTTCATACAACAGTATTTGTGTCAAGGCACATCTTACTGTTTTCTGGCGGTCTTCCTCTTTCCATTGATTTTGTCATGATGGTTGATTTTCGTTGTCACCTTCCTCTTACGGATTTTAGCTCTAACTTTTGTTTCCACATGTCTCCGTAGAGTAATGACGTCTTTCAGGCCAATTTTATTTCCTCGAAAGGAAGAAACTCTTTTCTTTGTGTGCATACAAATGGACCTCAGCCCTTGGTGAGAGTGAGGAGAGGAGAAGGTGAGAAACCTGAGGGCAAGAAGCTGTTCTTTCCCTTTCCAGGGCAAACTCATTTCCACACTATGCGGATTCCAACAGAGCCATACCTTCCTGTCTACGGCGGTTGGACCTCCAGGCTCTCTGCTGTACATCCGTGGATCCATCATGTCCATTTCGAGACCAGAAGATAGTCTTCAGGAGAGACACCTAGGAAATAATAATATAAGAATGACGGCTGGGCACGGTGGCTCATGCGTATAATCCCAGTACTTCGGGAGGCCGAGGCAGGTGGATCACGGGGTCAGGAGTTCAAGACCAGCCTGGCCAAGATGGTGAAACCCCGTCTCTACTAAAAATACAAAAATTAGCCGGGCATGGCAGCGGGCGCCTGTAATCCAAGCTACTCGGGAGGCTGAGGCAGAGAACCGTTTGAAGCTGGGAGGCGGAGGTTGCAGTGAGCCGAGATCACACCACTGCACTCCAGCCTGAGCGACAGAATGAGACTCTGTCACATACACACACACACACACAAGAATGACATGAGGCTGGCACGGTGGCTCACTCCTGTAATCCCAGCACTTTGGGAGGCCGAGGCAGGCGGATCACCTGAGGTCGGGAGTTTGAGACCAGCCTCACCAACATGGAGAAACGCTGTCTCTGCTAAAAATACAAAATTAGCCAGGCATGGTGGTGCATGCCTGTAATCCCAGCTAGTCGGGAGGCTGAGGCAGGAGAATCACTTGAACCCAGCAGGAAAAGCTTGTGGTGAGCTGAGATTGTGCCATTGCACTCCAACCTGGGCAACAAAATTGAAACTCTGTCTCAAAAAAAAAAAAAAAAAAAAAAAAAAAATAGGCCAGATGCGGTAGCTCACGCCTGTAATCCCAGCACTTTGGGAGGCCGAGGCGGGTGAATCACAAGGTCAAGAGATGGAGACCATCCTGGGCAACATGGTGAAACCCCGTCTCTACTAAAAATACAAAAATTAGCTGAGCATGGTGATGCACGCCTGTAGTCCCAGCTACTCGGGAGGCTGAGGCAGGAGAACTGCTTGAACCCAGGAGGCAGAGGTTGCAGTGAGCCAAGATCCCACCACTGCACTCCAGCCTGGTGACAGAGTGAGACTTCGTCTCAAAAAAAAAAAAAAAAAAAAAAAATGACATGAATATACTTCACACAACTGAACTGTACACTTCAACACGGTTAGATGGTAATTATCATCTTATAAGTATTTTACCACAGGTTAACATGTTTCACAACTTGAAAAGGAAGTAATTACCTTCAGCTCTCTGAGTTCTAGAATTTGTAACATTTCATCCCCTGCTCCTTCCTGATCTGCACTGGAGCATCTTCCTTCTGTCCCTGCTCTACTCAGAGTTCACTTTCCCTTCCCTCACATCAGCTTCATTGAGGCTGGTTTGAACTTAACGCAAAACATTCTCACTAATGACTGAATTCCCACCAAGATTTCCATATTATCACAGTATGCTTTTAATCTTCTAAGATATTAAATATTTCTTCTCATCATAGCTAAAATGCAATGCAAATCCCATCTCAGATGTGGGTCAGATACCTATGAATCTCCTGAGGTGGTCATTGAAATGACTTTTTTCTTGAGACAGAGTGTCACTCTCAACCGTGCTGAAGTGCAGTGGCGCTACCTTGGCTCACGGCAACCTCCACCTCCCAGATTCAAGCGATTCTTGTGCCTCAGCCTCCCAAGTAGCTGGGATTACAGGTGCCTGCTACCATGCCTGGCTAATTTTTGTCTTTTTAGTAGAGATGGGGTGTCACCATGTTGGCCCATCTGGTCTTGAACTCCTGACCTCAAATGATCCATCTGCTTCAGCCTCCCAAAGTGCTGGGATTACAGGCATGAGCCACCACACCTGGCCTGAAATAATATCTTTCAAATTCTTTGTAGAATTTGTTTTTTCCTGATTTCTGCACATAGGATAAAAAAAAAATCATGTACTAGGATTTCGAGAGAAGCAATGGGTAATCTAAAAAGATGAAAAGAGCAACCACGTCAATCCCACAGCTACTGCTAGATTTCATAGGAAAGGTAGCTGGCCCAGTTTGGAGCTAGGGGAAATGTCAAACACATGAAGAAATGAGAAGCCAAGAAATGCCATCACGCATGAATGCTTCATGGCACCCATGATGTCCCTGCTAAGGAGGTAATGGTATAGATGACTAGATGACAAGGACAAAGATGAGAGGTGCGAAGTTGTCCAAGTCCAACAGCTCAACTGAACTTTCCTAAGTGGAATTGTTAAAAAGTGGTAAATTTAAAAACTTCCCCTGGCTCACGTGGTGGCTCACGCTTGTAATCCCAGCACTTTGGGAGGCTGAGGTGGGTGGATCATTTGAGGTCGGGTTTTGAGACTAGCCTGGCCAACATGGTAAAACCCCGACTCTACTAAAAATACAAAAATTAGCTGGGCATGGTGGTGGGCACCTGTAATCCCAGCTACTTGAGAGGCTGAGGCAGGGGAATCACTTGAAGCCAGGAGGTGGAGGTTGCAGTGAGCCGAGGTCACACCATTATACTCCAGCCTGGGCAACAGAAGGAGACTCGTCTTCGGGGTGAGAAAAGAAAAAAAAAAAAGAAAAAAGCTTCCTCCAATTTATACCGAAAATTCTCTGTTCAGGACTAAGTGGCATAGAGAATGTTAAATGTGCCTAGATATCTTCATAACTCATATATTTTCTGTTTTCTACATATCTTGAAAGGCAGTGCCAAATGACGTGTAATTATCTAGGTGGTAAAACTGAAACATACTTCCTCTTCCCTTGAATATAAAAAAGCATTGTGGTATTAGTACTTTTATCTTGGATCATTGTTCAGAAGGAGGTTCAGCCCCCAGACAACCACATTTTTACTGTCATGAATGGCAAGACAAAATGTAGAGCTCAACTTACCCAAAGGAAAAAAGGCTCAAAAGACAAATTATGGCACAACTTAGCAGCCAAATTCTTACCAAGTACAGACTTTTGACATACTGATCTCTCTCCAGTTCCAAGTCGGAACATGCACTTTGAATGATGTCATTCAAAATTACCCTGCCCAGACACACTTTTCATTGATTCTCTTGGAGGGCAGTTCTAAGAGTCTCTGGGGCTTTCTCTGCATCATGAGACGCAGTGCAGTTCTGCCCTTCACCTTCCGGCAGTTTGTCACCTCGTCCCTATGACCTCACAGGAACTTTGTCTCAGGCCAATTGTTTGTTCCTTGGCCTCTTTCATTTCCCCTAAAAATCATTTGCTGCCCCTCTAAATGGCCTACATCTCCATCTATCTCCCTCTCCCCTCAGAAGAGGGTGCTCTTTAAGCATCAGCCATCCGGCCCTTCTAGCAGTCTCATTTTTCAGCTGGTTCCCATGTTTATGCCTGTTCTATGTTTTTCTTTTCCTGTTAAGCTGTCTGTTGTCAGCTCATTTCTGCAGTGAATCTTCAGAGAGGAGATTGGAAGCTTTCCTTCCACCCATACGATAGAACTATAAAGCAGAAGAGTTTAGAAAGAATTTCCTATTTAAGTGACGAAACCTCATACTCCATTTGTGATAAATAGCACAAAGGTTAAAAAAACTTATTTTTGACCAAAAGCTCTGTTGACATTCTATTAAACAAACACCGACCTATTTAATTTTCATAATGCAAATGGCAGATGTTTTCATAATTCTTATACTAATAAATCATTTCCCTGATTTTTTGGGTAAAACCACATATTCATAATGAAGTCCAGAAATGTGAATTGTTTTATATAATTTATTCTTATTTGTGATTACAAGTATACCTCTACAGAAAGTTAGTATACTCACCCAAAGGTAAACTATCCAGAGGGTAATGACAACTTTATAACTTGTCGGAAACGCAATAATGACATGTAACCAAGGACTTCCACCAAAGTCAGTCCCACGATGATGATGGTCAGCCAGAGTATTGATAACCTGGAATAATAATAGTTGAAATAATGAAAAGGTCAATGACACTGACAATATTTCACTCAGAAAGAATCATCCTTAGAAACCGTCAACCTCCTCCAAAAGGTAACCACATCCCTCAGATATCACCGTGGGATTCCACTGCTACAAAAAAGAACAGAAGTTAGAAGTCACATGTTTTTCAGATGGCTGGTAGTGTTTTCAGGCATTGCAAATGTGGGGTGTTGTCTTTCTTGGTATAAAGCAGGGATATCCAATCTTTTGACTTCCCTGCCTATATTAAAAGAAGCAAAGTTGTCTTGAGCCACACATAACATACACTAACACTAACAATAGCTGATGATCTAAAAAAAACCTCTTTTTTTTTTTTGAGACAGAGTTCCGCTCCACTCAGTCGCCCAGGCTGGAGTGCAGTGGTGCAATCTCGGCTCACTGCAACCTCCAGCTCCTGGGCTCAAGCCATTCTCCTGCCTCAGCCTCCCGAGTAGCTGAGATTACAGGTCTCTGCCACCATGCCCGACTCATTTTTGTATTTTTAGTAGAGATGAGGTTTCACCACGTTGGCCAGTCTGGCCTTGAACTCCTGACAGGCGATCTGCCTACCTCGGCCTCCCAAAGTGCTGGGATTACAGGTGTGAGCCACCGTGCCCAGCCATTTTTTTGTTTTTGTTTTTGTTTGTTGTTTTTGAGATGGGGTCTCACTCTGTCACCCAGGCTGGAGTGCAGTGGTGTGCTCCCGGCTCACTGCAACCTCTGCCTCTCAGGTTCAAGTGATTCTCCTGCCTCAGCCTCCTGAGTAGCTGGGAGTACAGGTGCCTGACAGTGCACTCAGCAAATTTTTGTATTTTTTGTGGAGATGGGGTTTTGCCATGTTGGTCAGGGTGGTCTCGAACTCCTGACCTCAGGTAATCTGCCCGCCTCAGCCTCCCAAAGTGCTGGGATTACACGCATGAGCCACTGTACCTGGCCAAAATCTCCTAATGTTTTAAGAAAGTTTACAAATTTGTGTTGAACTGCATTCAAAACTGTCCTGGGCCACATGCAGCCCGTCACTCATGGGTAAGACAAGCTAAGTATAAAGTAATTATCTTATCTTTTCTTTTCTTTTTGTTTTGAGACAAAGTTTTGCTCTGTCACCCAGGCTAGATTGCAGTGGCATGATCTCAACTCACTGCAACCTCCGCCTCCCGGGTTCAAGCGATTCTCCTGCCTCAGCTACTGAGTAACTGGGATTACAGGCGCCTGCCACCACGCTCGGCTAATTTTTGTATTTTTAGTAGAAACAGGGTTTCACCATCTTGGCCAGGCTGGTCTCCAACTCCTGACCTCATGATCCACCTGCCTTGGCCTCCCAAAGTGCTGGGAATACAGGTGTGAGCCACTGCACCTGGCCAGTAGTTATCTTTTCTTTAAAGTTATTTACTTGTTTTTTAAATTGATGTATAACATTGGATGCATTTATTATATATCACATGGTAAAAGAATCCCTCTAAATAATACTTCTCTCTTGGATTATATGAATCTTTGTCATTTAAATCTCAGCATAAGTAAAAAAAAAAAAAATACAATGAAGAGATTACTTCATTCACAAATAAGTATCAAATTTTAGTGCTTAAAAATTAACAAGGTGGGCTGGGCGTGGTGGCTCACGCCTGCAATCCCAGCACTTTGGGAAGCCGAGGTGGGTGGACCACGAGATCAGGAGATTGAGACCATCCTAGCTAACACGGTGAAACCCGTCTCTACTAAAAATACAAAAAATTAGCAGGGCATGGTGGCACGTGCCTATAGTTCCAGCTACTTGGGAGGCTGAGGCAGAAGAATCACTTGAACCCGGGAGGCAGAGGTTGCAGTGAGCCGAGATCGCACCACTGCACTTCAGCCTGGGTGACAGAGCGAGACTCTGTCTCAAAAAAAAAAAAAAAAAAAAAAAAAAAAAAAAAAAAAAAAAAAAAAAAATTATCAAGGTGGAGATCATGAAAATGGCATGAATAGTGTGGGATTTCTCTAAGATTGTTGATATTAATTCCATTAGACTCTTATGTGAGTGAAGACGAAGACTTCCCCTGAGTAAGTTCAGACAGCTTGTGATAACATTTCTACGTCGATTCCTCAGGATTTAACTATATATTCTTGAAAACATCTCAATTTTAAATGTTTCTTTCAAGATGGTGAATTAAACAGAGATAGCCCTTCAACAGGTTGAACTCAGCATATGCTGAGTCTGAAATGGAAATGATGAAGTTAGAGAACCATACAACAATGGTAATGATTTCAGAAACATGGTGTTGAGCAGAACAAAGCAGACACAAAAGAGTACCTATGGCATGGCATGCATCTGTATACGCGAAATTCCAGAATAAGCAAGCTAACCTATGATAAGAAAGAGACTGGCTGGGAAGACTGAGAGTTCACTTTCTGGGGTGACATAATAGTGTAGATCTTGGCTGGGCATGGTGGTTCACGCCTGTAATCCCAACGCTTTGGGAGGCCGAGGCGGGCGGATCACCTGAGGTCGGGAGTTCAAAACCAGCCTGACCAACATGGAGAAACCCTATCTCTACTAAAAATACAAAATTAGCTGGGAGTGGTGCCACATGTCTGTAATCCCAGCCACTCGGGAGGCTGAGGCAGGAGAATCGCTCGAACCTGGGAAGCAGAGGTTGCGGTGAGCTGATATTGCCCCATTGCACTCCAGCCTGGGCAACAAGGGAGAAACTGTCTCAAAATAAATAAATAAATAAATAAATAAATAAATAAAATAATGTAGATCTTGAAAGGGGGTTGGTTTATGCTGGTGTATGTACTTTCCAAAGTTAGTAAACTTACACTTAAGGTTATATATTTTGGCCAGGCGCGGTGGCTCACGCCTGTAATCCCAGCACTGGGAGGCTGAGGCAGGCAGATCACGAGGTCAAGAGATGGAGACTATCCTGGCGAACATGGTGAAACCCCGTCTCTACTAAAAATACAAAAAATTAGCCGGGCGTAGTGGCGGGCGCCTATAGTCCCAGCTACTTGGGAGGCTGAGGCAGGAGAATGGCGTGAACCCGGGAGGCGGAGCTTGCAGTGAGCCGAGGTCCCGCCACTGCACTCCAGCCTGGGCGACAGAGCGAGACTCCGTCTCAAAAAAAAAAAAAAAAAAAAAAAAAAAAAAAAATTAGCCAGGCGTGGTGGTCTACTAAAAATACAAAAATTAGCCAGGCGTTGTAATCTGAGCTACTCAGGAGGCTGAGGCAGGACAATTGCTTGAACCCCAGAAGCGGAGGTTGCAGTGAGCCGAGATCTTGCCACTGCACTCCAGCCTGGGCGACAGAGTGAGACTCTGTCTAAAAAAAAAAAAAAAAAAAAAAAAAGTCATCAAACCAGATGACACAAATCAAATGACATTTCACTTTGTTTTGGTCCATTTTCTTTGTTAAAAACAAGAGTGCAGCGGGGCCATCTCGGCTCACTGCAACGTCCAGCTCCTGGGCCCAAGCGATCCTCCCACCTCAGCCTCTCCAGTAACTGGGATAACAGGTACGCACCACCAGGCCCGACTAATCTTTATTGGAATTTTTTGTAGAGATGGGGTTTCGCTATGATGCCCTGGCTAGTCTTCAACTCCTGGACTCAAGTGATCTGCCCACCTCGGCCCCCTAAAGTGCTGGGATTACAGGCCTGAGCTGTGTAATTTCATGCCACGTGATACAGCCCAGTAAAAAGGAAGAAACCCCACGGGTCCAGCGTCTACTCACAGAGATGCACTGATGGCTGATAAATTCCAGTAGGAGCCCAAAGAGGAGCCAAAAGAGCATCCACCGCACCCGCATGTCCTGGTCCTTTCAGGGCGCCCTGAGGCGGCCAGGACAGAGGTGGAGGTGGCTTAGGGCAGGGGGGAGGGAAGGGGACGGGGACCGGGGCCGGATCTGAGTTGGGGAGGGGGAGGGGGAGGGGAGGGGGAGGGGAAGGGGAGGGGAAGGGGGGAAGTAAGGGAAGGGAAAGGAGGAGAAGGGGGCTGTTGGGCACCTGGAGGAGGTGGAGGAGGAGGAGGAGAAGAAGAAAGGGGTCTGGGAAAGGATCCGGTTCAAATTAAGTTCTCAAGCGCTGGTGGAAGGTTTAGCTACAGGTCACGGAGAAGATCAGGGAAGCAACAGGACACGCGGGGCAAGGGAGCGTGAGGCTTAGGAGCAATCAGAGGGAGACAAAAAGGTTCTGCTATCCACCAAACCTTCTTCGGTCTGGGCCCTCCCTTACCAACCCTGGGGCTTTATACTCCCTCTCCACCAATCCCTGATGACCCCGGTGGTGCCTCACAATGGACAGTGCCTCACAATGGACAATGCCAAGTAGCGCCCGCATCATTCCAATGACCCCTCCCCCATCTCAGTCTCCCACACTCCTCCCAAAGACAGGTCCTCTCTGGAACCTTCACAAACCTGATTTCTGGTCCTCCCCAACCAGCTCCCTGTCCCTGCTTCTGGGCGCTCCTTCCTTCCTGAGCTCCCAGGGTTCCTCAAGGTCACTTATGGCGACAAAACATAAAAAACAAATGATGGCAGGATGGCAGGAAGAACCTCATACCCAAGCAGAGTGCCAGGTTTTACAGCCTCCGCTCAGCCATTCATATCCTAAGCAACAAAACATCAGCAGGGTGCGGAAGGTCCCGATAGTAAACCATCTCCATCACATCCATGTAGCCATCCGTCCATCAACCTGTATCTCAGGAACAAATGTAGATACATTCATTTTAAGCATGCCTGGTACATTTACAAAAATTAACCTGACTTATTTTGTTCCAGCAAATCTCAATATATTTGAGAGCAATCAAATCACACAGCATGTTTCTGATCATATAACTGTGCTAGAAGTCAATGATTAAAAGCTAATTCAAAATTATTATTTGCTTGGAAATTCAAAGTGCCCTTATAAGACATAAACATAAGAAAGAATCCAAAATGAAACAAGATTGCCTTTCAACTCAATGATGAGATCATAACATGGCAATAAAATGTCTCCCTCTGGCCTGGGAATTCCTCTTTGTGGCACAAGGTTGTGTGATCTCAAATCACCGCTAACCCACCTAGACATTTTAACATCCGAAACCGAGTGATGACGTCCTTATCTATATCATCTTACTGCCTGTGTGTGTGGACTTTAAATTCTGAACCCAAATGAGGGGGAGAAAACCAAGTTGACTTTCATGACTGAGCTCTCAGGGACGTCCAAGGAATCTGTGCATTTCAAGAAACAAAGTTCATCAGCTTCTCTCCTAAGGTATTTGCCCACAATACCCAGAGGGCTTGGCAGCATCATGTGTGATGGGTGGGGAGCTCCAAGCAGGTGGGCAGGACCCAGGGGCCTGGTGACCAGGACAGACCCCCACTGTCCATCACCTTTCCTGGCCCTGTCCTCTGCTAAACTTCCCACAGGCCTTCTGCCCGATCACACAGAGTATGCCCAAACTCTCTCAGGCCTCTGGCAGCTGAAAACCACTGCTTTAAATCCCTTTACCATTTACTATGACATAAGGTTATTGTAAACAGGAAATATTCTATTGATGCTACAAATGGAAAGCCAATGCCTTTACCATAAATAGAAAAACAACCCTAAGAAGCAAGCAAAACAAAAACAAAACAGGGGCTGGGTGTGGTGGCTCACGCCTGTAATCCCAGCACTTTGGGAGGCCGAGGTGGGCGGATCACAAGGTCAGGAGTTCCAGACCAGCCTGGCCAATATGGTGAAACCCTGTCTCTAATAAAATACAAAAATTAGCCGGGTGTGGTGGTGGGCGCCTGTAGTCCCACCTACTTGGGAGGCTGAGGCAGGAGAATAGTTTGAACCCGGGAGGCAGAGTCTGCAGTGAGCCGAGATTGCACCACTGCACTCCAGCCTAGGCGACAGAGCGAGACTCTGTCTCAAAAACAGCAACAACTACAAACAAACAAAAAACAGGGTTAACAAAAGTATGGAATTCAATTCTTTTTATATGCTGCAGCCATGTTCCTGCCCTAGATTTGGCTGGGCATGGTGGCTCACGCCTGTAATCCCAGCACTTTGGGAGGCTGAGGCAGGCGGATCACGAGGTTAGGAGTTCGAGACCAGCCTGACCAACATGGTGAAACCCCGTCTCTACTAAAAATACAAAAATTAGCCAGGCATGGTGGCACACGCCTGTAATCCCAGCTACTCAGGAGGCTGAGGCAGGACAATCCCTTGGACCCGGGAGGCGGAGGTTGCAGTGAGCCGAGATCGTACCATTGCACTCCAGCCTGGGTGACAGAATGGAATGAGACTCTGTCTCAAAAAAAAAAAAAAAAAAAAAAGCAGCCCTAGATTTCGGTTGTGGTGGTTGTAAAAGGAGAGACCAAGTAAGTGGGGGTTGAAGTCAGATTAGAGCAAAAGTGAATGGCAGAGAGTACTATAATGTCCATGAAGGGCTGCTAGAGTCACCGTGATCATAGCCCAAGCAGAGATAGGGAAAGGAAGATGTGAGCAGAGTTTGGGGTCTCGAACAATGGAGGTTATTCGTGCAGCCCAGGAAAGGCTCCCCAAAGCCAGGATCAACCTCCCTTGGAGGCGGTCCCTCATGGAGGCATGGTCAGGCACCTTAGATTTGAGACCAGCTATGTTGCTGCTGACCAGCTGTGTGACCCTGGGCTGGTTTCCTTCCACACAATGGGAGTGCCAATGGCTGCATGCATGCAAAGACCGTCTGAGGATAGGAGGAAGCAATCTGCTGAGCACCCGTGTACCTGAGTGTCATCACCTCCCAAGGGCATCCTTCGTTCCAGAGCTGGCACCTTGGAAGGCCCTTGGTCACTGAAGGCAGTGATGATGGTAACAGCAGTAAATCATCATTTACGGCTGATGAGGGAAGGCCAGGGGTAGGGCTCCTAGGTCCTGGATAAGAATGAGGGTCTGGGCACTCCTGGGGACAGCTGAGTGGTAGGACTCCTGGGTCCCCAGGGGGCAGGTCCATCTTCAGTGGCATTGGGCCTAGGCTGGGATGCTGAGTTATCCACTGGAGCATCAGCAGTACAGGCAGGCACAGAGGCAGTGGATCCATCGGAGGTGGCAGGTGTAGGATCGTCTGGTGAGCAAGTAGAGTCACCAAATCTGGCTGACCACTACCCCCACTACCCCCACTATCCCCACAGACGATGCCCTGTCCCTTGCCTCATGCTCCGGCAGGGTACAGGCTCGCACCTGGGGCCTCAAGGAGCATCTCTCTAAGACCTCTGTGTCCTGGTCATTGAATGGGCACTTGAGTCACCCAGGGCCATTGGAACAAAGAGGAAGAATCAGGCCCCACGATGTTTTGGGAGAGTGTTTAGCACAGGAAAATGCGCAGAATACACGCACGACACGGGGGCACTGTCAGTGTGGGAGCAATGGTTTACAACCTCCAGCCCTAATCTGAGCACTCTCACCTGTGCAATCTGAAAGGAACAGGAGACTTGCAGGAAAGACAGTGCCTGGATTTAACTTAAAGGAACTAAAAATGTTGGAATTTTTACTCTTGATATCCTTCCAAATCAACTCTCTCAATGTTCCCATCCTCAAAACTATCATATGGGGTAACTGAGGCAGTCAGAGATTTACTGACTCAATGTCACTCAATTGATTCTGAGTTCACTGCTGATTACATCCGACCAAACTGCTTTTTCTGAAGTCTACTCCGTTTAATCATGCTGGTGATGATTTTGTGCGGCTCTGGGACAAACTCCACCTGGCTGAAGATAAAGCAAATCTGCGGTGACTTAGTCCTCCTGTCATTTCCCATCAGTTCCCCACTCTCCTCCTCTGCCCCTCCACAGTCTCCCATGCAGGCTGACACCATATGACGGCCTTAATGGAGTCCACCGAGTATTTCAGGTTCTCTCCTGGGCCACTTGAAAGTGGATGTACCCATGGGATTTGCTTTGACCCAGGAGATGTGCGTGGAAGTGAAGCGTGTCACCTCGAGGCAGAAGAGTTGGGAGCCATTGAGACGGGCCACTCTCTCCTTCATCTCTTAGAGCAGCTGACAGCTCCCATATGGAGGCTGCTCCTTTATTCTCGTGGCAGGATGAGGGCATGTGGGGCACAGGGCACAGGAGAGCCATGGAGGATGTGCAGCATGGGCAGGAAAAGAGCCTTCAGTGGTGTACATTTCCATAGTTTGGGGCTGTTTCTTACCTACAGTGATACCTAGCCCATCCTAGCAGGCATGCACCATCTACTCCACACTCTGTGATGCAGACTAGCCTGCCGTCAGAACACGAACTGGTGGTCAGACACAGGTAGGTTTCAGTTCCAGCTCTGCCTCTTATTGACTGCAACCTCAGGCTTAACTTTCAGTCTCTGAGCCTCAGTTTCAACTCTGTAAAATGAGGTGGCTATACCATCTCAGGTTGCAGAGAGAATTAAATGAAATATAAGTGCATGTAGAGCATTGAACCCAGGGCCTGGCACACACAGTGAGTACACAATGTTAGCCAGGTAGCTTCATAATGCATACTGATTGTCAATATTCAGACAATGCAGTAAAGTGTTACCAAAAATAAAAGTAAACTTATTTGCATATGTATTCTTTCAATCTTTATTTTTAAACAGGGTAAAACTATGCATATTCTTTCATAGCCAGTGTTTTTCTCTTCATAGTATATTGTTAAAATAATTTTACTTGGACCGGGTGCAGCGGCTCACACCTATAGTCCCAGCACTTTGGGAGGCCGCGGTGGGCAGATCACGAGGTCAGGAGTTGACACGAGCCTGGCCAATATGGTGAAACCCCATCTCTACTAAGAATACAAAAATTAGCTGGGCATGGTGGCACACACCTGTAGTCCCAGCTACTCAGAGGCTGAGGCAGAGGAATTGCTTGAACCCGGGAGACAGAGGTTGCAGTGAGCCAAGATTGTGCCATTGCACTCCAGCCTGGGGGACAGAGTGAAACTCTGTCTCAAAAAATATGTGTGTGTGTGTGTGTGTGTGTGTGTGTGTGTGTGTGTGTGTGTGTGTGTGTGTGTATCTATATAAATCTCAAAAATAAAAGATCATTTTTGAGATTATCATTTTAAAAGACAAGATAATGTTCAACTTAATGACTAATTTAATTATTACTATTGGACTTTTTGTAGACTGCACAGAGCATTCAAAACAAATGAAGGAGAATAAAAAATATGTATTACATGTTATAAAATAAATGTGATGTGGTTAACTCTTTTATTCAAAGTTATAGAACATACATATGTACTATAGAATGTATTATTATGAGTCATGTTAAAAAGTAGTTTAGAAGCTGTTGATTTGAATTTCCTTTTCAAATTTTGCAGGATAATTTTTTTTTTTTTTTTTTGACAGAGTCTCGCTCTGTCGCACAGTCTGGAGTGCAATGGCGTGATCTCGGCCCACTAAAACCCCCACCTCCTGAATCTAAGCAATTCTCCTGTCTCAGCCTCCTGAGTAGCTGGGACTACAGGCTCACACCACCATGCCCGGCTAATTTTTGTATTTTTAGTAGGGACGAGGTTTTGCCATATTGGTCAGGCTGGTCTCAAAGTCCTGGCCTCCGGTGATCCACCAGCCTCAGCCTCCCAAAATGCTGGGATTAGAGGCATGAGTCACCATGCCCAGCCTAAACTTGGCAAGCTAATAAATCACCTTTTTAAGTGTCGTTGGGCACTTGTCTGGTTGTTTTTCTTTAGGTTACCATGCCAGCAATGATTCCTTTTGAGTTTCTGACAGAAGATAGTGGTTTTCATCCAAATAAGTCAACTACTCTACCCCATCCCTAAGCCACTTGTATGGAAAGAAAAAGAGGAAGAAGCCAGTACTGTGACTGCGTAAGCTTCCCCCAGCATCACCGGCTATGAGATGTGTGGCAGCTGAGACCCGGGAACTGCTCAAGGGCACCAGGCCCCATCTGTCTGCACTCACTCACCTTCCTCAGGTACTCGCATGGGCATGTCACTGACTTTACATGCTGCTGCAGCTCCTTGGTGAGCTGGCCCTGGTCATGGGACAGGAACTGTGGGGTCAGGACAATAGAGAGCTTCACCATTTGCAGAATGAGAACAGGGGCTCATGATGAGTGCCAACCTATTAGATAATTTAAAAAAAAAAGTGTTGAATGAGTGGAAAAACAAGGTGATGTTTGAGTCTATAGTGGTCAAGGGCTTCAGAAAAGGACAGAACCAAGTTCAAATTCCTGTACTTTGAATTTCTACTTCATGCCATGCAAAATTACTTTACCCCTTTTAACCTCAGTTTTCTTCTGTGTGAAACAGGAACAATAGTTTCATTCGTCATTCAGTTTCTCTCAAGATTTCACGAGATCATACCTATAAAACATCCAAGTCATTTAAATGTATCATCATTTCTGTCATAATTAGTGGGATCCATTTCACTATTATTGGATATACAGTTCTGTGCCTGAAACCTACAAAAAAACAAAATGTTAAGTCTAAAAAGCATTAGTGATTTCTCATTTTTATATTACTAATTATAACCCTATTTAATCACACAAGGCCTTGTCCGCGGCAGGTGCTCAATAAACACTTGTCGAATCAATGCATGTGGGCTCCGGAGCCACACTGTTTAGATTCTATTCTGCCTCCACCACTTATCAGCTGTGTGATCTGGGTAAGATAATTCACCTCTTTATGTCTGCACTTCCCTCTCCATAAACTATATATAATGAGAATCCTTAGCTCATTCGGTTGTGGTGAGGGGTGAATGATTTGGCACACAGGAGGGGCTTGTTAAACATTAGCTGTGATGATCTCCTTCCAAATCTTCATTTTCAGAGCCACAGATGAGGCCATAGTGCAACCAGGTGACCTTAGAGTGTAAGTACACATGATCGCCAGCTATGCTCTATCTCCACCATAGGTCCAAGACTGGGTAGTTCTGGCCTGGAGGTTTCTGCTGCATCTGCCTTCTCAGTGTTCACCTAAGGACTTTTGTATTTTCCTCCTCGCATCCCCACAGATGGGGTTCAGGCTGCCGGACACAGCTGGGTGATGCCAGGGCAGTGGTCACCTGTGCCAGCCCCGTGAGGTAGCTGGAGGATCATTGTTCCTTCCTTCTCGGGCTCTGGGCAGATGCCAGGGCTGGGGTGACCCATGCCCTCAAGTTTCTTGCTTTGGTGGGCCACATTTTCCCTTGGCAAAGAGGGTAAAGGTCACAGGATGCCGGAGAGCTGTGACTTCTCTGTGCCCTGGGCCCAAACTATGAAGACCTGACACACTATGCTAAAAGTCCAACGCTGGGTGCTCCCCAGAGCTTCTTGCCTCACCGCTTCTGCTGAGGGAGGAATGAATACTATGTCCTCCCAGAGCTTTGGGAGCTTGTAGCAAGCAGCCTCCCCAGCGCAAAATCTCTTGGAAACCTCTAACTGTGTCTGAAACATTAGTGCAAATGTTGCATCCTATTTCCCATATGTCCGCATGTTTTAGAAAAAAACCCTCAATTTCCTAAATATGCAAGAAAAATCGGTATTGTAGGACAATGTGACTTTTTAAAAAATGTTATTTAAAAATCTTCCCCACCTCCTTTTCTGCCCTCCAAGACTGCCAAATACTTGTTGAACATATATTATTAAATGCCTACTACATGCCAGCCATGATTCATGGTCTTGGGGACACAGCAGAGAACGAACTGACAGGACTCCTCTCTTATGTAACTCACATTCTTATATGATAATGATAAGGGTTAACATTAATTAAGCTGTCACTGCATGTTAGTCACGGTGCAGTCATTCCCACACATTATTACACTTAAACCTGCTAGCAAGCTTGCAAGGTAGTTAGTTGTTTTTCCTTTAAAAACTGAGTCTCGGAATGATGAAGCACTCTGTCCAATGTCACACAGCTAGTAAGTGTGGAGACCTTGCATCCAATCAATGCCCGTCTCATTCTAAAGGCCATGTTATGTGTTCTCCAGCCCATGGAGAATAATTTTAACACAGTCAATGAAATTTCTACACAACAATGTTCTTGTCTCAAGTCCAAGAATGCCTCCTACACCTCCTATAATACTGGCTTTCTGGTGAGTAAAGATGCCATTCTCATGTGTAATCAGGTGGCAAATGGAGATATGACCAAAGTAACCACCTGCCTACACTCATAACCCTGTACACACTCTTCCTGTGTCGATTCAATTCAAGTACCCCTTTTGATCACTTAGCAAATCTGACCTTTAAAAGGGTTAGGGTTTTTATATCCATGTAAGTTTCTGTATTGCTTTGGAAGTCTCTGGTTAAATTAATACTCTTTTAATAGTGACCTGTGATTCTGTTTTGATCAAGTGTTTTCAAACTTGACATCTTTGATGGGTTTCTCCAGTGTCAAAATCCTAAATCAAGTCTTTTTGGCTTAAAACTAACTTTGGGATTTTTTTCAGCTGCATCCCTTGGGGAGTCTAAAGAATGTATCTCTCATCTTGTAGAGGTATTAAGTGATTCGATTTATTTGGTAGATTAAATGGGCAGGCATTGTCAAATGTGGCGATACTGCATGGGAGGGCACTGTCAAGTGAGGTGACATTAGATCTCATCTCAGTTATATTTATGGGTATGTTGTTGATATGCGTGTTCCAAAAATTGCATACATTTATACAAATTTAATATGATTTGTAATTTTGATAGTTATGCTAAATATTTGCTAAAGTTATATTTGTATAAACATGTCACGAATGGCTGGGCACCGTCACTCATGCCTGTAATCCCAGCACTTTGGGAGACAAAGGCACGTGGATCACCTGAGGTCGGGAGTTCCAGACCAGCCTAATAGAGTGAAACCCTGTCTCCACTAAAAATACAAAAATTAGCCATGCCTGGTGGCACATGCCTGTAATCTCAGCTACTCGGGAGGCTGAGACAGGAGAACTGCTTGAACCCAGGATGCGGAGGTTGTAGTGAGCCGAGATCATGCCACTGCACTCCCGCCTGGGTGACAAAGGTAGAATCTATCCAAAAAAAAAAAAAAAAGTTATTATTTCTGAAGATTGTATGAAATTTATAAAAGTCTGCTGGCCCTGATATGATGCTGTCAGTCATGATTCTGATTACTGTCTTAAAATGCTGCACATAAGTAATTAAATTTCCTTGTGAACTGGGAAGTTTCATCAGACTTTTATCATAACTATTGTTTCCATCATCCACAGTTACTGTTTTGAATTCTTCTCTAAAAATATTTGTAATTGGCAATAGTCCAAATTTTCTTTTGTTTTCTTTCCTGTTTTTGAGACACAGTCTGGCTCTGTCGCCTAAGCTGGAGTGCAGTGGTGGGATCTCGGCTCACTGCAAACTCTGCCTCCCGGGTTCACGCCATTCTCCTGCCTCAGCCACCCAAGTAGCTGGGACTACAAGTGCTGCCACCACATCCAGCTAATTTTTTGTATTTTTAGTAGAGACAGGGTTTCACTGTGTTAGCCAGGATGGTCTCAATCTCCTGATCTCGTGATCTCCGCGCCTCGGCCTCCCAAAGTGCTGGGATTACAGGTGTGAGCCACCGTGCCCAGCCTAATTTTTGCATTTTTAGTAGAGAGGAGGTTTCACCATGTTGGCCAGGGTGGTCTCGATCTCCTGACCTTGTAATCCGCCTGCCTCAGCCTCCCAAAGTGCTGGGATTACAGGCGTGAGCCACTGCAACTGACTTTTTTTCTTTTTCTTTTTTTTTTTTTTTTGAGACAGAGACTCACTCTGTCACCCAGGCTGGAGTGCAGTGGCATGATTTTGGCTCACTGCAACCTCCACCTCCTGAGTTCAAACAATTATCCTGCCTCATCCTTCGGAGTACCTGGGATTACAGGTGCGTGCCACCGTGCCCGGCTCATTTTTGTATTCTTAGTAGAGACGGCATTTCACCATGTTGGCCAGGCTGGTCTCAAACTCCTGGCCTCAACTGATCCACTCTCATTGGCCTTCCAAGGTGCTGGGATTATAGGCGTGAGCCACCACAACTGGCTCAGTAAATACATTTTTTATTATCAAAAAAGAGTAGTGTATGGTTGGCGTATTCTGTGTAGAATGTATTTTATTGATGTCTGCTATTTTTATAATTTCTGAGTTAAGTACTTTTTAATTAATGCTTTTTAGTTTTGGGCAGATTCAGTTGACTAAAGCACCTCATTTCCCAGATACATGAAATAAAATATTTGGCTTCTTTTCCAATTTCACACTGATGTTATTTTGTGAAAATCAGTGCTTTAAGATAAATCGTTATACGTTAAGATAAACATGAGAAACTTGATCTAATATTTAATATTTATTCAGTTCTACACTTTATTAACTTCTACACCAGCAGATTTAGACATTATGTAACCATCTCAAGAAGTTTCACTTGGATGTAATGCTTCACGCTTGTAATCCCAGCACTTTAGGAGGCTGAGGTGGGAGGACTGCTTAAGGCAAGGAGTCTGAGACCAGCCTGGGCAATACAGCAAGATCCCATCTCTATTTTAAAGAAAAGTTTCACTTTGGGAGGCCAAGGCGGGTGGATCACAAGGTCAGGAGATCGAGACCATCCTGGCTAACATAGTAAAACCCCATCTCTACTAAAAATATAAAAAATTAGCCGGGCGTGGCGGTGGGCGCCTGTAGTCCCAGCTACTCGGGAGGCTGAGGCAGAAGAATGGCGTGAACCCGGGAGGCAGAGCTTGCAGTGAGCTGAGATTGCGCCACTGCACTCCAGCCTGGGCGACAGAGCGACACTCCATCTCAAAAAAAAAAAAAAAAAAAGTTTCGGCAAATTCCATCTAAGAATTCCACCAGAGTTCTGTTGTCTCCAATGTCATCTTCCACAGATTTCAAGTTGTGAAGCCCTGAACTGTTAATTTATCTTGAGAATGTATATTTAAGCTTAATTTAAGACTATATACCTAAAAATTGAGCATATAATTTCTATAATTTGTTTATGTAAGTTTCTGTAAGTCATAAGTATGTGGTTTCCAAGTGTATAATTTATCTGAATGTAATAGGCATTAATATATTTTTACATTACTGGGACCATAGTACAGAAATTTCTAAATGGTTTGTAAAATAACTTGTTATTTGTGTTGTTGTAAAAGCAGTTAATACAATGGAAAAACTCGTAATAAGAAGATACAGTTTAACATCAAAAAGTTTACCCAAGGTAATTATGAGTACTACCTGGCAAAACTTCACGGAAGCTGTGGTATCACTTTTATGATGGAAGAATGGTGTTTGCATTTTGTGTAAAAGTACTTGCGGCTGGGCGTGGTGGCTCATGTCCCAGTGCTTTGGGAGGCGAAGGCAGGTGGATCATCTGAGCCCAGGAGTTTGAGACCAGCCTAGGCAACGTGGCAAGAGCCTGTCTCTCCAAAACCTACAAAATTTAGCCAAGCTTGGTGGTGTGAGCCTGTAGTCCCAGCTACTTGGGAGACTCACGCTGGAGGATCTCTCGAGCCCAGGAGGCAGAAGATGAATAAATAAATGGAAGCAACTGAATGGGATGAGGTCTCTCTTGAAGGAGAGAGCAAAAGAGATTTAAATAGTAACAATTATAATAAGGCTGGGCGCTGTGGCTCACGCTTGTAATCCCAGAACTTTGGGAGGCCAAGGCAGGCGGATCGGTTGAGGTCAGGAGTTCAAGACCAGCATGGCCAACACGGTGAAACCCTGTCTCTATTAAAAATACAAAATTAGCCGGACATGGTAGTGCGTGCCTGTGGTCTCGGCTACTCAGGTGGCTGAGACAGGAGAATCGCTTGAACCTGGTAGGCACAGGTTGTAGTGAGCCGATAAATATAAAAAGTATTAGAGTACTAACAGAGGAAAGTTTCCACTGATCACCTTTTAGCTTTAAATAATGCAGAAGCATTTGCCCAGTTTACTTGTAATTAAAAATCATGCATCATTCACAATTTATATCTTTTTTGTTTGTACAAAAATGAACACAAGTTATTCTCTTTTATCTGTATTGTGATTGGTTTGGTGAGAGGGAATTAGGCCACTTGAGAGTTTGTGTGTGTTTACAATTTTCTGGCCAGGCACGGTGGCTCATGCCTGTAATCCCAGCACTTTGGGAGGCCAAGGCGGGCGGATCACTTGAGCTCAGGAGTTCGAGACCAAATTGGGCAACATGGTGAAACCCTATCTCTACGAAAAATACAAAAATTAGCTGAGTGCCGTGGCTTGCGCCTGTCCTCCCAGCTACTTGGGGGGCTGAGGCAGTAGGATCGCTCAAGCCCAGGAGGTGGAGGTTGCAGTGAGCCAAGATCACGTCACTGCACTCCAGGAAGGGCAACAGAGCAACACTCCTTCTAAAAAAAAAAAAAAAGAAAGAAAGAAAAGAAAATTAACTTTGGTATTTCAGGTTGTATTTAAATGGAGACTTAACATGAACTATGTTCATAACACTTGACCAAATTAAGTGTAGATCGTCTCTTTAATAAAGAGATCATCTGGAACTGCAATTTCTAACTCATACATCATTGCTACAAACCTTATTTGTTTACTGTTTCTCTTCCAAGGACCATCAGTCATCCTTTAAAATTCATTTCAAGCTCTGAAAAGATATTTTTTGTTACATGGGCAATTTACTTTTAGTACAGTAAAATGTTATGTGAATTTCTACAGTATGTTTGCCAAAATGAATTATATCTAGAATACGCTTAACAATATATTCTGGAGGCAGCTTTCATTTGAAATTAGGTTCACCTTCTGAGAGTATGAAAAAGTTAATGGGTTTTTGTGCCTGAAGATTTTGATGTTGCATTTGGCTACATTTAATCCACTTTCACCCATAAGTTTTAGCATCTAAAAAAATTAAATCACTGCTAATGCAATTAAAATGCATTATGAAATGCATTTCTGTCCAGGCTGGAGTGCAGTGGCACAATCTCGGCTCACTGCAAGCTCCGCCTCCCTGGTTCACACCATTCTCCTGCCTCAGCCTCCCTAGTAGCTGGGACTACATGTGCCCGCCACCACGCCCGGCTAATTTTTTTTTTTTTTTTTTTTTTTAATGAGGCGGAGTCTCGCTCTGTTGACCAGGCTGGAGTGCAATGGCATGATCCTGGCTCACTGCAACCTCTGCTTCCTGGGTTCAAGTGATTCGCCTGCCTTGCTGGGATGACAGACGTGCACCACAATGTCCGGCTAATTTTGTATTTTTAGTAGAGACATGGCTTCACCATACTGGCCAGGCTGGTCTTGAACTTCTGACCTCAGGTGATCCCACCTTGGCCTCCCAAAGTGCTGGGATTATAGGCATGAGCCACTGTGCCCAGCTTAAGATCTCTGTTTTAATGTTAATGCTGGTCAGTTGTGTCTGGATTCCAGAGGGAGGAAGGTAGAATGAGGCATGTTGACACCTCCCCTTCCCATCATGGCCTAAGCTGGTCTTTTCAGTTTACTTTGGAATGTCCTTGCTCAACAGGAAGGGTCCATTCAGTCGGACTGGGTGGCTTAGAATTTTATTTTTGGTTTACATCTCAACTATCACAGCAGCCGGGCGCGGTGGCTTCACAGCTGTAATCCCAGCACATTGGGAGGCTGAGGCAGGGGTATCACCTGAGGTCTGGAGTTCTAGACCAGCCTGACCAACATGGAGAAACCCCCCGTCTCTACTAAAAATACAAAATTACCCGGGCGTGGTGGTACATGCCTGTAATCCCAGCTACTCGGGAGGCTGAGGCAGGAGAATCGCTTGAACCTGGGAGGCGGAGGTTGTGGTGAGCTGAGATCGTGCCACTGCACTCCAGCCTGGGCAACAAGAGCGAAACTCTGTCTTAAATAAATAAATAAATAAACAAACAAACAAACAAACAAACTATCACAGCATAAAGTAGGAATATTTCGTTACTGTCTAGTTAAACTGGTTAATGCAGAAAGGAAGTCTGGTAATTCCAGTTTTAAAGTAAAATTTTGGACATTGTAGGATTGATTATTTGGCATAGTTGTGATGTTTGTTCCTGCGTTATGGTTTTGTTGGCAGGGCAGCCTTTAAGGACCTGTATATTTTCTTCTAGACTCTATATATTCCCTGTGAGTATTAGTTGTATGGTCAAACTGGCAAATTTTACCATAGGTATAAATAATAGAGAATGTGGAAGAATAGTGAATAGTGTCAGAGATAGTTAAAAGTCCATACAATAGTAGAGAAGGTAGTAAGTAATAGTGGCTTGGACTAAATATTTGTTGAATAAATGTTTTAAAAAACAGGCTACCTACAATTTGTGTTGAAGATATGAATGAATGAAGTTTCCACACCTTTATGTGGAGACCTGATAAGTAAGCAACAATAAGGAAGGGTCCCCAGGTTGGGGAGAGCCCCAAGTTGAGAACAATAATGAACAATTATTGTATGAACAATTGTTAGAGACAGCTAATCACAAACAACCTGCGGGCACAATGACCTCATTCCACACGTAGCACCCTTCAGCAGGACCCTATAAAACTTTCCTCCAGCCCTTGCCTCTTTGCAGGTAGCCCCTTCTCTGCTGAGCTGCCCACTGCAACATATTTTCACAATTTCTCTAATAAATCTGCCCTTCTTTACCTACAACTATCTTGGTAAATGGCTTTACCACCTGCAAAACTGACCCTAGGTTGTTGCTACCCGATATGGTTTGGCTGCGTCCCCACCCAAATTTCATCTTGAATTGTAGTTCCCATAATCCCCATGTGTCGTGGGAGGGACCCGGTAGGAGGTAATCGAATCATGGGGGCAGGTTTTTCCCATACTGTTCTCGTGATAGTGAATACATCTCACTAAATCTGATGGTTTTATAAAGGGCAGTTTCCCTGCACGTGCTCTCTTGCCTGCTGCCATGGAAGACATACCTTTTTGCTCCTTCTTTGCCTTCCACCATGATTCTGAGGCCTCTCCAGCCTTGTGGAACTGTGAGTACATTAAACCTCTTTTTCTTTATAAATTACCCAGTTTCCAGTATTTCTTCATAGCAGTATGAAAAGTAACTAATACACTACCCGAGACATCTTAGGAGATTTGTAATAGCTGTAATGCCAGGTCCACCATATTTTTAGCATAAAGCAAATGTTTACGCGTGATATGACTGCACGGGCTTTCTTTCAGCTGGAGCCATAGCAACTCAAGTAGTAACCCTATCTTAGTCTGATTAAAAGTAAATATTAGTCTGGGCATGGTGGGACATGCCTGTAATCCCAGTACTTTGGGAGGCTGAGACAGAAGGATTGCTTGAGCCCAGGAGTTTGAGACCAGCCTGGGCAACATGGAAAAACACCATCTCTACAAAAAATACAAAAATTAGCTGAGCTGGTGGCACACACCTGTAGTCCCAGCACCTTGGGAGGGTGAGGCAGGAGGATCTCTTGAACCCGGGAGGTGGAAGCCGCAGTGGGCAATGATCATGTCAGAGGTGTGTGAACCAGAGCAACTCCATCTTAAATAGGAGCCGGGAAAAATGAGGCTGAAACTACTGGGCTGCATTCCCTGATGGTTAAGGCATTCTAAGTCACAGGATGACATAGAAGGTCAGCACAAAATACCAGTCATAAAGACCTTGCTGATAAAACAGGTTGCAGTGAAGGAGCTGGCCAAAACCCACCAAAACCAAAATAGAGACAAGACTGACCTCCCATCATCCTCCCTGCTACACTCCTACCAGCACCATGACAGTTTACAAATGCCACGGCAACATCAAGAAGTTACCCTATATGGTCTAAAAAGAGGAGGCATGAAAAATCCACTCCTTGTTTAGCATATCATCAACAAATAACCATAAAAATGGGCAACCAGCAGCCCTCACGGCTGCTCCGTCTATGGGGTAGCCATTCTTTTATTCCTTTACTTTCTCTCTTTTTTTTTTGAGATGGAGTCTCCCTCTGTCACCCAGGCTGGAGTGCAGTGGCGCGATCTCGGCTTACTGCAAGCTTCGCCTCCCGGGTTCATCCCATTCTCCTGCCTCAGCCTCCAGAGTAGGTGGGACTACAGGCACCCGCCACCACACTTGGCTAATTTTTTTGTATTTTTAGTAGAGATGAGGTTTCACCGTGTTAACCAGGATGGTCTTGATCTCCTGACCTCGTGATCCACCTGTCTCGGCCTCCCAAAGTGCTGCGATTACAGGAGTGAGCCACCGTGCCCCTCCTCCTTTACTTTCTTAATAAACTTGCTTTCACTTCACACTGTGGCATCACCCTGAATTCTTTCTTGCACAAGATCCAAGAACCCTCTCTTGGGGTCTAGATTGGGACCCCTTTCCTGTAACTATCATGCTACTGCACTCCAGCCTGGGCAACAGAGCAAGGCCCTGTCTCAAAAAAAAAAAAAAAAAAAAAAAAAGGAACATGACTTAATACATTCATTTTGGAGGGTAAGTCTCTCAAAATAGGCCTTTCACTGGGGGAAAATGGTAAAAATACTCCCTGGTAATTCAAGAATTGGAGACTCCTGAGATGCTGCTCATATTAGCTGAGCACTTATCAATACTTCACTTTTTTCCATATATACTCAAGGAACAAGTGCTATTTAAAGTGTTTCACTCCACTGTGCTAGGTGCAAGACTATAAAGAGGTGTGAGGATCAACACTTTTATGAAAACCAGTGTCATTCTGGATATAGTTTCAGATGCTAGTGCAAAGGAAGCTCTTGGTATACGGAAAAAGTATTCAACAATAAATTAGGCATGGTTGCTTCCATTTTCTGCCTCACATACTTTTTTTTTCGTGGTTGAAGTGATATAATGTCTATGATATTTTAGATTGGCAGTTGCAAACTAGTGGTCCTCAGCGTGCTTTTTATGACACCTACAAGGTCTGAAGACTTTGATTTCATATTAAAAATCTGGGTTTCAGGCTGGGTGTGGTGTTGCATGCCTGTAATCCCAGCACTTTGGGAGGCTGAGGCAGGAGAATCGCTTGAACCAGGGAGGTGGAGGTTGCAGTGAGCCAAGATCGCGCCACTGCACTCAAGCTTAGGCAATAGAGCAAGACTCCATCTCAAAAAATGAATAAATAAATAAATAAAATCTGGGTTTCAGGCCAGGTGTGGTGGTGCACTCCTGCAATCCCAGCACTTTGGGAGGCTGAGATGGGCAGACAGCTTGACCTCAGGAATTCCAGACTAGCCTGGGCAACATGGCGAAACCCCATGTCTACAAATAATACAAAAAAATTAGCTGGGTGTAGTGGAGTGTGCCTGTAATCCCAGCAACGTGGGAGGCTGAAGTGAGAGGATTGCTTGAGCCTGGGAGGTTGATGTTACAGTGAGCTGAGATCGCCCTCCTACACTCCAACCTGGGCAACAGAGCCAGACCTTGTCTTAAAAAAAAAAAAAAAAAAAAAAAAAAAAAAAAAATTCTGGGTTTCTGGCATCTCAAAAAAAAAAAAAAAAAAAAAAAAAAGGAAAGGTCAGGGCACATGGCTGCTACAGTCCTCTATTAAGCAATGTGCCACAGCAGGGGTGCCTGACCCCTGGGCCATGGACATGTACTGGTCTGTGGCCTGTTAGGAACTGGGCCACAGAGCAGGAGGTGAATGGTGGGTAACAATTGAAGCTTCGTCTGTATTTCTGGCTGCTCCCCATTGCTTGCATTGCTGCCTGAGCTCTGCCTCCTGTCAGATCAGCAGCATCATTAGATTCTTACAGGAGCATGAACCCTGTTGTGAATTGCACACACGAGGGATCCAGGTTGCATATTCCTTATGAGAATCTAATTCCTGATGATTTGTGGTGGAACAGTTTCATCCCAAGACCATTACCATCCTGCGCCCCATCCCTTGCCGCCTGTGGAAAAATTGTCTTCCACAAAGCCGGTCCCTGGTGCCAAAAATGTTGGGGACTGCTGTGCTTTAGAATCTGCCATGAATCTGCAGCCTCTATTATATAGCTCCCTATAGACTTTGCTTCCTACCGTCTTACGTTCTGCCTTATAGGCATTTGACTTTGCAACCCTTGTTTTTGTTAGTATGCTACGCTGGTGACATTGACCAAATTGACCACACATTAATTATAAGCTTAGTTGGTGATGACCTCAACGGAATAACGTGACATAAGTATTGTGACAATACTTCTTGCATGTATCTGCAGGTGGAATTGTAAACCTGGTGGTCCGAGATGGTCTAATTCCATCTTCCTATGTATCTCCTTATATTAATAGTGGTAACATTTGTGGTGGTGATTCAGCATTTCAATGCCTCTTCTCATGGCAACAACAAACGTTTTCCTTCTGAATCAACATTAACCTAGATGTTACTGCGGATCAAAATTAGACTCTACATTTTCAACCACAGAAATACCGGGCAGTAAAAATTTTTCTTAATATTGATTGCCTACATAGGTTGTGTAATTAGCATATGTTTACAGTTCTATGATTTCTGCGTGGCTGCTACAGAGCTGGAGGGGGTAAAGCAACAGTATTTTCTCAGTTGTGCGAGCAGCATTACATTATAATAAATAGGTAATATTAAACTGGGCTGATGAGAGTTGCAAAAGACTACTTTAATGTTCATATGGAACCAAAAAAGAGCCCGCATTGCCAAGACAATCCTAAGCCCAATGAACAAAGCTGGAGGCATCATGCTACCTGACTTCAAACTATACTACAAGGCTACAGTAACCAAAACAGCCTGGTACTGGTACCAAAACAGACATATAGACCAATGGAACAGAACAGAGCCCTCAGAAATAATACCACACATCTACAACCATCTGATCTTTGACAAACCTGACAAAAACAAGAAATGCGGAAAGGATTCCCTACTTAATAAATAGTGCTGGGAAAACTGGCTAGCCCTATGTAGAAAGCTGAAACTGGATCCCTTCCTTACACCTTATACAAAAATTAATTCAAGATGGATTAAAGACTTAAATGTTAGACCTAAAGCCGTAAAAACCCTAGAAGAAAACCTAGGCAATACCATTCAGGACATAGGGATGGGCAAGGACTTCATGTCTAAAACACCAAAAGCAATGGCAACAGAAGCCAAAACTGACAAATGGGATCTAATTAAACTAAAGAGCTTCTGCACAGCAAAAGAAACTAGGATCAGTGTGAACAGGCAACCTAGAGAATGGGAGAAAATTTTTGCCATCTACTTATCTGACAAAAGGCTAATATCCAGAATCTACAAAGAACACCAACAAATTTACAAGAAAAAAAACAAACCCCATCAAAAAGTGGGCAAAGCATATGAACAGACACTTCTCAAAAGAAGACATTTATGCAGCCAACAGACACATGAAAAAATGCTCATCATCACTGGCCATCAGAGAAATGCAAATCAAAACCGCAATGAGATATCATCTCACACCAGTTAGAATGGCGATCATTAAAAAGTCAGGAAACAACAGGTGCTGGAGAGGATGTGGAGAAATAGGAACACTTTTACACTGTTGGTGGGACTGTAAACTGGTTCAACCATTGTGGAAGACAGTGTGGCGATTCCTCAGGGATCTAGAACTAGAAATACCATTTGACCCAGCCATCCCATTACTGGATACATACCCAAAGGATTATAAATCATGCTGCTATAAAGACACATGCACACATATGTTTATCGCGGCAATATTCACGATAGTGAAGACTTGGAACCAACACAAATGTCCATCAATGATAGACTGGATTAAGAAAATGTGGCACAGATACACCATGGAGTACTATGCAGCCATAAAAAAGGATGAGTTCATGTCCTTTGTAGAGACATGGATGAAGCTGGAAACGATCACTCTCAGCAAACTATCACAAGGACAAAAAACCAAACACCGCATGTTCTCACTCACAGATGGGAATTGAACAATGAGAACACTTGGACACAGGAAGGGGAACATCACACACTGGGGCCTCTTGTGTGGTGGGGGAGGGGGAAGGGATAGCAGTAGGAGATACACCTAATGTAAATGACGAGTTAATGGGTGCAGTACACCAACATGGCACATGTATACATATGTAACAAACCTGCACATTGTGTACATGTACCCTATAACTTAAAGTATAATTTAAAAAAATAAGTAAATAAATAAATAAAAAAAGAAACAATTGCTGGCTTTGCAATTCTCTTTCCTCCAAAATCGCCAAGGCCTCAATTTACTCATTGCTGAAAAAGGACGACTCTGTATATTTTTAAATGAAGAGTGTTGTTTTTACCTAAATCAATCTGGCCTGGTATATGACAACATAAAAAAACTCAAGGATAGAGTCCAAAAACTTGCCAACCAAGCAAATAATTATGCTGAACCCCCTTGGGCACTCTCTTAATTGGATGTCCTGGGTCCTCCCAATTCTTAGTCCTTTAATACCTGTTTTTCTCCTTCTCTTATTCGGACCGTGTGTCTTCTGTTTAGTTTCTCAATTCATACAAAACCATATTCAGGCCATCACCAATAATTCTATATGACAAATGCTCCTTCTAACAACCCCACAGTATCAGCCCTTACCCCAAAATCTTTCTTCAGTTGAATCTCTCCCACTGTAGGTTCCCATGCCGCCCCTAATCCCACTCGAAGCAGCCCTGAGAAACATCGCCCATTATCTCTCCATATCACCCCCAAAAATTTTCGCCACCCCAACACTTTACCACTATTTTGTTTTATTTTTCTTATTAACATAAGAAGACAGGAATGTCAGGCCTCTGAGTCCAAGCTAAGCCATCATATCCCAGTGACCTGCACGTATACATCCAGATGGCCTGAAGCAACTGAAGATCCACAGAAGTGAAAACAGCCTTAACTGAAGACATTCCACCATTGTCATTTGTTTCTGCCCCACCCTAACTGATCAATGTACTTTGTAATCTGCCCCACTCTTAAGAAGGTTCTTTATCATCTCCCCCACCCTTAAGAAGTTTCTTTGTAATTCTCCTCACCTTTGACAATGTACTTTATGAGATCCACCTCCTGCCCCCAAAACACTGCTCTTAACTCCACCGCCTATCCCCAAATCTATAAGAACCAGTGATAATCACACCACCCTTTGTTGACTCCTTTTTCGGACTCAGCCCGCCTGCACCCAGGTGAAATAAACAGCCATGTTGCTCACACAAAGCATGTTTGGTGGTCTCTTCACACAGACACGTGAGACAGGAGTTCGAGACCAGCCTGGCCAATCTGGTGAAACTCTATGTCTCTACTAAAAATACAAAAATTAGCTGGGCATGGTGGCGGGCACCTGTAATCCCAGCTACTCGGGAAGCTGAGGCACAAAAATTGCTTGAACCCAGGAGGCAGAGTTTGCAGTGAGCCAAGATCACACTGTCAGGCCTCTGAGCCCAAGCCAAGCCATTGCATCCCCTGTGACTTGCACGTATACATCCAGATGGCCTGAAGTAACTGAAGATCCACACAAGAAGTAAAAATAGCCTTAACTGATGACATTCCACCATTGTGATTTGTTTCTGCCCCACCCTAACTCTTCAATGTACTTTGTAATCTCCCCCACCCTTAAGAAGGTACTTTGTAATCTCCCCAACCCTTAAGAAGGTTCTTTGTAATTCTCCCCACCCTTGAGAATGTACTTTGTGAGATCCACCCCTGCCTGCAAAACATGGCTCTTCACCCCCTATCCCAAAACCTGTAAGAACTAATGATAATCCACCACCCTTTGCTGACTCTCTTTTCGGACTCAGCCCGCCTGCACCCAGGTGAAATAAACAGCCATGTTGCTCACACAAAGCCTGTTTGGTGGTCTCTTCACACGGACGCGCATGAAACACACGACTGCACTTCAGGCTGGGCGACAGAGCTAGATTCCATCTCAAAAAAAATAAAATAAAAAGGAGTCACCTCCCCCGAGAGGCCTCTGGACCACCCCATCTGAGCAGGCCACTCTTCCTTCTCTATCTTACCATCTTGTTTCTGTCCCAGTAGTTAGGGCTACCTCCAGTAATCCTATTTGTCCCTTTACTGTTTAGTGCGTCTCGCTTGACTAGAAGCTCCATGAAAGCAAGAGACCCTACCTGCCTCCTTCGCCACTAGACCCCCAGGGCCTGGTATGTGGTGATCGCTCAGGGCCCATTTTCTTCCTTTCCTCCTCCTCCAAGGGTGGGGAAAGAGCATCAGAAGGTCTAGGTGGCCCCAGGCCCAAACAATGCTCCTTTAAAAGGAAACTAGATTGTTACAAAGGTCAGAGGCTGAAAAGTTATTTCCGCCTTTTATCCCTCTAAATTCTTCACTTCCTGAAAAAACAAACAAACAAAAAAGCCACTGAGGGCCCTTGGACTAAATCCAGGCCTGAGTTGCTGGGCAGAGGTCAGTCTTGTCCAGACATGGGAAAAAAATAACTCGAGTCAGACAGGTGGGTCACCACAGAACTAATCCAGCCTGCAAATGGCCTGTGCAATCTTCAGCTCTGTCCAGACCTGCCTCCCTCTGGGGATGCCTTTAAAGGTGATGAATGATCTGGATGAATGGGCTTAGAAGATAAGAGGGAAAAACAAATATCACAGGTCAAATCGTTATTTGTCTTCAAGTTTAACACCGTCTACTGGACTAAAAGATGTCCAAAGAATAGTTGTTCAACTATGTAAATTCCTTTTTTTTTTTTTTTTGAGACAGAGTCTCGCTCTGTTGCCCAGGCTGCAGTGCAATGGTATGATCTTGGCTCACTGCAAGCAACCTCTGATTTTAGTATTATTAGTAGAGACAGGGTTTCACCATGTTGACCAGGCTGGTCTCGAACTCCTGACCTCAGGTGATCCACCTGCCTCGGCATCCCAGAGTGCTGGGATTACAGGCGTGAGCCACCGTGCCCGGCCAACTACATAAATTCCTAACAACGTATCTCCAGAAAGTATAGGCACAACAGCACATGCAGTCATTCCTGTAATTAAGTGCTCCGGGAGGCCAAGGCAAGAAGATCCCTTGAGCCCAGGAGTTTGAGACCAGCCTGGACAACATAGCAAGACTGTGTCTCTACAAAATATACAAAAATTGGGCTGGGGATGGTGGCTCACGCCTGTAGGCCCAGCACTTTGGGAGACCAAGGCAGGAAGATCGATTGAACTCAGGAGCTCGGGACCAGCCTGGACAACATAACGAGACCCAGTCTCTACTAAAACTCAAGAAAATTAGCCAGACGTGGTTGCATGTGCCTGTAGTCCCAGCACTTTGGGAGGCCAAGGTGGGTGGATCACCTGAGGTCAGGAGGTCGAGACCAGCCTGGCCAACATGGTGAAGTCTCATCCCTACTAAAAATACAAAAATTAGCCAGGCACGGTGGCACACACCTGTAGTCCCAGCTACTTGGGAGGCTGAGGCAGGAGAATGGATTGAACCCGGGAGGCAGAGGTTGCAGTGAGCCGAGATGGCACCATTGCACTCCAGCCTGGGCAACAGAACAAGACTCCATCAAAAAAAAAAAAAAGAAAAGAAAGAAGAGAAGAAAATTAGCCAGGTGTGGTTGCATGCACCTGTAGTCCCAGCACTTTGGGAGGCCAAGGCAGGAGGATCAATCAAGGCTAGGAGATTGAGACTGCAGAAGGAAACCCTGTCTCTAAAAACAAGGTCCAGCTAAAATCAGGGTCCAGCTCCACCACAAGCGCAGCTCCAGGGGCTGTTGAGTTTTGCCTCTACCATTCCAAGTAGTCTCTGCTCCAGACCAAGTCCCACCATCTGGCAGTCATGTCAGTCCAACCACAGTCATATCAGGGCACTTCCAGTCATTGAGTGCCCCTTGAGGAGGCTGGAGGAGAGGCCAATGACATTTGCACTTGAGACTCCAGAGTCTAGATTTATAACCACTATGTTACGGCTGCCAGTGTGGCTGCAAGGACACTTCTTTCATTCATTCATTTACAATAGATGTAGCATCTGCTGTGTGCCAGATGCCATTCTAGGTTCTAGGGAAACAAGGCAGAGCCCCTGTTTTCCAAGGCATCCACATTCTAGGAAAGACTGCTACCAGCCTGGCGTGGTGGCTCATGCCTGTAATCCCAGTACTTTGGGAGGCCGAGGTGGGCGGATCACTTGATGTCAGGAGTTCAAGACCAGCCAACATAGTGAAACCCCGTTTCTACTAAAAGTACAAAAATCAGCTGGGCATGGTGGCACGTGCCTGTAGTCCCAGCTACTCAGGAAGCTAAGGCAGGAGAATCGCTTGAACCTGGGAGGCAGAGGTTCTGGTGAGCCGAGATCATGCTACTGCACTCCAGCCTGGGCAACAGAGTGAGACTCCATCAAAAAATAATAATGATAATAAAATAAAGACTGCTACTAAACAATAAAATAACCAAACCAGATAGATGACTTCAGGTGGTGGTAAGAGCTTTGAAAGAATAAGCAAGGTAACTAACTGGTCAGAGGAAGGGAGATGGGTGCATTCCCTCAGATAGACCGCCCCAGAGGTCTGCCTCTCTGACATGACATTTGAGCAGAGACCCAACAGGAAAAGGAAGAGGCTGCTCTATGGCCGGGTACGGTGGCTCACACCTGTAATCCCAGCACTTTGGGAGGCCCAGGCGGGCGGATCACGAGGTCAGGAGATCGAGACCATCCTGGCTAAGACGGTGAAACCGTCTCTACTAAAAATACAAAAAAATTAGCCGGGCGTGGTGGCGGATGCCTGTAGTCCCAGCTACTCGGAAGGCTGAGGCAGGAGAATGGCATGAACCTGGGAGACGGAGCTTGCAGTGAGCCGAGATCGCGCCACTGCACTTCAGCCTGGGCGACAGAGTGAGACTCCATCTCAAAGAACAAAAAAAAAAAGAACCAAGAGGTGTCCAGGCGAAGAGAACAGCAGATGCAAAGGCCCTGTGGCAGAAACAATCTTGGTATGCTGGAGGAATAGGAAGGCAGCCAGTGCAGCTGGAGCAGGATAGGTTAAGGGAGGATCAAGGTGATGAGGGCCTGGAAAGAGGGGCTGGGGTCGAATCACCAGATCCTGTTGGTTGCAATGGAAGAGCCTGGAGTTTATTCTCAGAGCAGTGAGAAGCCACTGGAAAGTTGTTTTTTTGTTTTTCTGTTTTTGAGACAGAGTCTAGCTCTGTCACCCAGGCAGACTGCAGTGGTGCAATCTTGGCTCACTGTAACCTCTGCCTCCCAGGTTCAAGCGATTCTCCTGCCTCAGGCTCCCCAGTAGCTGGGATTACAGGCACATGCCACCACACCCATCTAATTTTTCTTTTTCTTTTTTTTTTTTTTTTTGAGACAGAGTCTCTGTCACCCAGGCTGGAGTGCAGTGGCGCAATCTCAGCTCACTGCAACCTCCACCTCCCTGGTTCAAGCGATTCTCCTGCCTCAGCCTCCCGAGTAGCTGGGACTACAGGTGCATGCCACCATACCTGGGTTAATTTTTTGTGTTTTTAGTAGAGACAAGATTTCACCACGTTAGCCAGGATGGTCTCGATTTCCTGACCTCGTGATCTGCCCACCACGGCCTCCCAAAGTGCTGGGATTACAGGCGTGAGCCACCGTGCCTGGCCAGCCACCGGAAAGTTTTATGTAAGCAGGGGAGTGATCTGTTTTATCATTTAGAAGGATACACACCTCTTCTTCTTTTTTTAGAGACAGGGTCTAGTTCTGTCACCCAGGCTGGAGCCCAGTGGCACAATCATAGCTTACTGTAACCTCAAACTCCTGGGCTCAAGTGATCCTCCTGCCTCAGCATCCCAAAGTGCTGGATTACAGGCATGAGTCACCATGCCTGGTCACACTTCTCATTCTTTAAACCAGACCTCATTTGTCCATCTCCCCCATCCCCCGCCCCACCCCACGGACTGTCCTATAATGCCCATACAACAGGTCACTGTTTAGAAAGTGCTACAAAGTTACAAACACAGTCCCTTCTGAGCCTCCCACCAATGTTGGTGGGTACAAGGTCAAAAAAAAAAATCTCATCTATCTAAGGGGCATAGGAGACTTTTTAGTTAGAGGGCCCAATTATAGTCCTCCTGAAAAGATGCCAAAAGTCCCCTTCAACACTTAGCAAAGATTCAAGAAAGATGAATCTCACATTCTTTGTATGGGAAATGAGGAACTTGACATCTTCAATATAATGGATTCCACTAAAATAAGATGACGATCAATAGGAACCAACTAAAAAAATACTTGACTAGCTGTTATTGAAAGGCTGAAATTCAGCTGACATAAGCAGTATTAATATTGAGCTAGAAAATAATTCGCATTGAATTCAGCCCAACTTTTGTTTTCTGATTTGGGTCTCTTCTAAATTTTTTTTTTCTTCTGGACATTGAGAACAATCCAATTTGAAGGCCTCAATGCCCAAATCTACACTCTTGTTTTATTCTATATCCTTGGTTTCTTCTTTTTTTTTGAGATGGAGTCTCATTCTGTCGCCCAGGCTGGAGTGCAGTGGCGTGATCTTGGCTCAATGCAAGATCCGCCTCCCGGGTTCATGCCATTCTCCTGCTGCAGCCTCCCGAGTAATTGGGACTACAGATGCCCGCCCCCACGCCCGGCTAATTTTTTTGTATTTTTAGTAGAGACGGGGTTTCTCCGTGTTATCCAGGATGGTCTCGATCTCCTGACCTCGTGATCCACCTGCCTCAGCATCTCAAAGTGCTGGGATTACAGGCGTTAGCCACCGTGCCCGGCCCACACCTAGGTGATTTTTAAAGTTCTTCTAGTAGAGACAGGGTCTCACTATGTCGGGTCGCCGTGTTTGATGTCAGTTTTCCCTGCCAGAATCTACAATCTCCTTGATCACCATTATATCCCAACGAAGAGCTCAGTACCTGGTACAAAGCACATTTGATCAATACTTGCTGAATAAAGAAATAAAAATGAAGAGGCACTCCAGCCTGGGCAACAGAGTGAGATGGTCTCAAAAAAACAAAAACAAAAACAAAAAACGACTGGAAAGGAGATGAGGGTACTTGTGAAGCCATATTATATGACACGCTCTGTGCTAGGACTTTTATATACCTTGTCTCATCTCTTCATCTCATATAATCCTTACAAGGATCTCAAAAGTGGGGAAATCCCCATATAACTGAAGACGAAGGCAGTTCAGAAGTTCACTGATTTGCCCTAAGGTTCCTCAATTTGCAAACGTCAGGCCAATGATCCAACCCCAGGTATGTTTGGCAGTGAAGGACCAGTTGAGTCACAGCTGCAAGTAACCACCCTGCAGTGGTCCCTATCTTGGCCGTTAGCTTACATTGACATTTAACACTCAAATTTACTCAGTAACACCAGCTATCATGTTTTCCACTAAAACTCCACAGCATTCTGGCAACTTTTCTATTTTAGAGCAATAAAGTAAATTGTTAGCATCCCTTTGACATATAAATATTTCTACAAATAGTAATTCTCTAGCCATTCATTTGGAGTATTTAAAACTCAACATTCATAGCACATTTTATGTGACAAAGAACTTATGTTCAGAACACAAAAATAAGTCGTACGTCTTCATTAAAAACAGGTGAAGAATTTGAACAAACATTTGCAAACTAAAATACAAATGAAATACACTCAACATCATTAAACAAGAAAATAAAATTATGAGATAATCACTAATAATCACTACATATGCACCACAGTGATTAAAATTTTTTTAAGTTAAGCCACGTGACCCAACAAGGTGCATTCACTCAAGAGAAACGCAAATATATGTCCACTCAAAGACTTGCACATGAATGTTGAGAGCAGGTTTATACTGAATAGCGCAATGTGAAAAAACCCCAAAATCTAGCAAAGGATGAAGGGAGAAATAAACTGTGGTATATACATACAATAGAACACTACTCAATAATAAAAAGGATTATATTCCTGATACATGCAATATGGGTGAACCGTAAAAATATCATGCTGAGCAAGAGAAGCCAAACACAAGAGAACATGTTGTTATGATTTCACGTACATGAAACTTTAGTAAAGACAAGTCTAATCCATAGTGACAGAAAGCAAATCAGTAACTGCTGACAGGGGCAAATGAGGAGATGATCCCAAGGGAACCTTCTGGGGTAAGACGCTGTTCTCTATCTCGATCGTATTGGTGGTCACACAAGTGAAGACATGTTAGAACTCATCAAACCATACACTTAGAATGTGTAATATAAACCTCAATAAAGCAAAATTTAAAAAAAAAAACCACCTTTAATTTTCTCTTACAAAAAAAAAAAAAGGAAAACCACTTAACTTTAATTTTCTCCAACAACTGATTCTGGTACACAGTATACCTTAATGCCTGCATCCACGGCCTCACGTCATGCTGTTTACATGAACGTAAAGCTTCGCCGAAGAGTGGAATAAGACAGTCCTGCCAGAGAAAAACCAAAATTACTCAACGTAAAACAGGCTGTTGATATGTTTGCAGATATATAGCAAGTCTTAAGTCCAAGACTGCAATATAGTTTGGCTACTTCAGATTGATTGCAGTAGTTTTATCTATTACACTATACCCTTACATCATTTATCTTCTACTCACAAGAGGCAAGCACACAGTAAGAGAAAGCCTTTTGTTTTGAAGGGAAATCTTCTTCAGAATATTAAGTCTAATTTATCAATATACTTAATAAAGCACATTACAAAAAAAAAAGTCACAGCACATTTACTATAAAGCAGACTGCAGAAAAACATTACAACTAATGCTTTATTATGAAGTTCTCGAAGATCACCATTCATTCAGAAGCCCCCATCTCTGGTCGAACTTTACCCCATTTAGGATGAAGAGGAGAGATCTTTGTTTGCAGCAAATCTAAAATTTACGTGATCTGCCTAAAGGAACTGTCTTTACATACACCACCTCCCACCCCAAAAATAGAAGAAAAAACTGAGCAATTTGCCATCCTTGCGATTATCTCAGGTTCTTCCATCTGCCCCATGTACTTCCCAAATGAAAGACTGCCTGAAAACAGCATGTTAGATTTCTGGATTTACCAGCTTGCCCAACTACAAATCCTATTCCAAAAAACTCAAAAAATAAGGTCTTTGTTCTACAGTAATGACCATTAATAGTCATAAGAGTGTGCTTGTAAAAATATACAGACCTCTGTTGAAAGTCTGTTAGAAACTGTGGTCTCCAAAGCAGACGAGCAATACAGCTGCAAGGTACTTAGAACTGGCAAAGACTGTGAAACTGTTAAAGTAGAAAGTCTCAGAGGTCCAATAGCGATGCGGGATGTTTGCTTCAAGTACTTTACCACATTTCTGAAACAAAATATTTACTGTCAATTAATAAAAATTACAATTCATAACCACTCAAAGAATAAAGCAATTGATAAGATGCTATCAAATTGACATCCAAAGTTAGGGGGCAGTAAGAGGAGCAGCCTGCTCTATAATAAAATGGTATCAGCAAGTCAAGACATTTGCTTTTGGGGATTTTTACATTTTATTTCATTTCAACCTCAGTTTTTGTTGGCAAGCAGCATTCATATATCATATGACTTCTACAACTAAAATGAAGCTATTAGCACTAGTATTTAGTAATCTAGTAACTCTCCTTCCAGCCCTCTTCACCCCATGTATGTTTATCACATGATATACACAATGTACATTTACCTCCGTAAGAGTAAACTTACTCAGTTATAGACTGCCACTTCTGATCTTGTTCTATCGGGTTTAAAGCAGTTGCCAAACAAACAGAACTTCTTAACAATGGAACTTCAATGGATTTCTGAGGTTCCCTTGGATCTGGACTTCACATGTTACGAAGCAGTTTTTTCATGTCTACAGAAGTTAAATGAAATGTCATTAAGTTAATGTGCTTTTATTATAAATTTTGATTTATGTTTGGCATTATTAAAAACTAATCACCAATGAACAGCTCCTTTAATATTTCAGGCAGTTAAACACTATAAGCATTACTGAGAGCTATATAAAAATCATACTTCATACAAAATTACTGTACCTCAGACCCCTAAAAAGCAGTTGCCTTCAAAGGCTCAAAAATCAGTAAGTCGAGGTCAGGCGTGGTGGCTCACGCCTGTAATCCCGGCACTTTGGGAGGCCAAGGTGGGTGGATCACGAAGTCAGGAGTTCAAGACCAGCCTGGCCACGATGATGAAACCCCGTCTCTACTAAAAATACAAAAAATTAGCTGGGCACGGTGGCAGACACCTGTAATCCCAGCTACTCAGGAGGCTGAGGCAGGAGAATCGCTTGAACTCAGAGGGCGGCGGAGGTTGCAGTGAGCCGAAATCGCGCCACTGCACTCCAGCCTGGGCAACAGAGTGAGACTCTGTCTCAACAAAAAAGAAAATCGGTAAGTCAATCTACTATTTAAGGGGACAAATCTAGACCTGCATTAGCAAATCTTGCTCAATCCAGAATACTCATTAAACTTTTTAATAACATCTTATCAAGTGTTCCATTTGTGATAAAGAACTTAATTAACGAGCCACATCAAGATGAAAATCAAGAAAAATATTTAGCTGAAACACTACTTTGTCCTTTATCAAACAAAATGGCTAGATAAATCTCAAAGTATTAAGGTGGTCATTTTTTTTATTTGACTTAATTTTAAGTGCTTTTCATTTCCCAAATCAAACATAAATAGGGCAGCCCTAAATTTGTTGCTTCACATGGGATTCTGCCCCCACAAAAATGTAAAATAACTTCCAGATTTTCCAGTAAAATATACTAAGCCAAACATTTTGAGCAACTTGTCCACTAAAATAACTTTAAAACTATTTTCTCAAATACCTACCTATTTTTTCTTTTGATCCTCCAGCAAGTAGATTGATATTTTCTCCTGGTAACAATTCTAATTGCTCGGTACATTCGACAAATTTTCCAGACTCAAAGCTGCTTAATGATCTGTAATTAAAATATTGGTTAGCTTGTATTCCTATGCAGCCTGTGGAACCATTAAAAAAAACAAACAAACAAAAACAGAACAAATCCTAGGAAGACAGCAAAGTACACAGCACTTTTCTGACAAAATTCCTTCCACGAGGATGCCATTATTTTGGTTTTTATGTTGAAGATGTGACTACCACTTAATTAGTACTCAAATTGGAGTGGCAAACCAGAAAGTCACAGCTACAGACTTTCAGTGGAGCTGACTCGCCCCTGTGTCTCCTTCCTGTTTTCATGTGTTGCAGCCTGTTCTCTTCAGAGCCTGACACACTGACAGTAGACCTCTGCAGGACAACTTTGACACCCAGTTCTCTCCAAGCTGCCAGTGAGCTCCCTGTGCAGCCTCACTCCTCACCTACAGCATGAGCCCTTGCACAGCTCTCCCAGCATCACAATCTTGTATCTCAGTCCTGGCTTCTTTCACTGCTGGCATCCCTCCGTCTCTCCCTTTTTCACCTACTTTTCTTTTTTCAAAGAATTCTTCTCTTTCATCTGCTTATATGAAAAATAATGACACCTCTGAAATTCTTTCCTGTAGTTCTGCAGCATCAATGCCAGGAAGACAGGCCTCATCCTCCCAGCTTCTATGCTGCTCCTTTCAGATCCCTTACCCTGTCCCCATTTTCATGACACGGGCTCTCCAGCCAGGAAGAAGACACTGTTTCTCACTCTCTCTCTTTTCCATCTTTGCCTGTCCCTCTCGCTGTGTAACTTCCCTTATAACTCAGCCTGAGGCCAGTGCTAGAAAGGCACATCACCTGACTTATTCTGTGCCTGATTCTACCTAGATCAGTGCAACCACTGGCTTCTCAGGGGGACCCTTGAGTACTGGGCACTGATGAACTGCTGCCAACACAGTCATCATTTCTGCCATTAAAAGGTCCTAAGTCCTCTCCAGTGGCAGGTTCCCCAAGTCCCCACTATGCTCTATAATGCCCTATGCTTTCAGCTAATGACTCAGTCCTCAGAAAAAACAAACAAATAAACAAAAAAACACAGGCTTTAATTTCCTCTACCCCTACCCCCAATCCACCATACACTGCCGAAATTCTGTCTATACCAACTTTGACTGCTTTCCTTGAGGCAGAGAAAAGGTGAGGGCCAGTTAATCTATCAATGTTCTTTCTCCTGTTTCTTCAACCTCTGCTTTCTAGTGGCTCCTTCCCCTTGGCCAAAAGAACATAATCTCTCCAACATTTAAAATAAACATCTCATATTTCCCTCCAGCAACAGCTTCCTATCCTCGACTTCAAGAAAAACTCACTGACCAAATAACTTACCTCAAGCTTTTCATTTTCAAATGTCTCTACCACTCAATACTATTCAATCTAGCTTCTTCTGTCTCTCTACAAAACTCTTTTTCCTTATAATCCCTAGAGCATCTGACAAGGCTGACTACTCCCATCTGGATGTCCTATATCTAGGGCACTTCCCTTCTCAATGTCCCTGTATTTTTTTGAATGGCTTCCTCTTCTATCCTTTCACAAAAATGCTAAACTAGGATTCTGACCCAGGCCTTCCTTCCTCTTCACTCACTATTCTCCAGAGGCTTCTCTCTGGTTTGGTTGCTTACAAAGGCTCTAGAGTATAGAGACTGAAAAGGAAAGAGGGCCTTTTCTGTGTACTAATCATCTGCAAATCTCTCAAGCTTAGACTGTCTCCTTAGTTCAAAATCCAATTCTTAACAGCTTACCCAACAATCTCATCTGCACATTTCATTAGAAATCTTAAAACATGGCTTGTTCTCTGTGTGCTCCTACTCCAGTTAATAGCATTGTTTCTCTTCCCTCTACCATTGCCCCCATAAATTAATGGTCTCCATGCTTCCATACTTGCCCCGCACCTCCAGTCTCTTCACCACAGCAGAATGAACCAAGTCAGATCACAACACAACTCTGTTCAAATCCCACCTGAAATTTTCAGTCTTACTAGAATAACAGCCAAAGTTCTTTTCTCAGTTCCCAGCTACTTCTCTGCCCTTATATCCTACTGTTTAAGGCGCTCCTAAACACACAGGCCTCCCAGCTATTTCCAGAACACTCCAAGCCCATCATTCTCACATCAGGTCTAGGCCCAAAGGGCATCCTGATGGGCATGTCTTGACCTTGTGTCTTCCCTCCAAAGAAGGTCAGCTTTACCTAACTGCTTTCCTTATGGCACAGAAAAGGTGAGTGAGGTCCAATTAGTCCTTCTATCAATAATCTTTATCTAATCTTTGCTTTAAAAGGTTGGAATTTGTGTCTGTTTTATGTGCTGCCTGGGTCACAGCACATGCTCAGTGAAGCAATTACACATTAACCCATTTAGCAGTAGAAGGCAAGGGTATCAGACAAAGTCTAATGACCTTTATCTTCCCAGCCAAGTGTCTGCAACAGAGTGAGTGCTCAGTTTTGAATTACAGAATTAATAAAAGCACAGAGGAATGAGAAGAAAGTTTAATTTACAGATGTTCACAAACTCTGTCCTCATTAGAATAAATGTTTTTGATATATTCAGACCTCATTTCGAAACAAAGCCATCAAATGTGATTCTTTCTAAAGCAGTACAAATTTTTCTTTATATTCACTCTGGCATAATCTTCAAACTGTATTAAGGTTTTAGAACGACAGGTTCTGAAAATTAATACCAAATGACTATCTCAGCAGTGTTTTCCCATTATACAAATACCTTCCCTCATCTCTGATGTCAGTTTCCTGTTGTCATTTTCATAATGGCAGTAAGTTAGAAATATAACCATTTTGAGTATTACTGCATATGACCAATTTTAATATTTTTTTTGCCATAGGAAAAACATCATAGTTATTGGAAATTTGTTTTATAACTGGAAACAGAAAGCCTTACTTTATATAGTTGAAGTCAGCTTTCAGGTTGAGGGAAGTGCTACTGGTACTCTTTTTCAAGTCATGGATAGCGTTCTGCCATTCCTGCACAGCAGCCCAATCGGCAGTTGAGATGTAGCACTCACATGCTTTGTTTCCTAAATAATTTATAACCTCAGGGGAAGAGTCAGTCGGTTTGGACAGCACACTTTTTCTGGATTCACCTGAAAGTATTTTATAAAATAAGAAGAGAGAGATTCAGATCAATTAGAAATATTTCAAAGAGCACAGAAACCTAAAAACATGATAAGATCATCAGTACGAAATATATTACTATAACTTTTGCTTTATTTAAAAATGCTGAACGCTCACCATTCAGACAATGTTTCAGGCTGGCACTCTTACACCCAGCACTGGCTAAGGTGAGCACCGATTTGTCAAAGCTGGAGATGCAGCAATCAACACCTGTCATGGCACACAGGTGTTCCTGGTACTCCACAGAGGCCTTTTCAAACCTGAAAAGCAAATTGAAGCAGTCTTATTTCTTTATTTATCTAACTACTTACTTTTTTTTTTTGAGATGAAGTTTTGCTCTTCTTGCCCAGGCTGGAGTGCAATGGCACTGTCTCAGCTCAGTGCAACCTCTGCCTCCCGTGTACAAGCGATTCTCCTGCCTCAGCCTCCTGAGTAGCTGGGATTACAGGCACTCGCCACCATGCCCGGCTAATTTTCTTGTATTTTTAGTAGAGACGGGGTTTCACCATGTTGGCCAGGCTGGTCTTGAACTCCTGACCTCAGGTGATCCGCCTGCCTCGGCCTCCCAAAGTGCTGGGAATACAGATGTAAGCCACCGAACCCAGCCTACCTAACATGGCAAATTTTGTTTTTTTAAATATTGAGTGGGAAAAACAGATCATAAAACCATGTGCCTATGTACGCTGATGTTTTGGTGAAGAATGGAGAAAACGACATGAAAGAAAAAAGAATTACAAAGCGTATGGATATGGAAATATGGGACTACAAAAGGACACACAACAGAAGTTACTACAAAGATATGGAAGTATGAGCAGTTCTTTTATTTTCCTAAGTTCGCAAGATTTCATTAAACTAACATAAATGGACACAGAATATTATGGTACAAGCTCCTCTACCCGGAGGAAGCAATGAGTCTGAATGTAGAGTTCACAGGACTAACGAGCAAATACTCTGACAATAAAGGGTAATTTGTATCAGACTCTGAGGGGGAAGGAGCTCAACTAGGGATCAAGTTCAAAAGCATTTATAAAACAACTGACAGGTCTTGTTTTACAGTGTGATTTGCCACTAATTCTTAAATAAGAAAGGCACTCCAGTATTGCTGCTAACTGAAGAACAAACTGAAGATGCCTCCTGGTGAAGGGATTTATAGCAAGCTTCAATGCTGAAAGCAAACAAAGCTGTTTTAAGATTTGGCTACAATGTCAGTGAGTAATACAAAGAACTTAAACATAAAGTAATTCTATCACCCATTTCCTTCCCTCCAACCTACCTCCCTTCAGCCTGTTGAGCCACTGAGTTAATCCACAGAAGATGTTTTCCAACAATAGATGATGACCAGACAGCAATTCCCTGTATAGCTTCAGGACAATGAAGTTCACATAGTGCTTCTACCACCATCATAATGCTTACTTCCAATTCATTCCCCTGAAAACGCATTCAGAAAAGTTAGTCACCCAATACCATTAAAACATAAATCCCTATAAAATTTACAACTGATCAGTCTGTGCCTGCTTAAAGCCAAATGTATTTAACAATTATTGTCACAATTTTCACATTATTTAGCTCAGAATTCTTTAAAATGTTACATATAAAATAGCCACAAAGGGTGACTAACAGAACCTTAGCAGCACATGGATGTTTGTACCCCCACCCCAAAGTTACCCAAAAACATTTAACCTGTGACCTCTGTAGGAATAACACATGGAGTAAAAAGAAAGCAAAAATGAAATATAAATAAACAGGAATTAAGGAATGATTAACTTCATGTGTTTGAATACTGCTTGACATTACCTGAATTGCTAAACATTTTGTTATTTTTGGATTCCAGTTATTTATTGTGAGCCCACTTTCAAGCCAGGAATTACTCAAGCATTTGTCATACGTTATAAAAACAATTTCTCCTGGCCAGGTGCAGTGGCTCATGCCTGTAATCCCAGCACTTTGGAAGGCCGAGGTGGGCGGATCACTTGTGGTCAGGAGTTCGAGACCAGCCTGGCCAACATGGTGAAACCCTGTCTCTACTAAAAATACAAAACTTAGCCGGGTATGGTGGTGGGTGCCTGTAATCCCAGGGACTGAGGCAAGAAGAGGCTTGAACCCGAGAGGCGGAGCTTACAGTGAGCCGAGATCGCACAACTGCACTCCAGCCTGGGCGACAGAGTGAAACTGTGTCTCAAAAAAATAAATAAATAAATAAAAATTTTCCCCCATAAACAAATTTTCAGAATTACCTTTAAAGTTCTAAACTTTGCACGGAAGAAATAGAGTTTTAACGTGTTCTAACATGAATATTGTTTTAACATGAACAAAAACATGAACATTATTTTGACTTCTAACACTGTTTTAACACGAATAAAATAGGTAACTCTGGCAGTTGTTGCTTTTACAAAATACAGGATCAAAACCTTTGAAAATGAATCCAAGCTTTAACTTATTTTATCCATAGATTAAATCATACCAAAGGAATTAAACCATGTTTTTCTTATTAACAGACTTAAAATGAATTTCAAACACACCACTTTACCTGAGATAGGCTGGTTGTTTTCATCTCTGTAAGCAAGTCAAAGCCATGTCTCACTGTCACTGCAGGCTGGCCTGCCAACAATCCTACCCTCATGATGGAGAGTCGAATCCGCGTTAGCCAGTCCTGACAAGTTTGGCGATTGGTATACAAAAAAGTTCTAATGACCTTTACGATAAGAGAAAGAAAAGCTCAGGACTGGTTCAATTTGTAGGTAAGGATGTCTCACCTATATATAAACCAAATACACAAGTCTATTGTGATTTCAGCTCTGCACATACTGCCAGCTGTGACCATTAAACTGCTATAAAACAACACTATCTCCCGGAAACCAACCTTGGGAGGTGAAGTTAAGGCATTAGCACATCCCTCGTATGCATTATACATTAATTTCTCCAGATTTTCCAGATACTGCAGAAGAAGAACAAGTCTAAGTTGGTTGTTACCATGGCCTTCATCACTGTCTGCAGTTGTCCACTGACTAACATCCTGATCAGGGTTTAATGTGTGACCTGCGAGACTTCGAATGATACCTGAAAGCAAAGACAACATTCTGAATTTTTAAAAATCTTAAAAGTTCCTAGAATAAGTGTGAGTTTTTTATGACCAATTCACATTTATCAAGTATCCTCTGTCTACCCATCATTTAAAAATAAAAAATCCCAACATGAAAGATCTTTCATTTTAGGGGAAAAAAATATATATTTTTTCCACACAACTCCCATAAGTTTTGGAAAAAAAACAAACATATTTCCAATGCAATTATTCAATGAAAGCTTATTCTAACAAACAAACCTGAAAATTATTGACTTTTTTCAAAAAAAATCATATACCCTCAAATCTTTAACAAAGATTTAAAAATCCATTATTTCTCAATAAGGCTTTGAAAGTATTCACATCATAAAGCTTGAGCGAGTTACCTTCAATTGTCTGGAAGGTGTCTTGAGCTCTGCCCAGTGGGGTTCTCAGCTTAGAAAGAACAGTGAATTGTGCAGCTTCCCATATGGCCCACTGCCAAAGGATAGCATCTGTCTTCAGGAGATTGCGTGGAATTGTTGACTGGTCACGCTTATCCAGTCTCTGGCAGCTATAGAACAGTCTTTCCAACCAATTGTCCTTCCTGGGAAAAGTAGTTTCATATTTAAAAGACAATGACAACTTCATTTTAATAATGAAAAAAAAATGCAAGGGGAATGGGAATAAGGAACTGTAATTTTCCCTACTCCAAAAAAAGGCAAAACCTATGAAATTGAGAAGCATTATGTCCCCCCCTCTCATTTTGAGGTCTTGTATAGTTAACAGGATGAGGTACAGTGTGGAAGGATGATTAGGGTAAACGGCTCATGCCAGTCAGGAATGAAACTCATTCAATGCAACTAAGCATCTCTAGAATATCTCCACCCCCACCCCACTCCCCAAAGTGTTAATGACATCACATCAGTTAACTGTTAACCACATTTCATTACTCAATTTCAAAGCCCATTTTTGTTTCTACAGATGCTATCTTCAAAGCAATTTTCCTATTGATGAAAACTGAAATAACCCATATGAGAAGAATGTTACTTGATACTCTGCCACCCCCAAACATATTTTCTCTTCAAAACTGCATGTAAAGTCAAGGGAATCTTAAAATTTTCTTTCCCAGATAAAATAGTCAAAGAAATGTCTTACCCTGTTCTATGAGAGTTCCCATACAAAATAAAACTAATAACATCAGAGAAATCTTGGGGGTGGAATGTATTACTTGGTGCTTTACTCATGTGACTTCTTAATGCTAAAGAAATTTCTTGAATTTCTGTGTGATTGTTATCGCTGTAGACAGAAAATAAAGTTGTTGTTATGCAAAATATTTTAGCTTAAAAGGTTAGCACATACTGTAAGTGGATTATTTACTTATTAACTCACTGGAGGTAAAAATATAGTAAAATTGAGACTTTCAAATGGATACAGAGATGTGATTACAACTTTAGATCCTTTTTTTATTCACCTCAGATGGGTCATGTGCCGACATCATAAGAGGATTTGAGGGAGGCATATCAAACATGTGAACATAAAAACCCAATCATTATGCTTATCTATTACAAAAGGATCAAGTTTAGGCTCTTAAAAGCTCCCAAATCAACTTGATCAAAAACAATAAAAGATTACTGTTTAGTTTTTCAAATATCTGAGCTACTAAGAAACATATTTTGGCACTACATGAGTTATTCTATACTAATTATTGTGAGCCTATAAAGCTCATTAAAAATTTTTAATTTTCTTGCAGACCTGCAAAATTTGGTTATTTGACATCACTTCAATCACTGACAAGCAGGGCCATAAAAGATGTGTCATTAATGCTCTAATAGGTGATCTGTCTTCTCCTAAAGTAGACAACCAGTAGAGGCTGTAAATATCACAGAATGTCTTTGCTTCAAAACAACTGTTATACCTTAGGAAAACACCTAAAGGAATTGATTTCAACAGTTTTCCAAATGCTTGTCGAATACAAGTTCCACGGTGCACTAGTTGGACACGGCAAACATCAACACATCTATGAAAGAACGAAATAGACAAAGCAGGTGTGTTAACAGTTCCAGGTTATTAGGGTTAATGTCAAAAGACACGATCTTAATTTCATACCTCTGTAAAAGATCATCTGGCAAGGAAGAGGATAGAGCATGTAGACTGCTGCATGCCTGCAGACAGATATTCACATCTTCAACGAGAGCTATTAAACATTAAAAGACAGTTACTTTCAGCTGGCCAAAAGAAATTATATCCCAGTTTGTCATAATTATCTGAATCCATTCATTCATTCAACAAAGAGTGAGTGCCTACTATAGACTAGGCACTGTTCTTGTCCAGAATCCTCATTGACTGTCACATTTGGAAAAATGACACATTCAACAAAACCCACGTAATGTAACTGATGGGTCATCACACAAAACTTTTTCTGAGAGAAAATGTAAAAGTATATGTAAACTATAAACATTCACGTTAGCTTAAAAATGTGACAATCACTTCAAAACATTTTTCTAATACTAAGAATGAAAAAAAATCAAGACTGTGTATCTGTCATTAAAATGAGGATTACACATCTTCAGGTCAGGAAAAGAGCTCGATTCATGACCATCTCCCATTACCAAAGACCCTTTTAAGGACTGATAAACAAAATAGAAAAAAAAAACCAGAGTCTTACTGTCGGCTAAAAGGCCTTTGCAAAATTTATGGAAAGACGGAAGACAGAATAAAGGTGCATATGTTTCGGACTTCTTCATTACAACAGCTACTTCCAAAGCCCAAGTCATTAACAGTTTCCTGAAACACAAAATATACAGTTGACTGTACATTAAAAAAAAAACAACAACAAAAACAAAAAAAAGTTAAAAGCCTAGTCTTCTTACATTGGTTTTCTCTTGGTTTTTCAAACATCTCAAACAATAAAAAATAAAAATAAAAAATGAAACTATAGAAATTACTGTCAAAATTGTTGTGTGCCTTTTAAGAAAACCTCCCAACGCAGCATGATAATAGCAAAGAGGCCGGGCGTGGTGGCTTACCTGAGGTCAGGAGTTCAAGACCAGCCTGGCCAACAACATGGTGAAACACCATCTCTACTAAAAATACAAAAATTATTGAGGAACTGCCAAACTGTTTTCCACATCAGCTGCACCATTTCACATTCCTATTGCTAACTTATAAAGATTTCAATTTCCCCATATCCTCAACAACACTTGTTATTTTCCATTTTTTAATAATAGTCATCATAGTAAGTGTGAAGTGATAGCTTGGAGTTTTAATTTGTATGTCTCCATTGACTAATGATGTTGACATCTTTTCAAGTGCTTATTGGCCATTTGTTTATCTTCTTTGGAGAAATGTTTATTCAAGCCTTTTGTCCATTGTAAGATGGACAAAAATGGTTGTCTTTTTGTTGTTTGTTTACAACCATTTTGTTTTAAAATGTTTTGTCTTTTTGTTGTTGAATTGTAGAAGTTTTTTATATACTTTGGGTATTAAACCTTAACATATATACAAAAAAAAAATACAAAAATTAGCCAGGTGTGGTGGCAGGCACCTGTAATCGCGGCTACTTGGGAGGCTGAGGCAGGAGAATTGCTTGAACCTGGGAGGCAGAGGTTACAGTGAGCAAAACTCCATCTTAAAAAAAAAAAAAGCAAAGAATATTAAAAATCTATATATATTCTTCTATGAAACACTGGGCGTGGGGGATTGAGGTTTTTCATGTATTTCTTTTCAGAAAGAATAAGAAAGCCTAGATTAAATAATAAAACCAAATTATAAGGTGTTTGACAATAAAGAAGCTGCTCTACCTCACCTCTATAATCCACATTTTTTTAAATTTTTTGTAATCCACATTTCTTCTTCTCAAATTATAAAGGCAAATTAACAAAGTTAGGAATGGTTAATACTATATAATATCTGTTACCTCGTGTCCTGGTTATCTTTCTTAAGTAACATTCCCAGAAGATTTAATATAATTGAGAAATGTTTCTTTGTGGCCATAGTTACAGTGCCAATCACAGCTCCATCAAACAAAGAAGGAGAGGAAGAACTGAGGCTACTAAAGATAAAGTGATCATGCCTGAAAGACAAAGCATAGATTATCTTTTCATCTTTAATCAAAGAAAGCAAGCAAGTCCAAAGTTAAATCAACATACATCTTCAAAATCTATCCATTAAAAAAATAAAATGTTTTGTGGGGTTCTTTTCTTAAGAAAAATTTGTGAATACAGTACCTGGTACAATGAGGATACAATGTGTAGAGCACAGCATACTGAATGGCAGGGAAGTGAACAGCCAGGTCACTGTGCACAATCATCAGATTCTTACTCAGAAGTGCAAAGACAGTTGGAGATAGCGCCCACATCTGATCATGTACAAAACAAAGTAAGTTTATGGCTTCTCCAAAATAAGCACAAGCATACAGAGTTTATCCTTCAAAACAGGGGTATTTGGACATTTTTAAATTAAAATTACAGATTGGAAGGGATCTAGTACACTACACCTGGGACAAATACTTTTTTGTGAAGTCAGTAAAGCCTTTGCGTGCAATATAGCATCTCTATGCAATGCAGCAACTCCTCGTCTATCGCTACAGTAAGAAAACAGCCACAGGTCAGGTGTTGTGGCTCACACCTGTAATCCTAGCACTTTGGGAGGCTAAGGTGGGCAGATCACTTGAGCCCAGGAGTTTGAAACCAGCCTGGGCAACACAGCGGGACCCCATCTCTACTAAAATTACAAAAAGTAGCTGGGCATGGTGGCGCACACTTGTAATCCCAGCTACTCGGGAGGCTGAGGCAGGAGAATCGCTTGAACCTGGGAGGCAGAGGTTGCAGTGACCCGAGATCATACCAATGCACTCCAGCCTAGATGACAAAGTTAAGACTCTCTCTCTCAAAACAAAACACCAGCCACACACAAAACACAGGAATGAGAGTACCTGTGTTCCAAGAAAACTTTCTTGAGTCGGAGTCTCTCGCTCTGTCGCCCAGGCTGGAGTGCAATGGGGCGATCTCAGCTCACTGCAACCTCTATCTCCGGGGTTCAAGCAATTCTCCCTGCCTCAGTCTCCCAAGTAGCTGAGATTACAGGTGCCCATCACCATGCCCTGCTAACTTTTGTATTTTTTTAGTAGAGATAGGGTTTCACCATGTTGGCCAGGCTGGTCTTGAACTCCTGAGCTTGGGTGATCTGCCTGTCTCAGTCTCCCGAGGGATTACAGGCGTGAACCACTGCGCCCAGCCCAACAAGAACTTTCTTTACAAAAACAGGCACTAGTGTTGTGATGGTTGTACACTTCTGTGAATATAGTAAAAATCAGTGAATTATACACTTAAAATAACAGACAAAAAACAGGTGCTGGGCTGTATTTGGCCCACAGACCATAGTTTGCTGATCTCTGGTCTAAACAGAGCCCTTTGTATGTGCCTTTTGCGGAAGTAGACTGTATTTCCTCAATTTTCCATATACTGCAAATGGCAAGGTGCCCTGTTCAATAAGGAAACAGAGGCACACCCTGCCACCCTACACCTTTTCCATCCATCTTTTTCCTTTACACTGCCAAGACACTCCACTCCACCTGACTGCCCCATCCCCACCCACTTTCTCCTTATTTCTAGAGTACAGGACATAAACATCTTTGAATCTGTAAATAATGTGAATAATTTTCCTCAAAAATCAAGCTTTCATGTTTGAAGAAGAGTTTATTGTGACTTCAAACATAAACTGTAACTGGTAATAAGCGAAGCAGCTATGGAATTATACAAGGCAATCCAATCAAACAACACGGAGCACATTGAAGCGCAAACATCAAATTTTACCTTCTTCCTCCTAAAAACTTTATTCCCTAATTACATCCATTTCTTTCTTTGTTTCTTTCTTTTTTTTTTTTTTCTTTTGAGACAGAGTCTGGCTCTGTAGCCCAGGCTGGAGTGCGGTGGTGTGATCTCAGCTCACTGCAACCTCCACTTCCTGGGTTCAAGCAATTCTCCTACCTCACCCTCCAAAGTAGCTAGGATTACAGGTGTGCACCACCACCCCTGGCTAATTTTTCTATTTTTAGTAGAGGCGAGCTTTCACCATGTTGGCCAGGCTGGTCTCAAACTCCTGACCACAGGTGATCAGCCTGACTTGGCCTCCCAGAGTGCTGGGTTTACAGGTGTCAGCAACCGTGCCCAGCCTACACCTATTATTTTCTATTAAAAATGATGTTTTTCAACTCTGTGTGGTCCAATAGGAAGAAGAAATACACAAACCATAAACAATAAATACAAATCAAGAGCAGGGCCATGTCGAATTACTTAAAAAAAAAAAAACCACACGGGCTGGGCGCGGTGGCTCATGCCTGTAATTCCAGCACTTTGGGAGGCTGAGGCAGGTGGATCACCTGAGGTCAGGAGTTTGAGACCAGCCTGACCAACATGGTGAAACCAAGTCTCTACTAAAAATACAAAAATTAGCCCGTCGTAGTGGCAAGTGTCTGTAATCTTAGCTACTCGGGAGGCTGAGGCAGGAGAATTGCTGGAACCCGGGAGGCAGAGGTGGCAGTGAGCCGAGATTGCACCACTGCACTCCAGCCCAGTTGACAACAGCATGACTCTGTCTCCCCCAAAAAAAAAAAAAAAAAAAAAAAAAAAAAGTCCCCCCACCACCACCAAAAGGAAGACTACAGGTTCAGTATCCCTTATTCAAAATGCTTGGGACCAGAAGTGTTTCAGACTTTGTATATGTTTGGATTTGAGAATACTTGCATATATATAAAATGAGATATGTGGGGGATGGGACCCAAGTCTAAAGACGAAATTCACTTATGTTTCATAGACACCTTCTATTCATAGCCTGAAGGTCATTTTATGCAATATTTTAAATAATTTTGGGCATACAACAGTTTGGACTCATCACATGAGGTCGGGTGTGGGATTTTCCACTTGGGGCATCATACTGGTGCTCAAAAAGTTTCAAATTTTGGAGCATTTTAGATTTAGGATTTTCAGATTAGGGATGCTCACCAGTAAGTGTTATGAAAATATTCCAAACTCCGGCTGGGCATGGTGGTGCCCACCTGTAATCCCAGCATTTTGGGAGGCCAAGGCAGGTGGATCACCTGAGGTCAGGAGTTCACAACCAGCCTGGCTAACATGGTGAAAACCCATCTCTACTAAATACAAAAAAATTAGCCAGGGGTGGTGGTGCATGCCTGTAATCCGAGCTACCTGGGAGGCTGAAACAGGAGAATCGCTTGTACCCGGGAGGCGGAGGTTGCAGCGAGCCAAGATCGCGCCATTGCACTCCAGCCTGGGCAACAAGAGTAAAAACACTATCTCCAAAAAAAAAAAAAAAGTATTCCAAAATCCAAAATCGAAAACACTTCCAGTCCCAAGTATTTCAGATAAGGAATATTCAACCTGTATGAATGTTCCTAGGGAAAAAGAGACAGCCAAAATATAAGACCATGTATAAGAACTAACTTCAGTACACAGAAAGAAAAAAGTACCAGGGGAAGAAGAAAGAGACCGCATTTTAAAACAACTATACAAATTTGAGCTGTAAGAAACACTGACATTTTCTGTAAGCATGCTAGAGCAAATAGGAGAAATTCATAAGACATTTTCTAGAAAATAAAACTAATATAAAAAAACTTATCAAGATTTGTCAAGGAAAAAGAAGAAAAGTTAAATATAATGGCAAGAAAACATTCCTACCAATTTTATTTATCCAGGCATGTCTTAAATATGGCTGTTTGTTACATACAGTGATTCTGCAGACATGTTGACATAACAGTGAAATACATAAATATGTAATGTGGATAAAACAAAGTCATTACAATTAAAGACTCACCCCTATTAGTGAGTTTTTGGCATTTCCAATTGTAGTCAGGGCACTGAGGTCAAATTTAACTACAAATTTTGCATTGTCTACATTGAACACATGATTCTTAAAAGCCTCATGTTTTATTTCAGAACAGGACTCAGGAAGCTGCAGACTGTGCAGGAGGTTGTTTAGGGCACAAGTCATTTCTCCCAATATTAACTTATAGGCAGTCTCCAAAACAGGAATATTCTTCAAGCTGAGCACTGCTTGATAAACAGCACGGGCTACAGCAACAACCTGAAAAACAAAAAATTCAAGGAAGTGATAAATGGAAAATAAATCTTCTAAAATTATATGGAAAATAAATCACTATCTGTATTAGTGCTGATGATACAAATAAATTTAAGATCGATCAATTCACTGTCTGTAGCATTTAATATTTTAATTTTTTAAAAACCAATCAGAAAACTGACACAGATCAGTATGCTATTTCAAATCTATTAAGTTTTATCACAAATAAAGAGTACTATAAATGAAAACTGTCAATAGGAAATTTCCAAAATGGCCGTTTTTGTTTTTTTTTTTTAATAATCAACATCAAAAGACATATGCAAACAGCAGTTTAAGACTGGGTTTCTTAAATCTACCAGGAAAGTCTGTGGTGGATTTGACTAGGGGGTGGTTGAAAAGCCAGTCATTTTTGTTTACCAAATATACAGTACTTCTTAATTTATAACTTTATAAATGTGTCAACTTGTTTTACCCTTATGAAAATTTAATAAATTTAATAACAGCAAAAGATGCATAGTCTGAAAAGAGTATCTGGCACACCATTCATGAAAGTATTCAGTATGATTATCAAGAAATATAAATTTAAAAGAACAAATACAATCACTATATTCTAAATCAAACATTTCACATTTCACTCAATTTCACTTATATAGCCTGGGGTAAGCAACATTAGGTCCAACTCTTCAGTGACTCAAGTTGTCAAAATTCATTATCAGTGTATTACTTACCTCTTTTTCTTTATGATAACGCAAGAATAGTAGTTTAGATGATGGTATAAACAGTTTTTCTACAAATGATGATGGCAGTTTCGTATTTATCTGTTCAACAATCTAAAAGAATAAAATTTTTAAAAAATGAGCTTCTCAAATTACAAAAAGACATGGAGAAACCTTCAAGGCACACTGGTAAGTGAAAGAAGCCAACTGAAAAGGCTACATACTATATGACTCCAACTACATGGCATTCTGGAAAAGGCAAAACGATGGAGACAGTAAAAAGATCAGGGGTTGCCATGGGCTTAAGATGGGGGGAGGGAGGAGTGGGGAGAGGGAACGAGGAAGGAGTGGGTAGAACATAAAAGATTTTTAGGGAAGTGAAACTATCCTGTATGATACTGGTAATAGGGGAAACATGTCATTACACATGTTAAAGTCCATAGAATACATAACACAAAGTAAACTATAAAATTAGTTAATAATAATATATCAATATTCACTCCTTTGTAATAAATGTACCACACTAACACAATATGTTAATGAGGGGGAAACTGTTGGGATGAAGAAGGTATATGGGAACTCACTGTTTTCTGCTCAATTTTCTGTATATCTAAAAAATGAAGTCTTTTAATTTAGAAAAATATATCTAAGCTATATTTTAAGGCCTTAATACTGTGACATTAAAGTGTTTAGACACCTAAATAGGACACACGTATTTTACAGTTATCATGGGCATTTTTTCACATTAGCAAAGAGAGGTGTAATTCTGGCAGAAATGCTCAGCAGAATGTCATCTAGAATTTGCTTTAAAATAATCCAGTTGGAGATGAAAGGATAGCAAAGAGGCCTAGATGAAACCAGATGGGCCATTTGTTTCTAATTATAGAAGCTGAGTGTTAAATATGTACAAATTTATTATACTATGCTCCCTATTTTTATGTGCTTCAGAACGTCCATAATAAAAGTGGGGGGAGGATATTTATGGTTAAGAAATTAAAGGAGGCCGGCCGGGCGCGGTGGCTCACGCCTGTAATCCCAGCACTTTGGGAGGCCAAGGCAGGCAGATCACGAGGTCAGGAGATCGAGACCATCCTGGCTAACATGGTGAAACCCCGTCTCTACTAAAAATACAATTGTGCCACTGCACTCCAGCCTGGGCAAAAGAGCGAGACTCCGTCTCAAAAAAAAAAAAAAAAAAAAAAAAAAAAAAAAATTAAAGGAGGCCAGGCATGATTGCTCACACCTGTAATCCCAGCACTTTGGGAGGGCAAGGCAGGAGGATTACTTGAGACCAAGAATTTAAGGCCAGCCTAGACAATGTAGCGAGACCCCTTCTCTCCAAAAAATATAAAGGTTAGCCAGGCATGGTGGCATGCATCTGTAGTCCCAGATAGTCGGGAGGCTGAGTGGGAGGATCACTTGAGCCCAGGAGTTTGAGGCTGCAGTGAGCTCTGATTGTACCGCTGCACTCCAGCCAGGGGAATACAGCAAGATCCTGTGACCAAAAAAAAAAGAAAGAAAAGAAAAGAAAAAAAGAATCTGGTGCGTAGAGCAATGTTTCCTCAGAAAAAACGAGTAAAGCTACACTGAGACTAGCTATCAACCACTAAAAATAGAGGCCTGGCAGAGTGGCTCATGCCTATAATCCCAGTACTTTGGGAGGCCAAGGCAGGTGGATTGCTTGAGCCCAAGAATTCAAGACCAGCCTGGGCAACATGGCAAAACTCCATCTCTACAAAATAATATAAAAAATTAGCCAGGTGTGGTGGTGCACGCCTGTAGTCCTAGCTACCTGGGGGGCTGAGGTGGGAGGATCACCTGAACCCAAGAGGTCAAGGCTACAGTGAGCCAAAATCATGCCACTGCACTTCATCCTGTGCAACGGAGTGAGACCCTGTCTCAAAAAAAAAATTGCATTAAAAATAAAAGTAAATAGACACTAAAATGAAAGCACAGATTATAAGACTGATGAATGTACTCTAAAAAAATTATATAATAAAGCAAAACCCTTATTTTTTTTCTTTTTTGGAGACAGGGCCTTTTTTGTCACCTTGGCTGAGTGCAGTGGCACAATCAGAGCTCACTTCAACCTCAAGTTCCTGGGCTTAATCGATCCTCCTCCATCAGCCTCCCGAGTAGCTAGGACTGCAGGTGCACACCACTACACCAAGCTAATTTTTGACTTTTTGTACAGATGGGGTCTCACTACATTGCCCAAGCTGTGCCAGAATTCCTGGATGCAAGCAACCCTTCTGCTTTGGCCTCCCAAAGCGCTGGGATTACAAGCATGAGCCACCATACCCAGACAAAGCCCTTAATTTCTTACATATCCATTTAAGGGCCTGAATAAACCAACACATTAAAAAGGAAAAGAATAATTCACATACCAGCGTGAGTAAATTCAAGACTGAGATGATATAATCGGTACCACAAGTCTGGCAATTCTCCAGTTGGTCTAATCCATATGTAATGACCATGTCACAATGTATAGTCATGCTAGGATCCAAGCTGCCGAGCAAAACACCAACACGCTCATTAGCAGCTGTCAACACAGCCTCAGAAAAAAACACCTGGTTTGCAGCCGTCACACATCTCATTACTCTGTACAGAACCTGTAAATGGGGAAAACCAGCAGCTTTTTAAAAAAATTCACGTGCTTCCACAAAGCAAGAAAATACTTTCTATTTAATGCAATTTCAACTGAAAATTAACTGCTTGCCTTGCCAGCAGTCTCTTAATATTCTAGTTCTCAGTAGCTGAATAATAATGATGCCTTTACTACAATATGTAAACATGATCTTGGCTAAAAAATCCTAAAGTGCTACTATGACAGGAAATGGAAGCTGCCATCCTCTATTTCCCACATACCCAACTTCGTTTCTCCCAATGTCACTAAATGGCTGAAGCTCAGAATCTTTATCATGAAATACACCACGACAGTAATGGTATTGACAGCATGGGAATAGCCTGCCCACACATACTACAAGCTAGCTCTTGGGCTTTTGGGAATCAATCTTTCAAAACTGAACATACAAGTCACTTTAAGCTTATTAAAGTTTCTATCTACTGATGGTCTCTTTTGAAAGATAAGCACTCTCATGCTTGCCACATAATATCTTCAAAAATCATATTATTTCCAATACACACACACACAAAATCCCCCACTTAACTATAATGGCCAATAATTGTGTACTAAATTTCTAATAAAATAGGGGAGAAAACAGAGCAAATGTTAAAAAATATTTCTATAATATTTAACAACCAATACATACAGGATTTTATTTAGTCTACCCATAGTTTTCATTAAAAGTATCCTTAGAGGTTGGGCATAGTGACTCACATCTATCATCCTAGCACTTTGAGAGGATTAGCTGGAAGGTTCTCTTGAGTCCAGGAGTTTGAGACCAGCCATGTCAACATAACAACACCTCATCTCTACCAAATTTGTTTCTAAATTAGTTGGGTGTGGTGGCTCACACCAGTAGTCCCACCAACTACTTGAGAGGCTGAGGTGGGAGGATCACTTAAGCCTGGGAGGTCAAGGCTGCAGTGAGCCAAGATCGTGCCACTGCACTCCAGCCTGGACAACAGAGACCATGTCTCCAAAAAAAAAAGAGTGGGGGGGAGAGGGCGGAGGGGGAAGCATTCTTGGCCATGCATGCACAGTGGCTCATGTCTATAATCCCAACACTTTGGGAGGCTGAGGTGGGAAGACTGCTTGAGGCCAAAAGTTCAAGACCAGCCTGGGAAACACTGAGACCCCATCTCTACAAAAATAAAAAATTAGCAGGAGCTATGCTGGGAGGATCACTTGAGCCCAAGAGATAGAGGCTGCACTGAGTCGTGATGGCACCACCCCACTTTAAAAAGGAAAAAAAAAAAAAAAAGCTGGGTATGGTGACACCCGCTTGTAGGGCTGAGTGAGGTGGGAAGTTCACCTGGGCCCAAGAGTTCAAGACTACAGTGAGCTATGATTGAACTACTACACTCCAGCCTGGGTGACAGAGTGAGGTTCCAGCTCCAAAAATAAATAAAAAAAATAAAAACCCCACCATTCTACCATTCTCAAAGGCCTAAAAGATCCTCATAAATCAATATACACCTATCCTATAAATTATGTCCCCTTTATTTTATGTCTGAATTAACGGCTTTTTATTTCAACTCTGTACAGTCTTCAAACAACCACCTTTTAGACATTAAAAATGAAGCAAAGATATTAAACCATTTTGAAACCATATTGGTTTAAAATACCGATATGCCGGTTTATCTTTAAGTTCTGACATTTCTGCTCAAGTACACAACTTACTATATAATCAATATCCTATTTTATTTAGCAACATGTTCAGCAAAAGTATATGCTCCTAAAAGCAAGTTTTATCCTAACGGTAAAATTTTCATCAGTTAGATTAAATTTTTTATGACTGTATCACACATGCTTCTTTCTCCTTATTCAAAGCAGAGTACAATGCCTGGGGTTCATTTCTTGTGTCTTTTCCACTGAACCCTCACTGGATGTGCTATATACAGTGCAGCTAATGTCTGAGGCTGCTGAAGTGTGGCAATCTAGCTACCTCATTTTTAATTTGTTTATGTTCTTTGATATCAGGCTATCAAAGAATATAAAGATACACAAGTTTTCATATGAGTTCCATCTTATGCTCAGAGAAGATTACTTTCTGAGGCTTCTCCTATAGTGTGCTATTCGTAATATGTTGAAAAACTAAAAGGAAACCCAATAATTTAAAAGTAAAATTATAAGAAATATTATTTAAAAATGAAAGAATGAGATTTAAAAATTCAGAGTGGCCTTTTGTCATGGGAGGGTAGGGGAGTTGGATGAAAGGAGGATGAGCTATAACAGGATTCCCTGCTTTTCTGGTTGTTTAAGAAAGCAGTCAGACAATATATACATATATACATACATACATACATGCTAAACAAATGAAGGATTAATAACAGTTCACCTGGTAAAGAGAAGCATTTACAATGTAAAACAATTTTATTTTTGAATGACACTTCAAATGCCCAAAAGCACTTACATCTGTTACGTATGCCTCAGTAATTGGAGGGCCCGAATTGGGCTGAGGCTTTCCCCAGTGCTCCTCACCACAGTACTAAATACCCGGAGAAGCGCAGCCAGCTTTGGTAATGACACTGATGGAGGAGGGACGTCTTCATCCACTGATTCCCCAGAGGCCACATGGCTGAGGTCCTAGATGTGAATTCACAGCATTCTTAATAAGTAGTACATTGTTTAAAAAAACAAAACAAAACAAAAAAAAACTCTAAAATATTTCAATCAATTCATTTTAGAATAGATTTTTAGGCTTTTAGAAAGAGAACTGTGGCCCATGAGAATATTCATGACTCTGAATATAAAAATGGGTTTTACCTAATTATTTCAAAAAGCCAACATTAAACCCAATAGACAACAAATTAAGGAAATAATCTCTTAAATCAACTCAGAAAGCTGTTGGGGAAAAATAAATTCTAGCACATATGCTCTAGTTATATGTAGGTATAAATGAAGACGGAAGCTTTTGCCACTCCTGAATTAGTTTTTGGCTAAAAATCTCATTCTAGGTATTCTTTGAGCCACTCAGCTCAACAGTAAGTCCTCCAAACCAAGAGCATGCACATGAAGAGCAAAGGGAGATTACAAGACCTGGTCTACAGATGTGTAACTGAAGAAGTACGATATATGAAAAGGACAAGATTCGCAAAAACTAGGATACCAGAACCAATGTATACATCTACCTAAAATTAAGCACCAAAATAACAGAAGAGAATGAGATCTTAAGGATAACAAGGGGAAGCATCTCTACAAACTAGAATGTGTGGCTTATGAGAGGTAGATCAGCTTTAAACGTGGGCTGTGAAAAAAGACATTCTAGGTGTGGGGGCAAAGAAAAAACAACGCAGAAGCAAAACATTTCCTTGCTTTTCTAGGAAAGAGTAAACACATCAGTACAGCTAAAGGTACTGAATTCCTGTTGACTACAAGCAGCAAAGATGAAAAAAACAAGATGAGGCCAAAATCTTTATGGGAGCCTTGACTGGTTGATCTGAATAGGGGAGAAACACAAAGAGATTCAGATAAGAGATGGCACAGAGTTAAGCCATGACAGTGGGGCCAGAAAAGCCAAGTACCAGTAACAGAGGCTTCAGCAGCGCTCTTAAAGCTCCTATGCTATATTCGTACAGCCACAAAAGCTGGCTGAAGCCAAGGCTTGTCCTCCAAAGTACGATTCAAGATCTCCTGTACATATGTAAGAGGAAAATCTTTAGGAGCTTTTGGTGTTTTGTGTTTTTTTATAACACAACATCAATTTGCTTTAAGACTCTGAAGACTGGGAACAAAAAATAAAAATAAATAACAAAATATGTCTTTAGAAAAATACCAGCTACCGAGAGTATGTAAAGCTTTGCGAAATACGAAGCTTGCAACGTTTCTTTTAGTCTCTCCAGTAATTCTCCTGGTAACTTAAACACATCTGAAATAAATGTTTAAAATACTGACTGGGCACGGGGGCTCATGCCTATAATCCCAGCACTTTGGGAGGCCGACGCGGCTGGATCACCAGTGGTCAGGAGTTTGAGACCAGCCTGGCCAACATGGTGAAACCCCGTCTCTACTAAAAATACAAAAATTAGCTGGGCGTAGTGGCGGGCACCTGTAATTCCAGCTACTCGGGAGGCTGAGGCAGGAGAATCATTTGAACCCAGGAGGTGGAGGTTGCAGTGAGCTGAGATCGTGCCATTGCACTCCAGCCTGAGTGACAGAGCGAGACTCCGTCTCAAAAAGAAAAAATTTTTCAAAATATTGCAATGGGCTTGTAATTTCTGCTTAAATGTCAGGAGGTCTGAGCCATTTTAAAATAAATCTAGCACAATTTAAGATTTTTTCTTAACCAAAATTTTAAGAAACAGCTTTCTATATACTCACCTCAGCATATGCTTCCATGTCTTCTAGAAACTGACCAAGTAGAGGCGTAGAAAATGCAAGATCAGCTACCCAAAATGGCTCCAAACTCTGCAACCACCCTTGGAATCGCGTAAGAAATTGTGAAAGGGTAGGGGGGAGAAAAAACACCAAAAAATCCAAATTAAAAAAAATAAGAGGCTTCTTTTAAAAAGTATCTGGTTTTCAAGCAGCATACCCTAAAACATGTCCTATATCATAAAATTAAGACTGCTAAACATGCTGATCACGATTAACCAATACCTCTTTAATTAATACCTCCTTAATTTCTGCAGAAATTAACAGGTAAATGTTATTTCCTTACTTTTTCAGTAAATTTCATATCTATATTGTCACTACACATGACTTAAGACTAAAATGCCACAATCTACCATTGGCCCGGCTAATCCCAGGGCCACATCTAACCATTAAAGGTGTATACTCATCTCCTCAGTGAAAATGAAACAGACCACTATCACCTGAATATCTTATTTTCAAAAGTTTATTACACCAAGTAAGTTACGAGAAACTATGACACTTGAAACAAGCTGAAATGTGCAAATGAGCCACGCTAGTCATTCACTTAACTCCAAAAAAGTGGGAAACAAAACCACTTCTCATTTATGACAATTCTCCAAATTAACCCTATATTTCCTTTTTTAAAAAAATAACCAGAAAAACAATAAAATGTGACAAATAACTTGGATCTTCCATTGTCCACTTCAGGGTATTGCCACTGCAATATATTCTTACCATATACTTTCCTACCAGTACAAACTACAAATAACTTGGGTAAGTCCTGTCTGTACTTACTCTACCCACCTACTAGTAATTTCCTCTGAAAATATATATTTAGCTAACAAGTCATGTTCATTTACAATAAAACATTTCTCTGAATTAGTTTTCTTGCATTATTAAAGAAATGGTATTGATAGATGGTCACTGGGGGACCACTGCTCCTCCCCGACAGTATTTAAATAACTGGTATAGGCTGCAAGACTTACCAGATACCTGCTGCGTGAGCGAAGGTTTCTGAGTATGATCTCTATGCCATCCAACTAATATACCAACTGTATCCTTGATGGAAACAAAGAGAGAGGGGGCCAATCATTTTAAGATATTACTGCAATCCACCTGTGGACCATTTCACAGCAAAAGATCCTAAAAGGAGCATCTATGTTCTACCTACTTGACATTCTAGAAACTTAGAAAGGGGAGAGGGGCAGGAAAATAAAAGAACTACATTTCTGACAACAATGAAATAGTTTATTTTCTTCAAATATTTTAAGGTACGAACGTCAGAAAGAAAAATGCGGCATTTAACCCTGGAACCTCAAATATCACTGATTATATTCAAAGGAGCAGAGGCACTGTTTTCCATCTGATTCCTCAGTTCCTCACACACACAACCATCCCCCTCACCCCATGATCTGAACAGCGGAATGAGGAACTCACCCTAAAATTAGTGCTGAAAATATGAGGGTAACATCGAGCCACCAAAAGAATGCACTTAACACATTTGCAAAGCAATTCTGGTGTATCCACATTTTCAAGAATTGACTGCAGGCTGGTCATTACAAGCTTAAAAATAAAAGTTACAAACCGTGAACATTCAACAAAATAGGGAGAAAACAAGCAAATTAGGTTCATTATTTACGAAGTGCCTACATAAAAACCTGAGTATGAGACCAAGAAAAATAGATTCTGTAGTTTTAGTTAAAAAAAAAAAAGAATTGACTTGTAAATCCCAACTGCTTGGGAGGCTGAGACACAAGAATTGCTTGAACCCAGGAGGCAGAGGTTGCAGTGAGCTGAGATTGCACCGCTGCACTCCAGCCTGGGAAATACAGCCAGACTCCATCTCAAAAAAAAAAAAAAAAAAAATTAATAAATAAATAAAATAAATAAACTGAAAATATTTCGCTCCACTAAGCTGTTAAGCTAAAAACAGATACTGTTTTCTCTTCTTCAATGTTTGTTAATATTAGTCCTTTGACATCAGTTAACATTAGTCCTTAATAACATCTGTTTACAATATCCCTAAATGCTCTCTTTAAGATTCTACCTGTGATTAAATTTCAAATACAAAAAAGTAAAATGGATTTGGGAAACTTTTCTATAAAGTACAACAATTACTTTGCAATCCAAAATATAAAGCAAATTTTATATAATTTATGCTTTAGTATATTAGTACTTGCTTCATATTAAAATTAAGGAAGATCAGTATGGCACCACACATGAATAACATGCAGGCTCAGGTTACCATTATACATAAATTTTTAAAATAAATATATGGCAAAAATAAAATAATAAATAACTATTTGTCATTCCATTGAAAGAATATTTATTTTGCAGCTGTTAAAAAACATTTTTCCCTAAAAAAGGAAAAGCTGTGCTTTACATAGCAATCTTATCAAAGAAATGCTAGAATCAGAAAACCATCATTTTAGGCTGGGTGCAGTGGCTCACACCTGTAACCCCAGCACTTTGGGAGGACGAGGCAGGTGGATCACCTGAGGTCAGGAGTTCAAGACCAGCCTGGCCAGCATGATGAAACTCCGTCTCTACTAAAAATATAAAAATTAGCAGAGCACAGTGGCACATGCCTGTAATCCCAGCTACTCAGGAGGCTGAAGCAAGAGAACTGCTTGAACCTGGGAGGCGGAGGTTGCAGTGAGCCGAGATCGTGCCACTGCCCTCCAGCTTGGACAACAGAGCAAGATTACGTCTCAAAAAAAAAAAAAGAGAAAAAGAAAACCATTATTTTGCAATAGCCAATGTTATAATCTACACAGGCACAGACTATCAATGCTAAAAATCATTTAAAAGACATCTTGGGGTAATTACAGAAATTTGAATATAGAACACATATGTAATAAAATTCATTTTCTTAGGTATGATTACAATATTCTTGTTATACAGAAGAAAAACCTTATTCTTGGGAGATGCATACTAAAACATTATGGGGTGAACTGTCATCATGTGTATGGTTTTCAGATGCTCAACAAAAGTGTGTGAGAAAATAAAACTGTGGCAAAATATTAGTAACTGGTAAATCTAGGTGAAGCATATATTATGAAATTATTATCGTATTTACAGGTATTTATTTTACTGGTGCATCTATCTTTCTATGAATGTGAGAATTTTCACAAGAGCTGGGAAAATGTTCATAATTATGCATGCAGAATAAGCCCAAGCTGGTGGCATTCTGTTCAGTTACAGGTAATTTTCTGAATCTTCCCTCAAATTTTTCTCAAACCTCTATAATCAAGGGGAAAATGTTTCATTTTGTTTTGCTTTTTTGAGACAGGGTTGCCTATAATGGAGTGCAGTAGCTTGACCATAGCTCACTGTAGCTTCAACCTCCCAGGCACAAGTGATCCTCCTGCCTCAGCCTCCAACTAGCTGCGATTACAGGTGCATGCCACCATGCCCAACTTATTTTTTTTCCTTTTTTTTTTTTTTTTTTTTTTTGTTTGATAGAAACAGGGTTTCACCATGTTGCTCAGGCTGGTCTCAAACTCCTGGACTCAGGCAATTCACCAGCCTCAGCCTCCCACAGTGCTGGGGTTACAGGAGTGAGCCACCATGCCCAGTTAAAAATACATTTTTTATTTTAAAAAAAAAAAAAGAATATTCCTTATATTTCCTTTATATTTTTTAAACTACATACCCAAAATAAAGCATATCAAAAACTGTAAAAAAAAAAAAAAAAAAAAAAAAACCCTAATATCAGATATTCCAAACACAACAATACCATAATTTAATCACTTAAAATCTTACTCAAAACTAAATCAATGATCTTTTAGGCCAGGTGTGGTGACTCATGACACTAATCACAGTACTTTGGGAGGCCGAGGCAGGAGGATCACTTGAGGTCAGGAGTTGAAGACCAGCATGGCCAACACAATGAAACCCCATCTCTACTAAAAATACAAAAATTAGCCAGGCTAATGGCACACTCCTGCAATACCAGCTACTCGGGAGGCTGAGGCAGGAGAATCACTTGAACCTGGGAGGCAGAGGTTGCAGTGAGCCGAGATTATGCCACTGCACTCCAGGCTGGACAACAGAGCAAGACTCTGCATAAAAAAAAAAAAAAACGAATGACATTTTAATATATTCAGATACACAAATATGAAATACAACTAAGTAGAGCCAGTATTCATTTACACATAATTATCTTATACCATTTGGAATAAGAATTTGGGGCACGTTAGCAAACCAAAAGGCTCAGAAAGAAGTTGTGATATTTAGTTCTTGTCTCCCTCTACAAATGTGAAGCACTCTTCTATCCGGCATTACTAGTGGAGTTCCTATTTTCAACTTTGCAAATTCTGGTCCTAAGCAATCTCAAAAAAAACATTTCTAAAAACCAAAGGGGAAAAAAATCTTTTTTTTTTTTTTTTTTTTTTGAGACAGAGTCTGGCTCTGTCTCCCAGGCAATGGTGCGATCTCGGCTCACTGCAACCTCGGCCTCCCGGGTTCAAGCCATTCTCCTGCCTCAGCCTCCTGAGTAGCTGGGACTACAGGCGCGTGCCACCACGCCCGGCTAATTTTTGTATTGTTAGTAGAGACGGGGTTTCACCATGTTGGCCAGGATGGTTT